>NT_187600.1:337848-675696 GCF_000001405.40 Homo sapiens
ACATAGAAGATGTATATATTTATGGGGTACATTGGATGTTTTGATCTAGGCGTGCAATGTGAAATAATCACATCATGGAAAATGGGGTATCCATCCTCTTAAGCATTATCCTTTGTGTTAGAAACAATCCAATTATACACCTTTCATTATTAAAAATATACAACTAAATTACTGACTATAGCCACCTTGCTGTGCTATCAAGTAGTAAGTCTTATTCATTCTTTCTATTTTTTTGTACCCGTTAACCACTGCCACCTTTCCCTATCCCCCCACCACCGTTCTCAGCATCTGGTAACCATCCTTTTACTCTTTATGAACATGGGTGCAATTGTTTTGATTTTTAGATCTCATTAATAAGTAAGAACATTGTAATGTTTGTCTTTCTGTGCCTGGCTTATTTCACTTCACATAATGATCTCCAGTTCCATCCATGTTGTTGCAAATGACTCAATCTCATTCCTTTTTATTATTGAATAATACTCCATTGTGTATATGCACCACATTTTCTTTATACATTCAACTGCTGATGGACACTTAGGTTGCTTCCAAATCTTGGCTGTTGTGAACAGGGCTGCAACAAACATGGGAGTGCAGATACCTCTTCATATACTGACTTCCTTTCTTTTGTAGTATATACACAGCAGTGGGATTGCTGGATCCTATGGTAGCTTTCTTTCAGTTTTTTGAGGAACTTTCATGCTGCTCTCCACAGTGGTTGTACTAATTTACAATCCCAGCAACAGTGTATGGGGGCTCCCTTTTCCCCACATCCTTGCCAGCATTTGTTATTGCCTGTCTTCTGGATATCAGCCATTTTAACTGGGGTGAGATGATAGCACATTTTAGTTTTAGTTTTGATTGATTGTGTTTCTGTGATAATCCATGATGTTGAGCACCGTTCCATGTCGGTTTGCCATCTGTATGTCTTATTTTAAGAAATGTCTATTCTAACATTTTTCCCATTTTTAAATCAGATTATTAGATTTTTTTTTCTATAGCACTGTTTGAGCTCCTTATATATTCTGCATATATTCTGGTTTTTAATCCCTTGCCAGATGGGTATTTTTCAAATATTTTCTCCCATTCTGTGGGTTGTCTCTTCATTTTGTTGGTTGTTTCCCTTACTGTGCAGAAGCTTTTTAACTTGATGTGATCCCATTTGTCCATTTTTGCTTTGGTTGTCTGTGCTTGTGGGATATTACTCAAGAAATCTTTGCCTGGACTGATGTCTTGGAGAGTTTCCGCCAAGGTTGTCTTGCAGTGGTTTCATAGTATGAGGTCTTAGATTTAAGTCCTTAAACAATTTTGATTTGATTTTTGTATATAGTGAGAGAGAGAGGGGTCTAGTTTCACTGTTATGTATATGGATATCCAGTTTTCCCCACATTATTTATTGAAGAGATATCATTATCTATTCCCCAGAGTATGTTCTTGGCAACTTTGTCAAAAATGAATTTGCTGTAGGTGTGTGGATTTATTTCTGGGTTTTTAAATTTTGTTCTGTTTGTCTCTGTGTCTGTTTTTATGCTAGTACCACGCTGTTTTGGTTACTATCTATAGCTCTGTAGTAGAATTTGAAGACAGGCAATGTCATTCCTACAGTTTCGTTCTTTTTGCTTAGGAGAGCTTTGGCTATTCTGGGTCTTTGTGGTTCCACGTAAATTTTAGGATTTTTTTTTTCTATTTCTGTGAATGATGTCATTGGTATTTTGATAAGGATTGCATTGAATCTGTAGATTGCTTTGGATAGTATGGACATTATAACAACACTGATTCTTCTAATCCATGAACATGCAATTGCTTTCCATTTTTTGGTGTACTCTTCAATTTCTTTCATCAGTTTTTATAGTTTTCATTACAGAAATCTTTTACCTCTTTGGTTAATTCCTAGGTGTTTATTTGTGGTTATTGTAAATAGGGTTACTTTTTAATTTCTTTTTCACATTGGTCATTGTTGGCATATAGAAATGCTACTGATTTTTGTATGTTGATTTTGTATCCTGCAGCTTTACTGAATTTGTTCGTCAGTTCTAATAACTTTTTTTGGTGGAGTCTTTAGTTAGCTCTAAATAGAAGATCATACCATATGCAAATGAGGATAATTTGACTTATTCCTTTCCAATTTGGATGTCTTTTATATCTTTCTCTTGTCTGATCGCTCCAGCTAGGACTTCCAGTACTATGTTGAATAACAGTGATGAAAGTGGGCATCTTTGTCATGTTCCAGATCGTAGAGGAAAGGCTCTCAGTTTTTCCTCATTTAGTATCATACTGTGGGACTGTCATATATGGCTTTATTATGTTGAGGTAAGTTTCTTTTGTACCTAGTATAGAAGAGAATTTTTATTATGAAGGAATGTTGAATTTTATCAAATGCTTTTTCAGTATCAATTAAATGATCAAATGGTTTTTGTTGTTCATTCTGTTGATATGATGTATCACATTGATTGATTTGCATATGTTGAACCATCTTTGCATCCCAAGTTAGATAAATTCCACTTGGTCATGATGAGTGAACTTTCTAATGTGTAGTTGAATTTGGTTTGCTAGTATTTTGTTGAGGATTTTTGTGTCAATATTCATCAGACATATTGGCCTGTAGTTTTCTTTTTTTCATGTGTCTTTGTCTAGTTTTGGTGTCAGGTTAATACTGGCCTCGTATAATGAGTTTTGAAGTATTCCTTCCACCTCTATTTTTTGGAATAGTTTGAGTAGGATTGGTATTAGTTCTACTTTAAATGTTTGGTAGAATTCAGCAGTGAAGCCGTCGGGTCCTGGGCTTCTCTTTACTGGGAGGCTTTTTATTACGGCTTTGATCTCATTACTTGTTATCAGTCTGTTCAGGTTTTGAATTTCTTCTTGGTTTAATCTTGGGAGGTTGTATGTGTCTAGGAATTTCTGCATTTCTTCTAGATTTTCCAATTTATTGGCATATAGTTGCTTATAGTAGCCACTAATGATCCTTTGAATTTCTGTGGTGTAAGTTGTAATGTCACCTTTTTCATCTCTGATTTTATTTATTTGGATCTTCTGTCTTTTTTTCTTAGTCTGGCTAAAGGTTTGTCAATTTTGTTTAACTTTTCAAGAAAACAACCTGTTGTTTTATTGATCTTTTGTATTGTTTTCTTCATTTCAATTTTACTTATTTCTGCTCTGACCTTTACTGTTTTCTTCTACTAATTTTGGATTTGATTTCCTCTTGCTTTTCTAGTTCTTTAAGATGCATTGTTAGGTTTTTTTATTGAAGTTTTTCTTCTTTTTTAATGTAAGCATTTGTAGCTGTAAACTTCCCTCTTAGTACTGCTTTTGCTGTATCCCATAGGTTTTGGTATTTTCTGTTTCCATGATCATTCGTTCCAAGAAAAATTTCAGTTTCCTTCTTAATTGCTTCATTGACCCACTCAGCATTCATTAATTTCCATATATTTATATAGTTTCCAAAATTCCTCTTGTTATTGATTTCTAGTTTTAGTCCATTGTGGTCACAGAAGATGCTTGATATTATTTCAATGTATTTGAATATTTTAAAACTTGTTTTGTGACCCAACATATGGTCTATCCTTGAGAATGATCTATGTGCTGAGGAAAAGAATGTGTGTTCTGCAGCTGTTGGATGAAATGTTCTGTAAATATCTGTTAGATCCATTTGGTCGATAGTGCAGATTAAGTCCAATATTTCTTTGTTGATTTTCTATCTGGAGGATCTGTTCAATGTTGAAAGTGGGATGTTGAAATCTCCAGCTATTATTGCATTGGAGTCTATTTCTCTCTTTAGCTCTAGTAAATACTTGCTTTATATATCTGGGTGCTCCAGCATTGGGTGCATATATATTTACAATTGTTATATCCTCTTGCTGAATTGACCTGTTTATCATTAGTGACCTTGTCTCTTCTTATAGTTTTTGTCTTGAAATCTATTTTGCCTGATATAAGTGTAGCTACTCCTGCTCTTTCTTTGGTTTCCATTGGCGTGGAGTATCTTTTTCCATCCCTTTGTTTTCAGTCTATGTGTGTCTTTATAGATAAAGTGTGTTTCTTGTGGACAACAGATCAATGGGTCTTGTTTTTTCTTTAATTGATTCAGCCACTCTATGTCTTTTGATTGGAGAGTTTAGTCCATTTACATTCAATGGTATTATTGATAAGTAAGGACTTACTCCTGCCATATTGCTATTTGCTTTTGGTCTTCTCTCTCTTCATTCTTTTCTCCGTCTTCCTTTTAGTGAAGGTGATTTTCTCTGATGACGTAATTTAGCTTCTTGCTTTTTGTTTTTTGTGTATCTGTTGTATTGCTTTTGGTTTGACGTTACCATGAGGCTTGCAAATAGTATCTTATGACCCATTATTTTAAACTGATGACAACTTAACACTGTTTGCATAAACAGACAAGTAAAAAGAAAACTAATAAAGACTCTTTGCCTTAACTTCATCCCTCCACCTTTTAACTTTTTGTTATGATTTATATCTTATTGTACTATGTCTTGAAAAGTTGTAGTTATTATTTTTCATTGCTTCATCATTTAGTTTTTCTACTCAAGATAAGGCTAGCCTGACCAACATGGTGAAACACCGTCTCTACTAAAATACAAAATTAGCTGGACATGGTAGCACATGCCTGTAATCCCAGCTACTTGGGAGGCTGAGGCAGGAGAATTGCTTGAACCCGGGAGGTGGAAGTTGCAGTGAGCTGAGATTGTGCCATTGCACTCCAGCCTGGGCTGGAGCAAAACTCCGTCTAAAAACAAAAACAAACAAACAAACAAACAAACAAACAAACAAACAAAAGGAGTTTACACACCACAGTTACAGTGTTATAATATTCTGTGTTTTTCTGTGTACTTACTATTACCGGTGAGTTTTGTGCCTTCAGATGATTTCTTATTGTTCACTAACGTGTTTCTTTCTGATTGAAGTACTCCCTTTAGCATTTCTTAAAAGACAGGTCTGGTGTTCATGAAATCCCTCAACATTTGTCTGGAAACAAATTATTTCTCCTTCATGTTTGAAGGATAATTTCACCAGCTATACTGTTCGAGGGTAAAAGTTTTTTCCTTCAGCACTTTAAATCCATTATGACACTCTCTCCTGGCATATAAAGTCTTCACTGAAAAGTCTGCTGCCAGACATATTGGAGCTCCATAGTATTTTATTCATTTCTTTTCTTTTGCTGCTTTTAGGATCTTTTTAAAGTCCTTGTCATATGGGAGTTTGAGTATTGAATGCCTTGAGGTAGTCTTCTTTGCATTAAATCTCCTTGGTGTACTACATCCTTCTTGCATTTGGATATTGATATCTTTCTCTAGGTTTGGGAAGTTTTCTGTTATTATCCCTTTGAATAAACTCTCCATCCCTCTTTCTCTACCTCCTCTTTAAGGCTAATAATTCTTAGATTTGGCCTTTTGAGGCTATTTTCTAGATCCTGTAGATATGCTTCATTGTTATTTATTCTTTTCTCTTTTGTCTCCTTTTATCGTGCTTTTCCAAATAGCCTGTTTTCAAGCTCACTAATTCTTTCTTCTACTTGATATAAGAGGCTATGAAAATACTCTGATGCATTTTTCAGTATGCCAATTGCATTTTTCAGCTCCATAATTTCTGCTTAATTCTTTTTAATTGCTTCAATCTCTGTTAAATTTATCGGATAGGATTCTGAATTCCTTCACTGTGTTATCTTGAATTTCTTTGAGTTTCCTCAACAAAGCTACTTTGAATTCTCTGAAAGATAACATACCTCTATTTCTCCGAGACTGGTCCCTGGTGCCTTATTTAGTTCACTGGTTGAGGCCATGTTTTCCTGGATGGTGTTGCTGCTAGGAGATGTTCTTCAGTGCCTGGGCATTGAAGAGTGAGGTGTTTATTGCAGTCTGGGCTTGTTTTTTTGCAGTCTGGGCTTGTTTGTTTGCTCCTGTCCTTGGGAAGTCTTCCCACATATTCAAAAGGACTTGGGTGTTGTGATCTTAGCTATATCTGCTTTAGGGGGACTCCAAGCCCAAAAGACTCATAGAGGTACTGCTTTGATAATCTTGGCCAAGATCTAGAATAATTCTCTGGATTACCAGGCAGAGACTCTTGTTCTCATCCCTTACTTTCTCCCAAACAAATGGAGTCTCTCTCTGTCTGTTCTGAGCCTCCTGGAGATGGGGGTGGAGTGACACAAGCACCCCCACTACCACTATGGACACCACCACTATGACAGTGCTGGGTCAGACCTGAAGTCAGCACAACACTGGGTCTTGCTCAAGGCCTGCTGTAACCACTCCCTGGCTACCGCCTATGTTTGTTGCAAGCTGTGGGGCTCTGCAATGAGCAGGTGGCAAAGCCAGCCAGGCATGTTCTTTCCCTTCAGGGTGGCGAGGTCCCCCAGGCCCCAGGCAGGTTCAGATCACTTGTCTTTAGTTCCGTAAAATTTTATTTCTGCTCTGTTTCATCTCATTCATTTTTCTCCCCATGTCCTATTTGTGTCTTCCACGGGATCTGTTTTTCCTCTCGCTCTTTCTACTTGCCATGATGAAGGGTTTTTAAAAAATTTATTTTGTAACTTTGGCCAAACCATATTTTATCTCCTCCTGTTCATTTTTGATTCTCTTCTCTTGTATTTGAGCTCCATGATTTTCCTTCATAAATCCAATCCCTTCATTATTTTCTATCCATGGAGGATTACTTGGCTGAAATTCTCATCTCATCGTTTGGAAATATTGTTCTGGTGAATATTTTTTATACACTTTGCTGCCGTTTCTAAAAAGTCGATACTGTTCCAGTTCAAGTTTATTACTCATTTTCATGAATTAAGCTCTACTGGGCCTGCTCTTTGTAGCTGTTTCCATGGAGTCGGGAGAAGAGGAGCCTGTGAAGCTTTGCAGCCCAAAGGCTTTCTCGTTTTCTGCTGTGGCAAGGACAAATGCATGCAGCAGATTGACTTAGGGTGTGACTGGCTGGCCAGCGCCGTCCGCATCTCGAACTCACCTGGACACATGGACACCAGGCGTCCGCTGGCAACTCTCTTTATTCTGGGTCCTGTGCTGGTCATTGCATTTGCAGGATAAAGCTGCCCTCTCAGAAGAGGTCCTCATGTTTAGAAAGTGTATTTTAGCTGTGCTGGTCATTGCATGTGCAGGATAAAACTTCTGCCCTCTCAGAAGAGGTCCTTGTGTTTAGAAAGCGTATTTCAGCTGCCTCTGGGCCCTCACACCCCGTCATGTATTCACTTCCTTCCATGTGACCTCTGCCCAATGTCAACTGTTTTTGGCATCTTCACATATATTTTGGATTCTGTGGGTTTTATCTGTTTTCCTAATTTCACCAAAAAATGAAAGTTTCCATTAAAAAAAAAACTGTACATTGTGATCCAGCGATCCCACTACTGGGTATTTATCCAAAGGACATGATGTCAGTATGTTGAAGAGACATCTGCAGCCCCATGTTTACTGCAGCACCATCCACAACAGCTAAGAAATGGAATCAACCTAAATGTCCATAGTTGATGCATGGATAAAGCAAATGAGGTCCATTGACACAATGGAATACTCTTTAGACTTTAAAAAGAATGAAACCCTGTCATTTGCAACAACGGATGGATCTGGAGGACAGTGTGTTAACTAAAATAAGCCAGGCATAGAAAGCAAATACTGTATGATCTCATTCATCTGTGGAATCTTAAAAAGCTGAACTCATACGTAGAGTATAGAGTGGTAGTTACCAGGGCCAGGGGCCGGGGTGGGGGATGCTGGTGAAAGGATGCACAGCCTGAGCTGGCAGGAGGGTGAGGTCGGGAGCTTGGCTATGCATGACGGTGACCACAGTTGACAACAATGTATTGCATTCTTAAAAAATACTAAGAGAGTGGATTTTAAGCATTCTCGCCACAAAAGATGACAAGTATGTGAAGTAATGCGTGTTAAATTAGCTCAACGTTGCTGTTCCACGATGTATACATATTTTAAAGCATCATGTTGTACACAATAAATATATACGGCTTCATTTGTCAATTAAAACATGAATTAAAAAAGAAAAAACGTCTACATTTTGCTTTTTCGCAACCATGGGGAAGGCAGGGGGACCTGTTTGGTGAGGGAGGAAGGGTCAGATGTGCATGAACGTGCGTGTCACCCGTGCCCGGGGTTGTTGTGGCTCCATCCACTGCCTCACCCTCTCCGACCTGGTTTGTCCCCTGGAGGCAACCTGCTCGGCGCCTCTCTCTGGGCCAGCTGCATCAGTGGCTGCTGATGTAAGGACCCCAAGTCCTGGGCAGCCTTGCAGCCGACCTGGGCCTTGGCCCACTCTGCTGCCTCGTTCCCTTGAGGGGTGGCTCCAGGGACCGCGCCTCAACCACCCCCAGAGCTGCCTGCAGCAAACCTTGGTCAGCAGGCTGGGGTGACTGCCCTGCGCAGGGCCCTAGCCTCCCAGACCCCCTGAGCTCTGTGCAAGCCATTGTAAAGAGTCCCTCAGCAAGCTCCCTTTGCCGTGTGCTCTCTCTTTCTATCTTTTCTTACCATGTTGGGAGGCAGCAAACACTTTCTCCAGCTTTCTTTTCATCAGCTCCACGGGCCTCTGGGCTCTGCTCCTCAGCCTCACTTCCAGTGGTTGCCCTAGAGCTTCGAACACGCTCCTAGCATTGCACAGCCATCCTCGTGAGAACACAGGCTGGAGTGGCCATGGTAGGCACCGAGAGACGCTGGCACCCCCGCCATGCCCCTGGCCCCCCAGCGCCCGCTCCGGGCTTCACTGTGCTGTCCGTGCCTTCCTGTCTGGAGCTTTGCATCTTTATCTTCGTGTGATGAAATTTGTCTTTATTCAAAAAAACAAATTTCTTTGTCTTTTTTTTTTTGAGATGGAATCTTGCTCTGTCGCCAGGCTGGAGTGCAGTGGTGTGATCTCGGCTCACTGCAACCTCCGCCTTCCGGGTTCACGCATTTCTCCTGTCTCAGCCTCCTGAGTGGCTGGGATTACAGGCATGCACCACCATGCCTGGCTAATCTTTGTATTTTTAGTAGAGATGGGTTTTCATCATGTTGGCCAGGCTGGTCTCGAACTCCAGACCTCAGGTGATCTGCCCGCCTCGGCCTCCCAAAGGGCTGGGATTACAGGTGGGAGCCACCATGTCCAGCCTATTTGTCAATATTCTTTATTGTACATATTGAATAAATAAAATAAAAATGAACCATCTTACACATAAAAATAGACATACACATTTATGAATATGCTTAAACACCACGTAGGATTTACGCAGTGAGAGAAGCACTCAAGGGACCACATTCCCTGAGTGTGTCCGGGTAGAAAATATGCCAGCTTTGTTGGGCATAACATTCTTGAATCATATTTTCTTTCCAACAGACTTTTACAGGCATTGATAAGTTTTTGTGTTTTTCAAGAAATCCGAGGCGACACTGACTTCCCCTTCATAAGGGATTGTTGTGCATGGGGCTCATGTTACTTACACTGAAGTCTGGTAACTTTAATGAAATCCATTTGCTATGGAATGGTCTGGATTTCTGGCTGCCTCTCACTTCCTTAGTCTCGGCTAGTGGAGCGGTTGGAGCTGGAAGCCTCACCCCCACCCTGCCTGCCCCTGGGCACCCTGAGGCTGCCTTCAGTGAGGAGGTGACCCCAAGCTCAGGGCTGACCTGCACCTGGCACTCTGCGGCATGAACCCAATGCAGGAAGAAAGGAAGGAGGGAGGAGGGAGGGAACACAGGGGCGCTGGGAGCGAATGCAGACAGAAATGGCAGTGACCCGAGTGCCAGGCCGTCCTGGTTTGGGGTTGAACTGTGTGGAAACAGCTCCCTGGCTTGTGTGTAAGTGGTTGGGGGAGGGCATGGAGGTCTGGGGCAGGAAGGGGTGGCAGGAAGGCAGCTCCCGGCCCTGAGGGTCTGAAGCTTATCTTCTTCCTGTGAGCTGGCAGTGGGCGGCTCCCTGGGGCTGTGCCCTGGACTGGTGGTCTGGTGGTGCCCAGGCCTCCCAGGGAGAGCAGGGCAGCTGGGGCTGGAGGAGCCCTGGGGCCCAGTACCCACACCTGTGCCCAGCGCCGTCAGGGGGGACCGGGGCACGAGGCTCCTTTGCCCAGGAAGGGAAGCGAGTGAGTGAGACCTGGAGCGCCCACCCTATGGGCGGCTCCAACCCTCCTGGAGGGGGACTGGGCAGGGGGTAGGTGTGTGTGTGCAGGTGTGGGGGGATGAGGAGGGGTGGGCTCCAGCCTCTGGGAATCCTGCCAAGGGCTTGGGCACTGCAGGGTTGCTGGACCCGGGCTGCCTGGTGTGGCCATGGTGGCTGCATCCCCAGAGCCGGGATGGAGGCGCAGTGGGGACCGGCGCCAGGGAGTTGCCTAGTGGTGGCTGCATGGAGGACCTGCCCTGCATGATGCCCCTATCTTGGGGGGCATGGGGTCCACATGAGAGGAAGGGGCACAAACCCCCTCCTGGGGGTCTTCCTGAGACCACCTCAGTCAGGGCTCTGTGCTTGGTGACTTTCCAGAAGGTCCTCCCTGCACAGACCCCAAAGTCTGTGTTGCCCCAGGGCAGGAAAGAAAAATCTGTGTCCTGGTCGAGGTTGGGCCCCACAATGGTGGCCCCTAAACCTGAGTCTGCTCCAAAGCACCCGCCCCTCAGCAGGCCCTGAGTGAGGGACAGAGACAGCGGTGGGGTCTTTGATCCAGGTGGACACGGGGGTGGATCCCAGTGGGAAGTCACCAGGGCCAGGGTCCCCCAGGGTATTGGGGTGTCTGTGTTCCTGGTGTCGGCTCTGGATTTGGGGTTTGTGCCTGTGCTGCCTGGGGGTGATGTTGGGAGGTGCAGATGGCCCCGGCCCCCGTCCTCACCATCCAATGGGGACACTGTGGAGCTCCAAGTGCTGGGGGTCATGAGGGCTGGGAAGGTCGTATGTTCGGGCGGCTGGTCCCTTCTCTGGCTGGGCCTCCAGCAGTGGCCGGGAGACAGTTTTGGACATAGCTTTTCTCACAGTGGTAGTAGCTCCCACTATACCCACCGTGACTCGGGGCTGTTCAGAATCCACCCAGGCGCCCTGAGCTCTGGGGCCTCCTGGGTAGGGGCTGGGCTGCTGCGTGGGGTCTCCTGTGGAGGCTCTGGCGGCTGTGGCTCACCTTAGGTGTGGGGTGAGGACTGGCAGCCCCAGCTAGCGGCACCCACAGAGCCTGAGGCCTGCACACATTCTGCCTGGGTGTGTGGGGTGGGTCCGGGCCCCTCTGGGCAGGATGGCCTCAATGGGGAGGGGGCTGGGATTCCCGCCTGGCTCCTCCTCGGGGTAGAGGGGACCCATCTCCTGGCCCTGGATCCCCTCAGGCTGCCCCTGTTTTCTCAGGAACACTGAACAGGGCAGGGCGCCCTGGAGGGGAGACATCTGTTGGCTTGAGTGTCAGGTGTGGCCTCAGATCCTAAATGTGTCCTGCCTGCTCTCTCTGCCTTCGGCTGACTTGGGATGGGGTTTCTGTCCTGCCCAGTGTCATTGTGGTAGCCGCTGCTATACCCGACTGTGACACAGACAGCTTCAGAAACCTCCTGGTTTGTTTGGGGGCCTTCCCTTGCTGGGCTCAGCGCGCCTCTTGGACTTGGCTGCCCTGGACAGGGGTGTCCCTCAACACTGGTTCTGGGGGGCCTGTCCCTCTGTCTGGTGTCTGGAATGGGGGTCCGAGACAGAGGCCAGCTGCCTCACAGCCAGCAGGGGCCGGAGACAGGTGTTCCACCCATGGTGGGTCCTGGTGGGCCTGGATGGAGCTGAGGTCTGTGCCAGTATTGGGGTCCCCATATCTTGCTCCTTCATGGCTCTGAGCTCCCCCTGGCAGGACTTCTTCGGGGTGCTGGGTCTGTCCTCTGTGGGAGGGGCTGCCCCCAGGCCCAGCACTGCAGTGGAGGGCTCACTGAGGGGCTTTTGTATCTGGCCTGAGCCGCTGTGGAGGTATTCCACTGTGAGAGGGTCCCGCACAGATTCTCCCATCCTGCTTCTCCTCCCAGAGCCTGGAGGGGATGGGATCCGGGGGTCCCAAAGGTGGATCCTAGACCCAGGGGAGGGGGGCCTCTTCACTGACCTCCCCTTCCTCCATTCCTCCCTCCCCAAAGCTGCCCTGGCGGCCCCCCTGCACCCCAGCCTCTGTCTGCACTGGCTCTGCCGGCTCTGGTGTAGGTGGGACTCAGGATGGTGTGGACGACGTGTGGCCAGGGTGGAGAGGAGGTGGGCGGGTCGGTGGGTGAGAGGGATGGGCTCATCCAAGATGGAGCACCTGCAGGGACCTGAGCCCTCCCCCACACCGTCCCTGGTCCTTCCCCGCAGCCTGCCACGGTGGGAGCCCCAGGCAGGGTGGACCATACCCTCTAGGAGGCTGGCACTTCCCTGGGTTCACGAAGACGGAGCCTCCTGCCCGGTGGTGCAGCGGCCCCGCTTCCTCCTTCAGCCCTTCCTGATGGCTTCCTGGGGATTCTGGATTCCCATGGAGTGATGAGAGGAGAGCAGAGGGGAGGAGGGGCAGGGCTGGGTCCTGGGTAAGGGGGTGCTCGGGCTGGGGTCCCTGGAGAGAAGTTCTGGGTTCCTGGGGGCCAATTAGGCAGGCGTCCTTTCTGTCCACACCCCAAGGGTCCCGGCAGGAGCCAGGTGGGGGAACCATAAGGAGAGGGCCTGTGTCCTGTCCCCCCAAGTCCTCTAGACAGGGTGGGGGCTGAGGGGTCCTCCCCAGGGCAGGGCCAGGCAGTGACTCTGGTGTTGGGTTGTTGGTCGTCATGGGCTGACCTGGGGAGTGGGGGTTGCAGAGTAGAAAGGGGCGGACTTAGGTAGGGCATGGCACAGTCATCCCTGTGTTCAGGCCATTTCCTGTCCTGGGTGCCTGCACTGAACCTCGGCAAGGACAGGGGTGGCCTCCCAGCCTACAGCCTGCCTGGGATCTGCTCTGGCCCTAGAACTGGGGACAGAAGCCATCCTGGAGGTCAGCAGCCTCCTAGGACAGCAGGAGGAGACCAGGCCAGCCCCTAGCAGGGGAGGCAGTGGGGATTTTGGTAGGGTCTGCGTTGAGAGCCAGTACCCAGTAGTCACAGAGCAAGATGCCCCAGCAATATGTCCTATCTGCAGCCGTCTGCCCACCCTGTCTTAGCCAGGGCAAGGGAGGGTACTGTGCCCCTGGCAGGCCCAGCCTTTGGCCTTCCTTGGAGGGATGAGGGCCTGGGAAGCCGAGCTGTTGGTGGCGCTGGGAAGAGGTTCCCAGGACAGGGGGATGGAGCTTAATCAAGCGGCCTGGTTGGGGTTGGGTCCTTCTGCAGGCTGGCCACTCAGTGATGGGGATCTCCGGGTGGTCCCTGCACCTAGTGCCAGGATACACACAGTGCTCTGGGCCCACTGTCTGGGCTCCCCGCCTTGTTTCCAGGGGGCTGGGTGGTTCTCCAAGGCTCAGTTTCCCCACTGTGGAGTGGATGCTGCTGGAGGGATGAGGATCGTAGAGCACAGCTTGGCAGCTTCTGTGCCTGCTGCCCCTGGGGACCTGGGCTGTGGGACGGGGCAGGCTTCCCCATCAGGGCTGGGCCTGCCGGGAGCCCAGCACCCTCACACGCCCACACTGGGGGCTCCGTGGCTCTGTGACTCCATGGCTCTGTGGTGCTGCCTGCACCTCTCAGGGCGGGAAGCTGCCTTTCCCTGCCAGCCTTTGATTTCTATCTCAGTCATCCCTGCCCTGGAGCACAGACCTCCCACTGAGGGAACCCTCCCCACAGAGGGCCAGAGGGCAGACAGCAGCCTTGAGAGCCCCAGGAGAAGCAGGTGAGCTGGAGGCCTGGGGCTGCGTGGCAGGGGTCTGTCTACTTGGCCTGGTTGCTGCTATGGGCGGCACCACTGTGGTAATTGTAGCCATCTCTACCACGGCCTGGCACCCCCTGACAATAACCACACCTGGAACTGGAGGCGGGGCTGTCAGGAGGAGCTTCCCAGGGAACAGGGAGGGTCCAGACAGCTGTGCCAGGGGCCCCCAGTGCTAGAGAGCCTGGGGGCTGCTCAGGGACCAGACATGCCCTGTGTCCCCCTGGAGAGGCCTCTGCAGCCTCCTGGGCTCTGGGACGGGTCTCTGGTCAGCAGGAGGCTGGGTGCTCCCCGGCATGTGCTCTCCTGCCCTCACTGGTGAGCTCCTATGTGGCCCAGTGTGGGCCCAGCTCCAGCGTCCACTCCTGTCGGCCTGGCCGAGGGTCCCAGCAGAACTGGGCATGGCTCCTTCTTAGGGGCCTCGAGGACTCTCTCTACAGCTGTACCTGGGGCTGGGGGCTCCACAAGTGGTCTTTGCCAGGTGGGGACGACAATGGCAGGTGTTTCTACATGGGCAGGTGAGGGGAACTGTCTGCGGCCTGGCCCTGCGGAACACAGCGGCCTCTCAGAAGAGGGTGTGTGGGAGTCCTGCCTGTTGGGAGCCTGGCGGATGCTGCCCTCTTGATTCCAGCCAGGATGGGAATCCAGGCAATTGGCAGGAGGTACTGGAATGAGGCTGGTGTCTACAGTAATTCCCGGCCCCAGGAATTGGCTTTTGGAACTGGGGCATCTCTCGGAACAGGGTCTGGTGCAGCTGGCAGTGAAGGGACCAGGGCACCTGTGGTCATGAGTGAAGTCACCTCAGAGCCCTCTGAAGCCCCTGTTTGGCAGCACACGGTGTGCAGGGCATCAGCCCATCGGCTAAGATGGCCCGGGTGTCCCTAGAGGCCGAGGGTCTGGGCACAAACCCTCGGGCCTGGCTCTTGTGCTCCTGGAGAGCTCCGAGCCGAGAAGTGTGCATAAACCCTGCGAGTCCGGTCAGTTTTTGCTGCTGGTTTCATCACTGTGGGAGTTACCACCGTAGTCACACAGCAGGAGGGCCCTTCACAAAAAGCCCCTGAGTGTGGCCAGAGGCCTTTCCCACACAGGCCCTGGTCCAGGCGTCTGGGGCCCCCATTGACAGTGGTGCTGCGTCCTGGGGATCTCAGGCCTTTCTGAATCTTCCCCGCCTGCCATTGAGGGCAGGTGGGTCTGACTCACCCTCCCGGGCTCCTGTCCCCTCCAGGAGGGGGCTGAGGTGATATCTGGCAGGAGGGTGTGCAGGAGTCAGGCCTCCTGGAGTTTGAGCCCTGGGGCAGGTGCAAGGTGGGGATACCTTTTAGGGGTCTGGGAAGGGCTGGGCTGTCCCCATGGGCCATCGCGTGTTCTGGGGGCCGTCCTGATCCAGATGTGCGTTCCCGCTGTGATGCTGCTGAGGACTGTCCTGGAAGAGGGTGGGAGAGAAGAGAAACCCTGGAAGAGGGTTTCTCTCACTGGGGAGAGAAACAGGGATTTCTGGAAGGTTCATTGTCTCTGACTGTGTGAGGTGAGTCCTCTGTTGGCTTCCCTGGTGAGGTCTGGAAATGAGCAGGACTCAGGACAGCCAGGCAGGATGAGCGACTCCCAGCTCCGGCTGTCCCTGGGAATGTCTTGGAAATGACCCAGGAGAGGCTCAGGTGTCAGGGCCAGGCAGGCCAGGGACCACAGGGGCAGTGACAGTGCACAGGGCCAGCCCCGCCCTCCTGCTGCCCCTACTCTGACATGGGGGGCTCGCAGGGTTCACACACGTGGCCCAGCGTTCAGGGAGGGGCTTCCGGGACTGCTGGGTGGACGGCAGCAGATGGTGCTATGGGGCCGGCCCTGTCTCCATCTGGTTTGGCGTTGGGAGGGCAGCAGCGATGCAGACCCCTTGGAGCCAGATCTGGATGACCTGTAGGGTGACCTTGGCCATCTGTTTCATGGTCTCTGGGGCTGGTGGGCTGGAGCCCATCATGGTCACTTGTGGGCCTGTCCATTGTTTCTGCTGCCCCGTGTGTTTGGGTCATGGGCTGCACTGCTGTGGTAGCCACCATACCCATGGCGCCGTGTCCTCGATCAAAATCCTAACACGGCATGCAGCGGTCCCCCGCAGGGAGGGCTGTGGTGGGAGGCTCCCAGGCATGAGTTTTTGATGGACTCTGTGACACTGTGGTAGTAATAACCACTACTATCATAGTAATACCACAGTGACACAGACCTCACTTCAAACCTACCGCCAGGCCTGGGGAAACCCGGGATGTCCAGGGCTGACCTGAGGAGGCAGCAGGGCCCCGAGGGGAGGCTGTGGGCCCAGCGCTCTCAGGTCTACTGCAGGGACACTCGGGTCTGTCCCTCGCTTAGGTGGACACTGTCCATGCCCACCTGTGTCCTGAGGCTTCACCTCAGGCTGACATCTGTCCCTACTGTCCCTACCCACCCCATGGCCATGTCCTTTCGGGTTCATAAATTGCCCCCAAATCACACAGGCATCATTCTGGGGCTTTTTATATTCCCTGGGCCACCAGGTGCCTCCACCCAGAAAGGTCAGATGTGGGAGAGTTGCAGAGTCATTCCCCAACCCTGGATGAGTCCCTACAGCCTCAGTGCTACTCAGGCTCCAGCAAGACCTGGAGCAGGTGCAGGTGAGGCCCGAGGCCAGGTGAGGTCCAGGTCAGGTGAAGCCCAGGCCAGGTGAGGTCCAGGTCAGGTGAAGCCCAGGCCAGGTGAAGCCCAGGCCAGGTGAAGCCCAGGCCAGGTGAGGTCCAGGTCAGGTGAGGCCCAGGCCAGGTGAGGTCCAGGTCAGGTGAAGCCCAGGCCAGGTGAAGCCCAGGCCAGGTGAGGCCCGAGGCCAGGTGAGGTCCAGGTCAGGTGAAGCCCAGGCCAGGTGAAGCCCAGGCCAGGTGAGGTCCAGGTCAGGTGAGGCCCAGGCCAGGTGAGGTCCAGGTCAGGGGAGGCTGAGGTGGATGTGTGAGGCTTCTGCAGTTTTCTCTGGGTGCTCACCCTGCCTGGTGTCCCTGCCCCTCCTCTCAGCACCCACTCTGTGCCTGCAAGGTGGTGGCCCGTGCGCAGGTGGTGGTGGCTGCGGAGGTGCTGGGCTCTGCCTCCCTGTGCATGGGTGTGCATCTTGGGTTCTGGCCAGGGAGTGTGGCTGAGTTGCTTCTCTCTGGAATGCACTGACTGTACCTTCCTTGGGGATATACAGCTCTGTGCCTGCTCCACATCAGGCCCCAGGAGCTGCCAGCAGGTGCCTGCCTGCCCTGCCACACAGTGAGCCTGCAGCCTGTCCGGGGATGCCCAGGGAGGTGATTGCCACCACACATCAGGCCTTTTCTCTTTAAAGTCATTTCTTTGGGGATACATCATCGATGTCTCATATACTGAATGTATGTCTGTATCATTGTGCAATTGCCTGTGTCATCGCTTATTTATCCAACCTGGGTTAATGTCTTTGCTATTATGAACAGTGCTGGACTGAGAATTTTCTAAACACAGGTGTGTGCATTTTCCTCTTCTTGCGATTTAGAAGTTTAACTGCTGTTTTCAAGGTACTGTAATGTATTTGTTCTGTTCTTGTTAGGAGACTTGCCGACTCTGTGTGTCTCAGCTCATACCCTCTTCCTTCCCCAGTAGAAGTAACCACCACTGTGTTTATGTGATCATCGTTTTCTTGATTTTCCTTATAGTTTTTCCAGGGGAAAGTTTATCCCTTAAGAAGATAGTTCATTTTGCCGGGTGTAAATTTTATTTAGAAGAAATCACATTAAAAGTATTTTTTGGGCTTTCCTCTGTTACTCCAATTACTCAGCATTGTCATGAACTCAACCGCAAAGCCGCCTGTAGCTCTCTACTGTTGTCCTCTGGCTGTCCTAGTTTGTATTTCATGAACCTGCCATCGTTTATTTGTCTGTTCTCCTTCAGATGGACGTTTGCTTTGTCCAGCCCCATAGTTTGGGGCTATGACAAACAGCTGTTCTGCACATCTTTGCCCATGAGGTTCTCAGGAAGGGCTCTAGGGCTGGCATTGCCTGAGGGTTCTGCTTTGTCACAGGCAGTTCCTGCCAGTGCTTTTCAGAGTGTCTGTGCCCAGCAGCAATGCCTGAAGGTGCCCACTGAACTTTGCCTTGGCATCAGGCACTTTCTGTGTGCTTGCTTCTGTGCTGCTCCACATTCTGGAGGATTTATTCAGATCTGTGCTGCAAATGCATTTCACTGATTCTCTCTTTAGCTGTGTCTACATCAGCTGTTAAGCATCCCATGATGCAGCATTGTGGGCACAGGGCAAACTTTCAAAAGATGACAGTGTAGGATAGCGGCTGCTCCTCCTTCCCTGTGCTCTTCCCACACTGTCCTCCTGGGCTCACTCCCAGCCATTGATCTTGAATACCAGTTTATGGAACTCTCTGCACAGGAAAGCAGAAACAGCAAAAGGCCCTGCTGAGGCTCTGCCCACATCCCCTCTTGCACACCTGCCAAAGCTCTTTCCTTGGGGCCTGTGCAAGCTTCCCAGCTGCTTCTCATTTTCTGTTTACTCTGCTCACTGGCTGGTGGGGTGATGTCTTGGGGAGAGTCTGGTGCATTTTGGGCATTGATGGACACCCCTAGGCCATACTTCCCAGATGCTCCCCCAGCCCCTCAGTCCCAGGAGTGGGTGCGTTTGCAGTAGGGCTTTAGGAATGGGGTTGTGTCACTGTGGGAATAGCAGTCACCACCACAATATGCTCACAGTGACACGAACCCCCACAAAATCCTCCTGTCCCTACAGGAGACTGGTGTCACCGAGTCTCCTCTTGCTGGCTCTGGCCTGGCTCTCCTGCTGAGACTGTGCATTCCAGCGGGTTGTTGTCTGAAACTGAGCCTGTCTCAGAGAGGACTCTGAGCCCAGTGCTGTACAGGGGGCTCCTCCTTTGTCCTGGGGGAGTTGCGTGGACCCTGTTTTTGGTCAAGGGAAGCATTTGATGGTGAAGGAGACCTCCCCTCCTCTCTTTCTCAGGAGCCCCCTCTGATGCTGTTGCCTAGTGTTTCTTGGGGCTGGTGCTGGGGGCTCAGCAGTGTCTGCCCTGTTCCAGGTGGGACTGTGGGTCTGTTCTCTTTCCACGGGGTGTTCTGGGGCCGCCAGTGAGGGGCTCGGGATGTTAGCGGCTGGTCTCTGTCCCTATGGTATGGGCTCCGGTTCACTGCTCCCCTGCCCTCCAGGTCGGTCACTGACTCGGTTACTATCCAGCGACCTCCGTGGCTGTTCAGTGGTGGCTGCAGGTCTCTTCCCAGGAGAGGCCTGCGAGAGGGCTGGGCTGTCTGGGAGCCCTGCATTCTCCCGTGATGTTGCTGCCTGGATCCCTCATCTTTAGAGGGAGTGCGGAGCCTCCCTGCAGGTGCAGGCAGTGAGAGACACAGGCGGACGTGTGTCAAGGCACTGGAGGCCGATTTCTTTCAGTGCCTTCTGCCTGTGGAAGAGCTGAGCTCCCTGCTTCTGCGCACAGGAGGCTCCCGTGTAACCAGGCAGTGAGGGCAAGGGCCTGCATGGGGAAGACTTGGGTGAGCCTTTGTCCTGGAAATACCAGGGCCGGGTCTGAGAGGGAGGGGAGCGGGGTCAGAGTGTCCAGGAGGAAGGTGATGGCATGGGCAGTGTGTGGGTGGGAGTGTAGGGTCAGTGCCATGGCTCAAGGGCTCCAGGAGAGGAAGAACTCAAGTTGTGGGCAGGAGGGGTTAGGGGGTGGGCACAGGTAGGAAAACCTGAGGCTCTTGTGGCAGAAGAGCGGAGGGCCTGCAGGTGCAGAGTTGGCCTGGGAGGGGTGTTTAGAGGGAGGGACAGGGGTCTGGTTGCAGATCAGGGTGAGGACTGCAGGGTCACGTACCCAGGGTTGTTTGGGTGGGCGGCAAGTGCAGCAGGTAGAAAAGGCCCGAGGCAGGGTGGGGTCTCCCCAGCGTGTGGGCTGCAGGGAGGGGCTGCACAGGGTGTTCCCCAGAAGGAGGGAGCACAGAGGCACTGGGAGGGAATGGAGAGGGAAATGGCAGTGACCCTAGTGCCAGGCAGTCCCGGTTTGGGGTTGATCTGTGTGGGAACAGCTCCCTGGCCTGTGTGTAAGTGGTGGCAGGAAGGCAGGTCCCGCCCTGGGGTCTGGAGCTTATCTTCTTCCTGTGAGCTGTGTGTGGGTGGCTCCTGTGGGCTGTGCCCTGGACCTGTGGTCTGGTGGAGCCCAGGCTTCCCAGGAACGGCAGTGCTGTCTGGGCTGGAGCAGCCTTAGATGCCAGGTCAGGGTGGCCCTGGGGCCACTGCCTCCAGCTGTGTCTAGTGCTGCAGGGATCTGGGCATGAGGCCCCTTCTCCCAGGAGGGGAGGCACGTGAGTGAGACCCTAAGTCCATACCCCATGGTGGCTTGGCCCTCCTGCAGAGGGTCTGGGCAGTGGTAGGTGGCTGTGTGCAGATGGGGGGTGGGGGGTGGGGAGGTTAGCCCCTCCCAGACGCACCCTGCTCTGCTCCAGAGTGTGGGCTTGCCCACTGCAGGGTGGCTGGGCCTGGGCTTCCTGGTGTGCTTGTGGTGGCTGCATTCCCAGAGCAGGGACTGAGGTCCAGTGGGGTCCCGGGAGGAGTCTGAAGGGGGCTCCATGGAGGACCTGCCTTGGATGGCACCCCTATCTTGGGGAGGACCTGGGGTCCAGCTGGGAGGAAGTGGAGTGGCCACCTCCTGAGGGCCTTCTTGGGGCCACCTCGGCCTGGGGGCTCTGTGATTGGCCACCAGCCAGTAGTTCTTCCCTGCCCAGACCCCAAAGTCTGTGCTGCCCCAGGAAAGGAAGGAAGGGTCAGTGGCCTCATCAAAGTTGGGGCCCACAGTGGTGTCCCCTAAGACCGAGTCTGCTCCCAAGCGCTCGCCCTGCAGGAGGCCCTGAGTGAGGGACAGAGACAGGGCAGGGCCTTTGGTCCTGGTAGACTCTGGGGCGGATTCCAGTGGGGAGTTATCACGGTTGGGGTCCCCCAGAGTGTTGGGGTGTCTCTGCTCCTGGAGTTGGCTCTGGATGTGGGGTTTGTGTCTGTGCTGCCTGGGGTTGATATTGGGAGGTGCCGGTGATCCCTGTCTTTCTGAGGACACTTGTCAGAAGGGTCAACTCCAGCCAGAGGCAATGGGGCCACAGCAGAAGGATGTGATCAAGTCCCTGCCGCAAACCACCGGAGCCCCCAGCCCTTGTCCTCATTATCCAACGGGGACACCGTGGGGCTCTGGGTGCTGGGGGTCATGGGAACCGGCAGGACATGGGTTCAGGCCGGCTGCTCCCCTCTCTGGCGGGGCCTCCGACTGCTGCCAGGAGTCAGTTTTGGACACAGTTTTTCTCACGGTGGTCGTTCCAGTTATACCCACTGTGACTCGGGGCTGTTCAGAATCCGACCAGGCGCCCTGAGCTCTGGGGCCTCCTGGGTGGGGGCAGGGGCTGGGCTGCTGGGCGGGGAATGCTTAGGGGGCTCTGGAGGCTGGGGCTCGCTTTAGGTGTGGGGTGAGCACTGGGGGCCCCAGCTAGCGGAACACCCACAGAGACTGGGGCCTGCACACATTCCGCCCCGGTGTGTGGGGTGGGCCCAGGCCCGTCTGGGCAGGTCAGCCTCAATGGGGACGGTGCTCGGGTCCTGCCTGGCTCCTCCTTGGGGTAGAGGGGACCTATCGCCTGGCCCTGGACCCCCTCAGGCCGCCCCTATTCTTGAAGAAACGCAGGACGGTGGAGGGTGCCCTGGAGGGGAGACGTCTGCTGCCCTGGGTGTCAGGTGCGGCCTCAGATCCTAAACGTGTCCTCCCTGCTCTCTCTGCTTCCGCTGACTTGGGACGGGGTTTCTGGCCTGGCGAGTGTCACTGTGGTACCAGCCACTGCTATACCCCACTGTGATACAGACAGCTTCAGAAACCTCCTCGTCTGTTTGGGAGCCTTCCCTTGCTGGGGTCAGTGCCCCTTGGTCTTGTCTGCCTTGACGGATCATCCCTCAACCCTGGTTTTGGGGGGCCTGCCCCTCTGTCTGGTGTCTGGAGTGGGGTCCGAGACAGAGGCCAGCTACCTCACAACCCGGAGACAGGTGTTCCTCCCATGGTGGGTCCCGGTGGGCCTGGATGGAGCTGAGGTCTGTGCCTGTATCGGGGACCCCATATCCTGCTCTTTCATGGCTCTGAGCTCCCCCTGGCAGGACTTCTTCGGGGTGCTGGGTCTGTCCTCTGTGGGAGGGGCTGCTACCCAGGCCCAGGACTGCAGTGGAGGGCTCACTGAGGGGCTTTTGGGTCTGGCCTGAGCCGCTGTGGGGATATTCCACTGTGAGAGGGTCCCGCACAGATTCTCCCATCCTGCTTCTCCTCCCAGAGCCAGGAGGGGATGGGATCCGGGGGTCCCAGAGGAGGATCCTGGACCCAGGGGAAGGGGGCCTCTTCACTGACCTCCCCTCCCTCCATCCTTCCCTCCCCGAAGCTGCCCTGGCAGCCCCCCTGCACCCCAGCCTTTGTCTGCACTGGCTTTGCTGGCTCTGGTGTAGGTAGGACTCAGGATGGTGTGGAAGACGTGCAGCCAGGGTGGAGAGGAGGTGGGCGGGACGGTGGGTGAAGGGGGAGGCTCACCGAAGATGGAGGAGCACCCGCAGGGCCCTGAGCCCTCCCCCACACCGTCCCTGGTCCTTCCCCGCAGCCTGCCACGGTGGGAGCCCCAGGCAGGGTGGACCATACCCTCTAGGAGGCTGGCACTTCCCTGGGTTCACGAAGACGGAGCCTCCTGCCCGGTGGTGCACGGCCCCGCTTCCTCCTTCAGCCCTTCCTGATGGCTTCCTGGGGATACCGGATTCCCATGGGGTGATGAGAGGAGAGCAGAGGGGAGGAGGGGCAGGGCTGGGTCCTGGGTAAGGGGGTGCTCGGGCTGGGGTCCCTGGAGAGAAGTTCTGGGTTCCTGGGGGCCAATTAGGCAGGTGTCCTTTCTGTCCACACCCCAAGGGTCCCGGCCGGAGGCAGGTGGGGGAACCATAAGGAGAGGGCCTGTGTCCTGTCCCCCCAAGTCCTCTAGACAGGGTGGGGGCTGAGGGGTCCGCCCCAGGGCCGGGCCAGGCAGTGACTCTGATGTGGGGCCCTGGTTTTCGTGGACTGGCCTGGGGGGTGCGGGGTACAGAGCAGGAGGGGGCTGACTCTGTTGGGGGATGGCGCAGTCATCCCTGTGTTAAGGCCATTTCCTACCTTGGTCACCTCCAGTGAACCCTGGGAAGGAGGGGGTGGCCTCCCAGTCTGCAGCCGGCCTGGGATCTGCTCTCGCCCTGGAACTGGGGACGGAGACATTCTGGAGGTCAGCAGCCTCCTAGGACTGCAGGAGATCAGGCCAGCCCCTAGCAGGGGAGGCTGTGGGGATTTTGGCGAGGACTGCGTTGTTTGGGAGCCAGTGCCCCACTAGGCACAGTGACAGACACCCCAGCAGTATGTACTGTCCCCCGCCAGGCTGCCCACCCTATCTTAGCCGCGGCATGTGAGGTTGCCCATCCATTGGCCTTCCGTGCAGACATGAGGCCCTGGGATGTTGAGAACAGACCTCCCACTGAGGGAACCCTCCCCACAGAGGGCAGAGTACAGACAACAGTGACCTTGAGAGCCCCAGGAGAAGCAGGTGAGCTGGAGGCCTGGGGCTGCACAGCAGGGGCCTGTCTACTTGGCCTGGTTGCTGCTATGGGCAGCACCACTGTGGTAACCATAGCTGTATCCACCACAGTCTGACACCCCCTGACAATAACCACACCTGGAACTGGAGGCGGGGCTGTCAGGAGGAGCTTCCCAGGGAAGAGGGAGGGTCCAGACAGCTGTGCCAGGGGCCCCCAGGACTGGGGACGTGGGGGGCTGCTCAGGGACCAGACATGCACAGTGTCCCCCTGGAGAGGCCTCTGCAGCCTCCTGGGCTCTGGGACGGGCCTCTGGTCAGCAGGAGGCTGGGTGCTCCCCGGCATGTGCTCTCCTGCCCTCACTGGTGAGCTCCTATGTGGCCCAGTGTGGGCCCAGCTCCAGTGTCCACTCCTGTCGGCCTGGCCGAGGGTCCCGGCAGAACTGCGCATGGCTCCTTCTTAGATCCCTCGGGGAGTCTCTCTACAGCTGTACCTGGGGCTGGGGGCTCCACGAGTGGTCTTTTCCAGGTGGGGACGACAATGGCAGGTGTTTCTCTAGTGGCAGGTGAGGGGAACTGTCCAGGGCCTGGCCCTGCGGAACACAGCGGCCTCTCAGAGGAGGGTGTGCGGGAGTCCTGCCTGTTGGGAGCCTGGCGGATGCTGCCCTCTTGATTCCAGCCAGGATGTGAATCCAGGCAATTGGCAGGAGGTGCTGGAACGAGGCTGGTGTCTACAGCAATTCTGGGCCCCAGGAATTGGCTGTTGGAACTGGGGCAGCTGTTGGGACAGGGTTCGGTGTAGCTGGCGGGGAAGGGGCCAGGGCACCTGTGGTCATGAGTGAAGTCACCTCAGAGCCCTCTGAAGCCCCTGTTTGGAGCAGATGGCATGTGGGGCACCAGCCCATCCGCTGTGATGGCCAGGGTGTCCCTAGAGGCCGAGGGTCTGGCTACAAACCCTCAGACCTGACTCTTCTGGTCCTGGAGAGCTCCAAGCTGAGAAGTGTGCATGGTCCCTGGGTGTCCGGCCAGTTTTTGCTGCTAGTTTCATCACTGTGGTAGTCACCGTAGTCACACAGTAGGAGGGGCCTTCACAAAAAGCCCCTGAGTGTGCCCAGCGGCCTTTCCCACGCAGGCCCTGGTCCAGGCGTCTGGGGCCCCCATTGACAGTGGTGCTGCGTCCTGGGGATCTCAGGCCTTTCTGAATCTTCCCCGCCTGCCATCGAGGGCAGGTGGGTCTGACTCACCCTCCCGGGCTCCTGTCCCCTCCAGGAGGGGGCTGAGGTGATGTCTGGCTGGAGGGTATGCGGGAGTCAAGCCTCCTGGATTTTTAGCCCTGGGGCAGGTGCAGGGGGTGGGACGCCTTTTAGGGGTCTGGGAAGGCCTGGGTTGTGGGGCTGTCCCCATGGGCCATCTTGTGTTCTGGGGGCCGTCCTGATCCAGATGTGGGTGCCTGCTGTGATGCGACCGAGGAATGTCCTGG
This sequence comes from Homo sapiens, assembly GCF_000001405.40. NCBI lineage: Eukaryota > Metazoa > Chordata > Mammalia > Primates > Hominidae > Homo > Homo sapiens. The sequence continues at coordinate 362,702 of NT_187600.1, forward strand.
AAGAAGGTGCCCACTGGGGAGTGAGACAGGGATTTCTGGAAGGTTCTTTGTCTCTGACTGTGTGAGGTGAGTCCTCTGTTGGCTTCCCTGGTGAGGTCTGGAAACAAGCAGGACTCAGGACGGCCGGGCGGGATGAGCGACGCCCAGCTCCGGCTGTCCCCGGGAATGTCTTCTATCTTAGAAATGACTCAGAAGAGGCTCAGGTGTCAGGGCCAGGCAGGCGAGGGACCATGGGTGCAGGGACAGTGCACAGGGCCAGCCCCGCCCTTCTGCTGCCCCTACTCTGACATGGGGTGCTCTCAGGGTTCACACATGTGGCTCAGCCATGAGGGAGGGGCTTCTGGGACCACTGGGTGGACAGCAGGAGATGGTAATGTGGGGTTGGCCTTGTCCCCATCTGGGCTGGTGTTAGAGGGCAGCAGCGATGCAGACCCCACGGAGCCATGTCTGGCTGAACTGTGGGGTGACCTTGGCCATCTGTTTCATGGTCTCCGGGGCTGGCGGGCTGGAGCCCAGCATGGTCACTCACAGGCCTGTCCATTGTGCCTGCTGCCCTGTGTGTTTGGGTCATGGGCTGCACTGCTGTGGTAGCCACCATACCCATGGCGCTGTGTCCTCGATCAAAATCGTAACATGGCACGCGGCGGTCCCCTGCGGGGAGGGCTGTGGCATGGGTTTCTGATGGACCGTGTGATGCTGTGGGTATAACGATAACTCCCCCAAACGTAATCATAATACCACAGTGACACAGACCTCACTTCAAACCTACCATCTGGCCTGGGGAAACCCGGGATGTCCAGGGCTGACCTGAGGAGGCAGCAGGGCACCGAGGGGAGGCTGTGGGCCCAGCGCTCTCAGGTCTACTGCAGGAACACTCGGGTCTGTCCCTCGCTTATGTGGATAGTGTCCGCGTCCAACTGTGTCCTGAGGCTCCACCTCAGGCTGGCATCTGTCCCTATGTCCCTACCCACCCCATGGCCATGTCCTTTCGGGTTCATAAATTGCCCCCAAATCACGCAGGCACCATTCTGGGGCTTTTTATATTCCCAGGGCCACCAGATGCCTCCACCCAGAAAGGTCAGATGTGGGAGAGTTCCAGAGTCATTCCCCAACCCTGGATGAGCTTCTGCAGCCTCAGTGCTACTCAGGTTCCAGCAAGACCTGGAGCAGGTGCAGGTGAGGCCGGAGGCCAGGTGAGGTCCAGGTCAGGTGAAGCCCAGGCCAGGTGAGGTCCAGGTCAGGTGAGGCCCAGGCCAGGTGAGGTCCAGACCAGGTGAGGTCCAGGTCAGGGGAGGCTGAGGTGGATGTGTGAGGCTTCTGCAGTTTTCTCTGGGTGCTCACCCTGCCTGGTGTCCCTGCCCCTCCTCTCAGCACCCACTCTGTGCCTGCAAGGTGGTGGCCCGTGCACAGGTGGTGGTGGCTGTGGAGGAGCTGGGCTCTGCCTCCCTGTGCGTGGGCGTCCCTCTCGGGCTCTGCCTGGGCAGTGTGGCTGAGCTGCTTCTCTCTGGAATTCACTGACTGTGCCATCCTTGGGGGTATACAGCCCTGCGCTTGCTCCACATCAGGCCCCAGGAGCTGCCAGCATGTACCAGCCTGCCCTGCCACACAGTGTGCCTGCAACCTGTCCGGGGATCCCAGGGAGGTGAGTGCCACCACACATCAGGCCTTTTCTCTTTAAAGTCATTTCTTTGGGGATACATCATCGATGTCTCATGTACTAAATGTATGTCTGTATCATTGTGCAATTGCCTGTGTCATCATTTATTTATCCAACCTGGGTTAATGTCTTTGCTATTATGAATAGTGCTGGACTGAGAATTTTCTAAACACAGCTGTGTGCATTTTCCTCTTCTTGCGATTTAGAAGTTTAACTGCTGTATTCAAGGTACTGTAATGTATTCGTTCTGTGCTTGCTTGGAGACTTGCCGACTCTGTGTGTCTCAGCTCATACCCTCTTCCTTCCCCAGTAGAAGTAACCACAACTGTGTTTATGTGATCATCGTTTTCTTAATTTTCCTTGTAGTTTTTCCAGGGGAAAGTTTATCCCTTAAGAAGACAGTTCATTTTGCCTGGTGTAAATTTTATTTAGAAGAAATCACATTAAAAGTATTTTTTGGGCTTTCCTCTGTTACTCCAATTACTCAGCATTGTCATGAACTCAACCGCAAAGCCGCCTGTAGCCCTCTACTGTTGTCCCCTGGCTGTCTGGGTTTGCATTGCATGAACCTACCATTGCTTATTTGACTGTTCTTCAGATGGACGTTTGCTCTGTTCTCAGTTTGAGTCTATGATAATCAGCTGTTCTGCACATCTTTCCCCATGACGCTCTCAGGGAGGGCTCTGGGGCTGGCATTGCCTGAGGGTTCTGCTTTGTCGCAGGGAGATCCTGCCAGGGCTTTTCAGAGTGTCTGTGCCCAGCAGCAATGCCTGAAGGTGCCCACTGAACTTTGTCCTTGCATCAGGCACTTTCTGTGTGTTTGCTTCTGTACTGCTCCACATTCTGGAGAGTTTATTCAGATCTATGCTGCAAATTCATCTCACTGATTCTCTCTTTAGCTGTGTCTACATCAGCTCTTAAGCATCCCATGATGCAATAGTGTGGTCACAAGGCAAACTTTTGAAAGATGACAGTGTAGGATAGCGGCTGCTCCTCCTTCCCTGTGCTCTTCCCACAGACTGCCCTCCTGGGCTCATTCCCAGCCACTGATCTTGAACACCAGTTTATGGAACTCTCTGCACAGGAAAGCAGAAACAGCAAAAGGCCCTGCTCAGGCTCTGCCTGCATCCCCTCTTGCACACCCGCCAAAGCTCTTTCCTTGGGGCCTGTGCAAGCTTCCCAGAGCCTCTCATTTTCTGTTTACCCTGCTCGCTGGCTGGTGGGGTGGTGTTTGGCGGGCAGTCTGGTGCATTTTGGACATTGATAGACACCCCTGGACCCTACTTCCCAGACGCTCCCCCAGCCCCTCAGCCCCAGGAGTGGGTGTGTTTGCAGTAGGGCTTTGGGAATGGGTCTGTGTCACTGTGGGAGTAGCAGCTACCACCACTACAATATCCTCACAGTGACACGAGCCCCCACAAAATCCTCCTGTCCCTACTGGTGTCACCGAGGTCCCTTTTGCTGGCTTTGGTCTGTTCTCCTGCTGAGACTGTGCATTCCAGCGGGTTGTTGTCTGAAACTCAGGGTGTCTCAGAGAGGACTCTGAGCCCAGTGCTGTATAGGGGGCTCCTCCTTTGTCCTGGGGGAGTTGCGTGGACCCTGTTTTTGGTCAAGGGAAGCATTTGATGGTGAAGGAGATCTCCCCTCCTCTCTTTCTCGGGAGCCCCCTCTGATACTGTTGCCTGGTGTTTCTTGGGGCTGGTGCTGGGGGCTCAGCAGTCTCTGCCCTGTTCCAGGTGGGGCTGTGGGTGTGTTATGTTTCCTAGGTGTGTTATGGGGCCACCATTGAGGAGCTCGGGATGTCAGCGGCTGGTCTCTGTCCCTATGGTATGGGCTCCGGCTCACTGCTCCCCTGCCCTCCAGGTCGGTCATTGACTCAGTTACTATCCAGCAGCCTCTGTGGCTGTTTGGTGGTGGCTGCAGGTCTCTTCCCAGGAGAGGCCTGTGAGAGGACTGGGATGTCTGGGAGCCCTGCATTCTCCCGTGATGCTGCTGCCTGGATCCCTTGTCTTTAGAGGGAGTGCGGAGCCTCCCTGCAGGTGCGGGCAGTGAGAGACACGGGGGGACGTGTGTCAAGGTGCTGGAGGCCGATTTCTTTCAGTGCCTTCTGCCTGTGGAAGGGCTGAGCTCCCTGCTTCTGTGCACAGGAGGCTCCCGTGTAACCGGGAAGTGAGGGCAAGAGCCCAGGCCTGCCTGGGAAAGACTTGGGTGAGCCTTTGTCCTGGAAATACCAGGGCTTGGCCTGAGAGGGGGCGGGGTCGGAGTGGCCAGGAGGAAGGTGAGGGCATGGGCTGTGGGTGGTGGGAGGGCAGGGTCAATGCCATGGCTCAGGGGCTCCAGGAGAAGAAGAGTTAGAGTTGTGGGCAGGAGGAGGTAGGGTGTGGGCACAGGGGGGAGAAACTGAGGCTCTAGCGACAGAAGAGGACAGGGCCTGCAGGTGCAGGGTTGGCCTGGGAGGGGTGTCTGGAGTGATACACAGGGGTCTGGGTGGAGACCAGGGTAGGGACTGCAGGGACAGGACCCCAGAGTTTTCTGGGTGGGCAGTAAGAGCAGCAGGGTTGGAAGGGCCCCAGGCAGGGTTGGGTCTCCCCAGGGTGTGGGCTGCAGGGACTGGCTGCACAGGCTGTTCCCCCGAAGGAGGAACCAGGGAGGACAGAGGCGCTGGGAGCAAATGGAGAAGGAAATGGCAGCCACCTGAGTGCCAGGCGGTCCTGGTTTGGGGTTGTTCTGTGTGGGAACAGCTTCCTGGCCTGTGTGTAAGTGGACGGGGGAGGGCGCCCAGGTCTGGGGCAGGAAGCAGTAGCAGGAAGGCAGGTTCTGGCCCTGGGGGTCTGGAGCTTATCTTCTTCCTGTGAGCTGTGTGTGGGTGGCTCCTGCACCCGGTGCCCTGGACCTGTGGTCTGGTGGAGCCCAGGCCTCCCAGGGACAGCAGGGCAGCCTGGGCTGCAGGAACCTCAGGGACCAGGTCAGGGTGGCCCTCGGGCCTCTGCCTCCACTTGCGACAGGCGCTGCTGTGGGAACCTGGGCTTGAGGCCCCTTCACTCATGATGGGAGCCACGTGAGTGAGACCCTAAGTCCATACCCCATGTGGGGCTCTGACCCTCCTGCAGAGCCGCTGGGCAGGGGTGGGTGGGGTGTGCAGGTGGGGGTGGGGTGGGGAGCTCAGCCCCTCCCAGAGGCACCCTGCTCTGCTCCAGAGTGTGTGCTTGGGCACTGCAGGGTGGCTGGGCCTGGGCTGCCTGGTGTGCTTGTGGTGGCTTCATCCCCAGAGCTGGGACTGAGGCCCAGTGGGGTCCAGGGAGGAGTCTGAATGGGGCTCCAAGGAGCACCTGCCTTGGATGGCACCCTTATCTTGGGGAGGACATGGGGTCCAGCTGGGAGGAAGGGGAGTGGCCACCTCCTGGAGGTCTTTCCAGGGCCACCTCAGCCTGTGGCCTCTGTGCTTGGCGACCTGCCAGAAGTTCCTCCTGGCCCAGACCCCAAAGTCTGTGCTGCCCCAGGAAAGGAAGGAAAGGTCTGCGTCCTGGTCAAGGTCGGGGTCACACTGGTGTCCCCTAAGCCCAAGTCTGCTCCCAAGGCCTCGCCCGGCAGCAGGTCCTGAGTGAGGGACAGAGGCAGAGGCAGGGTCTTTGGTCCTGGTGGACTCTACGGCGAATTCCAGTGGGAAGTCATCAGGGTCGGGGTCCCCCAGGGTATTGGGGTGTCTCTGCTCCTGGAGTTGGCTCTGGATGTGGGGTTTGTGCCTGTGCTGCCTGGGGTTGATGTTGGGAGGCGCCGGTGATGCCTGTCTCTCTGAGGACACTTGTCAGAAGGGTCAACTCCAGCCAGGGGCACTGGAGCCACGGCAGAAGGATGCGATCAAGCCCCTGCCCCGACCCGCCGGAATCCCCAGCTCTTGTCCTCCCATCCAGTGGGGACACTGTGGGGCTCCGCGTGCTGGGGGTCATGGGAGCCGGCAGGACATGGGATCAGAGTGGCTGCTGCCCTCTCTGGCGGGGCCTCCGGCAGTGGCCACTGGACAGTTTTTGACGTAGCTATTCTGACAGTGGTGGTTCCGGTTATACCCGCTGTGACTCGGGGCTGTTCGGAATCCGACGGGGCGCCCTGAGCTCTGGGGCCTCCTGGGTGGGGGCTGGGCTTGTGGGCGGGGTCTCCTGCGGGGGCTCCGGAGGCTGTGGCTCATTTTAGGTGTGGGGTGAGCACTGTGAGCCCCAGCTAGCGGAACACCCACAGAGACCGAGGCCTGCACACATTCCGCCCCGGTGTGTGGGGTGGGCCCAGGACTCTCTGGGCAGGTCAGCCTCAATGGGGAGAGTGCTCGGGACCTGCCTAACTCCTCCTTGGTGTACAGGGGACCCATCTCCTCACCCTAGACCCCCCCTCAGGCCGCCCCTGATCTTGCAGAAATGCAGGACAGGGTGGGGTGCCCTGGAGGGGAGACGTCTGCTGGCCTGGGTGTCAGGTGCAGTCTCAGATCCTAAACGTGTCCTCCCTGCTCTCTCTGCTTCCGCTGACTTGGAATGGGGTTTCTGGCTGGGTGAGTGTCACTGTGGTACCAGCTGCTGCTATACCCCACTGTGACACAGACACCTTCAGAAACCTCCTGGTCTGTTTGGGGGCCTTCCCTTGCTGGGCTCAACACCCCTTGGTTTTGTCTGGCTTTGACGGGGCGTCCCTCAACCCTGGTTCTGGGGGGCCTGCGCCTCTGTCTGGTGTCTGGAATAGGGGTCCAAGTCAGGGGTCAGCTGCCTCCCGACCTGCAGAGGCTGGAGACAGACGTTCCTCTCAGGGTGTGGGCTGGGTGGTCCTGGATGGAGCTGACATCTGTGCCTGTATCGGGGGCCCCATATCTTGCTCCTTCATGGCTCTTAGCTCCCCCTGGCAGGACCTCCTCAGGGTGCTGGGTCTGTCCTGTCTGGGTGGGGCTGCCACCCAGGCCCAGTTGTTGGACGTCGTGGGCTGGCCTGGGGGGTGCAGGGTGCAGAGCAGGAAGGGGCGCACTCTGGTGGGGCATGTCCCGGTCATCCCTGTGCTCATGCCATTTCCTGCCTTGGGCACCTGCATTCAACCCCGGCAAGGGCAGGGGTGGCCTCCCAGCCTACAGCCTGCCTGGGATCTGCTCTCGCCCTGGAACTGGGGACGGAGCCATCCTGGAGGTCAGCAGCCTCCTAGGACAGCAGGATTCCAGGCCAGCCCCTAGCGGGAGGCAGTGGGGATTTTGGCAGGGTCTGCGTTTTTGTCAGAGCTACCACCCAGAAGTGACAGTGAGAAATGCCCCAGCAATATGTCCCGTCCACAGCCGTCTGCCCACCCTGTCTTAGCCAGGGCTAGGGAGGGTGCTGTGTTTCTGGCAGGCCCAGCCCTTGACCTTCCTTGCAGGGATGAGGCCCTGAGAAGCTGAGCTGCTGGTGGTACTGGAAGAGGTCTCCAGGGCAGGGGGTTGAGCATTAATCGAGTGGCCTGGGTGGGGCCGGATCCTCCTGTAGGCTGGTCACTCAGGGTTTGGCATCTCTGGCTGATCCCTGCAGCCAGGTACTGCCGGGGTACTCACAGTGCTCTGGGCCCACTGTCTGGGCTCACAGCCTCATTTCCAGGGGGCCGGGTGGTGCTCCAAGCCTCAGTTTCCCCACTGTGGAGGGGATGCTGCTGGAGGGATGAGGATCATAGAGGACAACCTGGCAGCTTCTGTGCCCGCTGCCCGTGGGACCCGGGCTGTGGGATGGGACAGGCTTCCCCATCAGGGCTGGGCCTGCCGGGGGCACAGCACTCTCAAATGCCCACAATGGGGGCTCCGTGGCTCTGTGACTCCGTGGCTCCGTGGTGCTGCCTGCACCTCTCAGGGCGGGAAGCTGCCTTTCCCTGCCAGCCTTTGATTTCTATCTCAATCATCCCTGCCCTGGAGCACAGACCTCCCACTGAGGGAACCCTCCCCACAGAGGGCCAGAGGACAGACAGCAGCCTTGAGAGCCCCAGGAGAAGCAGGTGAAGTGGATGCCTGGGGCTGCGCAGCAGGGGCCTGTCTACTTGGCCTGGTTGCTGCTATGGGCGGCACCACTGTGGTAATCGTAGCCACTATATCCACCACAGTCTGACATCGCCTGACAATAACCACACCTGGAACTGGAGGCGGGGCTGTCAGGAGGAGCTTCCCAGGGAACAGGGAGGGTCCAGACAGCTGAGCCAGGGGCCCCCAGGACTGGGGACGTGGGGGGCTGCTTAGGTACCAGACATGCACAGTGTCTCCCTGGAGAGGCCTCTGCAGCCTCCTGGGCTCTGGGGCAGGCCTCTGGTCAGCAGGAGGCTGGGTGCTCCCCGGCATGTGCTCTCCTGCCCTCACTGGTGAGCTCCTATGTGGCCCAGTGTGGGCCCAGCTCCAGCGTCCACTCCTGTCGGCCTGGCCGAGGGTCCCGGCAGAACTGGGCATGGCTCCTTCTTAGGGGCCTCGAGGACTCTCTCTACAGCTGTACCTGGGGCTGGGGGCTCCACGAGTGGTCTTTTCCAGGTGGGGACGACAATGGCAGGTGTTTCTCTAGTGGCAGGTGAGGGGAACTGTCCAGGGCCTGGCCCTGCGGAACACAGCGGCCTCTCAGAGGAGGGTGTGCGGGAGTCCTGCCTGTTGGGAGCCTGGCGGATGCTGCCTTCTTGATTCCAGCCAGGATGGGAATCCAGGCAATTGGCAGGAGGTACTGGAATGAGGCTGGTGTCTACAGCTATTCAGGGTCCCAGGAATTGGCTGTTGGAATCGGGGCATCTGTCAAGACAGGGTCTGGTATAGCTGGCAGGGAAGGGCCAGGTCACCTGTGGTCATGAGTGAGGTCACCTCAGAGCCCTCTGAAGCCCCTATTTGGAGGAAGATGGTGTGCAGGGCACCAGCCCAGGCTGAGATGGCCCAGGTGTCCCTAGAGGCTGAGGGTCTGGGCACAAATCCTTGGGCCCGGCTCTTGTGCTCCTGGAGAGCTCCAAGCTGAGGCGTGCACACAGCCCCTGGGTTTCCAGCCAGTTTTTGCCACTGGGTTCATCACTATGGTAGTTACTGTAGTCACACAGCAGGAGGGCCCTTCACAAAAAGCCCGAGTGTGGCCAGAGACCTTTCCCACGCAGGCCCTGGTCCAGGCATTTGGGGCCCCTATTGACAGCGGTGCTGCGTCCTGGGGATCTCAGGCCGCTGTGATGCCACTGAGGACTGTCCTGGAAGAGGGTGTCCACTGGGGAGAGAGGCAGGGATTTCTGGAAGGTTCTTTGTCTCTGAATGTGGGAGGCGAGTCCTCTGTTGGCTTCCCCGGTGAGGTCTGGAAATGAGCAGGACTCAGGACGGCCGGGCAGGATGAGCGACGCCCAGCTCCGGCTGTCCCCAGGAATGTCTTCTGTCTTGGAAATGACCCAGGAGAGGCTCAGGTGTCAGGGCCAGGCAGGCCAGGGACCACAGGGGCAGGGACAGTGCACAGGGCCAGCCCCTCCCTCCTGGTGCCCCTACTCAGACATGAGGGCTCTCAGTGTCCACACATGTGGCCCAGCCTTGAGGGAGGGGCTTCTGGGATCGCTGGCCTGATGGCAGCAGATGGTGCTGTGAGGCCGTCCCTGTCCCATTTGGACTGGCGTTGGGAGGGCAGCAGCGATGCAGACCCCTCGGAGCCAGATCTGGATGACCTGTAGGGTGACCTTGGCCATCTGTTTCATGATCTCCAGGGCTGGCAGGCTGGAGCCCAGCGTGGTCAGTCACGGGCCTGTCCATCGTGCCTGCTGCCCTGCGGGTTTGGGTCACAGGCTGCACTGCTGTGGTAGCCACCATACCCATGGTGCTGTCTCCTCGATCAAAATCCTAACATGGCACGTACCGGTCCCCTGCAGGGAGGGCTGTGGCGGGAGGCTCCCAGGGATGGGTTTTTGATGGACTCTGTGACACTGTGGTTATAATAACTCCCCGAACCATAGTAATACCACAGTGACACAGACCTCACCCCAAACCTACCGCCCAGCCTGGGGAAACCCGGGATGTCCGGGGCTGACCTGAGGAGGCAGCAGGGCCCCATGGGGAGGGCTGTGGCGGGAAGCTTCCAGGCATGGGTTTTTGATGGACTCTGTGACACTGTGGTTATAATAACCAGTCAAAATATCGTAATACCACAGTGACACAGACCTCATTCTAAACCTACCGGCAGGCCTGGGGAAACCTGGGATGTCCAGGGCTGACCGGAGGAGGCAGCAGGGCTCTGAGGGGAGGCTGTGGGCCCAGCGCTCTCAGGTCTGCTGTGGGGACACTCGGGTCTATCCCTCGCTTATGTGGATAGTGTCCGTGCCCACCTGTGTCCTGAGGCTCCACCTCAGGCTGGCATCTGTCCCTATGTCCCTACCCACCCCATGGCCATGTCCTTTCGGGTTCATAAGTTGCCCACAAATCACAGAGTCATCATTCTGGAGATTTTTATATTCCCAGGGCCACCAGCTGCCTCCACCCAGAAAGGTCAGATGTGGGAGACTTCTAGAGTCATTCCCCAACCCTGGATGAGCTTCTGCACCCTCAGTGCTACTCAGGCTCCAGCAAGACCTGGAGCAGGTGCAGGTGAGGCCCGAGGCCAGGTGAGGTCCAGGTCAGGTGAAGCCCAGGCCAGGTGAAGTCCAGGCCAGGTGAGGTCCAGGCCAGATGAGGTCCAGGTCAGGTGAGGCCCAGGCCAGGTGAAGCCCAGGCCAGATGAGGTCCAGGTCAGGGGAAGCCAAGGCCAGGTGAGTTCCAGGACAGGTTAAACCCAGGTCAGGAGACGTTCAGGTGAGTTGAGGCCCAGGTCAGGTAAAGCTTGGGACAGGCGAGGTCCAAGTCAGGTGAGGCCAAGGTCAGGTGAAGCCCAGGTTAAGTGAGGCCCAGGCCAGTGAGGTCCAGGTCAGGGGAGGCTGAGGTGGATGTGTGAGGCGTCTGCAGTTTTCTCTGGGTGCTCACCCTGCCTGGTGTCCCTGCCCCTCCTCTCAGCACCCACTCTGTGCCTGCAAGGTGGTGGCCCGTGCACAGGTGGTGCTGGCTGCGGAGGTGCTGGGCTCTGCCTCCCTGTGCGTGGGCGTCCCTCTCGGGCTCTGCCTGGGGAGTGTGGCTGAGTTGCTTCTCTCTGGAATTCACTGACTGTGCCGTCCTCCGGGATATATGGCCCTGCGCTTGCTCCACATCAGGCCCCAGGAACTGCCAGCAGGTACCCGCCTGCCCTGCTGCACAGTGAGCCTGCAACCTGTCCGGGGATCCCAGGGAGGTGAATGCCACCACACATCAGCCCTTTATCTCTTTAAAGTCGTTTATTTGGGGATACATCATCGATGTCTCATATACTAAATATATGTCTGTATCATTGTGCAATTGCCTGTGTCATCGCTTATTTATCCGACCTGGGTTAATGTCTTTGCTATTATGAACAGTGCTGGACTGAGAATTTTCTAAACACAACTGTGTCCATTTTCCTCTTCTTGCAATTTAGAAGTTTAACTGCTGTTTTCAAGGTACTGTAATGTATTCGTTCTGTTCTTGTTAGGAGACTTGCCCACCCTGTGTATCTCAGTTCATACCCTCTTCCTTCCCCAGCAGAAGTAACCACCACTGTGTTTATGTGATCATCCTTTTCTTGGTTTTCTTTATGGTTTTCTAACTGGGAAATGTATCCCTTAAGAAGACAGTTCATTTTGCAGGGTGTAAATTTTATTTAGAAGAAATCACATTGAAAGTATTTTTTGGAGTTTACTTTGTTACTCCAATTACTCAGCATTGTCATGAACTCAACCAGAGTCGCTTATAACCCTGTACTTTTGTGCTTGTGGCTGTCTGGGTTTGCATTTCATGAACCTGCCATCGTTTATTTGCCTGTTCTCCTTCAGATGGACGTTTGCTTTGCTCTCAGTTTGGGGCTATGAGAAACACCTGTTGTGCACATCTTTGCCCATGAGGCTCTCAGGGAGGGCTCTGGGGCTGGCATTGCCTGAGGGTTCTGCTTTGTCACAGGGAGTTCCTGCCAGGGCTTTTCAGAGTGTCTGTGCCCAGCAGCAATGCCTGAAGGTGCCCACTGAACTTTGTCCTTGCATCAGGCACTTTCTGTGTGCTTGCTTCTGTGCTGCTCCACATTCTGGAGAATTTATTCAGATCTGTGCTGCAAATCCATCTCACTGATTCTCTCTTTAGCTGTGTCTACATCAGCTGTTAAGCATCCCATGATGCAGCAGTGTGGGCACAAGGCAAACTTTCGAAAGATGACAGTGTAGGATAGCGGCTGCTCCTCCTTCCCTGTGCTCTTCCCACGCTGTCCTCCTGGGCTCACTCCCAGCCATTGATCTCGAACACCAGTTTATGGAACTCTCTGCACAGGAAAGCAGAAACAGCAAAAGGCCCTGCTCAGGCTCTGCCCGCATCCCCTCTTACACACCCGCCAAAGCTCTTTCCTTGGGGCCTGTGCAAGCTTCCCCAGCTTGCTTCTCATTTTCTGTTTACTCTGCTCGCTGGCTGGTGGGTGTGATGTATGGAGGGGAGTCTGGTGCGTTTTGGGCATTGATGGACACCCCTGAGCCCTATTTCCCAGACGCTCCCCCAGCCCCTCAGCCCCAGAAGTGGAATGCGTTTGCAGTAGGGCTTTGGGAATGGGGCTGTGTCACTGTGGGTATAGCATACACCATTAGTACAATATCCTCACAGTGACACGAGCCCCCACAAAATCCTCCTGTCCCTGCGGGTGTCACTGAGCCCCATCTTGCTGGCTCTGGCTGGCTCTCCTGCTGAGACTGTGCATTCCAGGGGGTTTTTGTCTGAAACTCTGGGTGTCTTGGAGAGGACTCTGAGCCCAGTGCTGAACAAGGGGCTCCTCCTTTGTCCTGGGGGAGTTGCATGGATCCTGTCTTCGGTCAAGGGAAGCGCCTGCTGGTGAAGGAGACCTCCCCTCCTCTGTTCTGCCAGAGCCCCCTCTGATGCTGTTGCCTGGTGTTTCTTGGTTGGTTCTGGTGCTGGGTCTCAGCAGTCTCTGCCCTGGTCCAGGTGGGACTGTGGGTCTGTCCTCTTTCCATGGGGTGTTGTGGGACCACCAGTGAGTGGCTTGGGATGTCAGTGGCTGTCCTCTGGCCCTATGGTGTGGGCTCGGGCTCACTGCTCCCCTGCCTCCAGGTCTGGCAATGACTCCGTTACTACCCATCGGCCTCCAGGGAGGTTTGGTGTTAGACTCCGTTGACTGGGCGTCTTCAGGTCTCTTCCCAGGAGAGGCCTGTGAGAGGACTGGGATGTCTGGTAGCCCTGCATTCTCCTGTGATGCTGCTGCCTGGATCCCTCGTCTTTAGAGGGAGTGCCGAGCCTCCCTGCAGGTGCGGGCAGTGAGAGACACAGGCAGACGTGTGTCAAGGCGCTGGAGGCCGATTTCTTTCAGTGCCTTCTGCCTGTGGAAGGGCTGAGCTCCCTGCTTCTGTGCACAGGAGGCTGCCCTGTAACCGGGCAGTGAGGGTAAGGGCCCAGGCCTGCATGGGAAAGACTTGGGTAAGGCTTTGTCCCAGAAATACCAGAGCCAGGCCTGAGAGGGGAGTGGGGCTGGAGTGGCCAGGAGGAATGTGAGGGCATGGGCAGTGTGTGGGTGCGAGGGCACGGTCAATGCCATCCCTCAGGGGCCCTAGGAGAGGAAGAGCTCGAGCTGTGGGCAGGAGGAGCACGGGGGTGGGCACAGGCAGGAGAAACTGAGGGTCTTTGGCAGTGGAGGGGAGGGCCTGCAGGTGTAGGGTTGGCCTGGGAGAGGTGTTTAGAGGGAGGAAGACGGGTCTAGGTAGAGAACTGGGTGGGGGCTGTAGGGACAGGACCCCAGGGCTGTCTTGGTGGGTGGCAAGAGCAGCGGGGGAGAAAGGGCTGGAGGAGGGTCAGGTCTCCCCAGGGTGTGGGCTGCAGGGTCGGGTCTCCCCAGGGTGTGGACTGCAGGGAGGAGCTGCACAGGGTGCTCCCCCGAAGGAAGGAGGAGGGAGGAAGCACAGAGGCATTGGAAGTGAATGGAGAAGGAAATGGCAGTGACCTGAGTGCCAGGTGGTCCCCGTCTGGGGTTGGTCTGTGTGGGAACAGCTTCCTGGCCTGTGTGTAAGTGGACGGGGGAGGGCAACGAGGTCTGGGGCAGGAAGTCGTAGCAGCAAGGCAGGTCCCGGGCCTGGGGGTCTGGAGCTTATCTTCTTCCTGTGAGCTGTGTGTGGGCGGCCCCAGTGTGGGCGGTGCCCTAGACCTGTGGTCTGGTGGAGCCCAGGCCTCCCAGGGACAGCAGGGCAGCCAGGGCTAGAGGAGCCTGAGGGGCCAGGTCAGGGTGGCCCTGGGGCCACTGCCTCTACCTGTGACCAGCGCTGCTGGGGGGATCTGGGCATGAGACCCCTTCTCCCAGGAGGGGAGGTGCGTGAGTGAGACCCTAAGTCCATATCCCATGGGGGCTCTGACCCTCCTGCAGGGGGCCCGGGCAAGGGTGGGTGGGGTGTGCAGGTGGGGGTGGGGGTGGGGAGCCCAGCCCCTCCCAGACGCACCCTGCTCTCCTCCAGGGTGTGGGCTTGGGCACTGCAGGGTGGCTGGGCCTGGGCTGCCTGGTGTGCCCGTGGTGGCTGCATTCCTAGAGTGGGGACTGAGGCCCAGTGGGGTCTGGAGAGGAGCCTGAAGGGGGCTCCATGGAGGACCTGCCTTGGATGGCACCCCTATCTTGGGGAAGACATGGGGTCCAGCTGGGAGGAAGGGTAGTGGGCCACCTGCTGGGGTTCCCCCTGGGGCCACCTCAGCCTGGGGGCTCTGTGCTTGGTGACCTGCCAGAAGTTCCTCCCTGCCCAGACCCCAAAGTCTGTGCTGCACCAGGGCAGGAGGGAAGGGTCTGTGGCCTGCTCGAGGTCAGGCCCACAGTGGTGTCCCCTAAGCCTGAGTTTGCTCCCAAGTGCTCGCCCCGCAGCAGGCCCCAAGTGAGGGACAGAGATGGGACGGGAGTCATCAGGGTTGGGGTCCCCCAGGGTATTGGGGTGTCTCTGTTCCTGGAGTTGGCCCTGGATGTGGGGTTTGTGCCTGGGCTGCGTGGGGTTGATGTTGGGAGGTGCCACTGATCCCTGACTCTCTGAGGACACTTGTCAGAAGGGTCAACTCCAGCCAGGGGCACTGGAGCCACGGCAGAAGGAAGCCATCAAGCCCCTGCCCCGACCCGCCGGAGCCCCCGGCCCTTGTCCTCCCATCCAGTGGGGACACTGTGGGGCTCCAGGTGCACGGGGTCATGGGAGCCGGCAGAACATGGGTTTGGGGTGGCTGCTCCCCTCTCTGGCGGGGCCTCCGACTGTGGCCAGGAGACCGTTTTGGACGAAGCTTTTCTCACAGTGGTAGTTCCAGTTATACCCACTGTGACTCGGGGCTGTTCAGAATCCGACGGGGCGCCCTGTGCTCTGGGGCCTCCTGGGTGGGGGCTGGGCTTGTGGGCGGGGTCTCCTTCAGGGGCTCTGAGGCTGTGGCTCGTTTTAGGTGTGGGGTGAGCACTGTGAGCCCCAGCTAGCGGAACACCCACAGAGACCGAGGCCTGCACACATTCCGCCCCGGTGTGTGGGGTGGGCCCAGGACCCTCTGGGCAGGTCAGCCTCAATGGGGAGGGGGCTTGTGTCCTGCCTGGCTCCTTCTCTGGGTAGAGGGGACCCATCTCCTGGTCCTGGACCCCCTTCAGCCTGCCCTTGTTCTTCCAGAAATGCAGGACATGGCAGGGTGCCATGGACAGGAGACGTCTGCTGGCCTGGGTGTCAGGTGCGGCCTCAGATCCTAAACATGTCCTCCCTGCTCTCTCTGCATTCCGCTGACTTGGGATGGGGTTTCTGGCCTGGCGAGTGTCACTGTGGGACGAGCTGCTATACTCCACTGTGACACAGACACCTTCAGAAACTTCCTGGTTTGTTTGGGGACCTTCCCTTGCTGGGCTCAGCACAACTTGGTCTTTTCTGGCCTTGACGGGGCGTCCTCATCCCTGGTTCTGGGGGGCCTGCCCCTCTGTCTGGTGTCTGGAATAGGCGTCCAAGTCAGGAGTCAGCTGCCTCCTGGCCTGCAGGGACTAGAGAAAGGGGTTCCTCCCAGGGCAGGACGTGGCAGTCCTGAATGGAGCTGAGGTCTGTGCCTGTATCGGGGGTCCCATATCCTGCTCCTTCATGGCTCTGAGCTCCCCCTGGCAGGACATCCTCGGGGTGCTGGGTTCATCCTCTGTGGGAGGGGCTGCTACCCAGGCCCAGGACTGCAGTGGAGGGCTCACTGAGGGGCTTTTGGGTCTTGCCTGAGCCGCTGTGGAGGTATTCCACTGTGAGAGGGTCCCGCACAGATTCTCCCATCCTGCTTCTCCTCCCAGAGCCTGGAGGGGATGGGATCCGGGGGTCCCAGAGGAGGATCCTGGACCCAGGGGAGGGGGGCCTCTTCACTGAACTCCCCTTCCTCCATCCTTCCCTCCCCAAAGCTGCCCTGGCGGCCCCCCTGCACCCCAGCCTCTGTCTGCACTGGCTGTGCCGGCTCTGGTGTAGGTGGGACTTAGGATGGTGTGGACGACGTGTGGCCAGGGTGGAGAGGAGGTGGGTGAGTCCGTGGGTGAGAGAGATGGGCTCATCCAAGATGGAGCACCCGCGGGGCCCTGAGCCCTCCCCCACACCGTCCCTGGTCCTTCCCTGCAGCCTGCCACTGTGGGAGCCATAGGCAGGGTGGACCATACCCTCTAGGAGGCTGGCACCTCCCTGGGTTCACAAAGACGGAGCCTCCTGCCTGGTGGTGCAGTGGCCCCACTTCCTCCCTCAGCCCTTCCTGATGGCTTCCTGGGGATTCTGGATTCCCATGGGGTGATGAGAGGAGAGCAGATGGGAGGAGGGGCAGGGCTGGGTCCTGGGTAAGGGGGTGCTCGGGCTGGGGTCCCTGGAGAGAAGTTCTGGGCTCCTGGGGGCCAATCAGGCAAGCGTCCTTTCTGTCCACACCCCAAGGGTCCCAGCCAGAGCCAGGTGGGGGAACCATAAGGAGAGGGCGTGTCCTGTCCTCCCCAGTCCTCTAGACAGGGTGGGGGCTGAGGGGTCCTCCCTAGGGCAGCACCGGGCAGTGACTCTGGTGTGGGGTTGTCGGATGTCATGGGCTGGCCTTGGGGGTGCGGGGTACAGAGCAGGAGGGGGTGGACTCTGTTGGGGGATGGCCCGGTTATCCCTGTGTTCAGGCCATTTCCTGCCCTGGTCACCTGCAGTGAACCCTGGGAAGGAGGGGGTGGCCTCCCAGTCTGCAGCCGGCCTGGGATCTGCTCTCGCCCTGGAACTGGGGACGGAGCCATTCTGGAGGTCAGCAGCCTCCTAGGACTGCAGGAGATCAGGCCAGCCCCTAGCGGGGGAGGCCGTGGGGATTTTGGCGAGGACTGCGTTGTTTGGGAGCCAGTGCCCCACTAGGCACAGTGACAGATACCCCAGCAGGATGTCCTGTCCCCGCCAGGCTGCCCACCCTATCTTAGCCGCGGCATGTGAGGTTGCCCATCCATTGGCCTTCCTTGCAGGAATGAGGCCCTGGGATGTTGAGAACAGATCTCCCACTGAGGGAACCCTCCCCACAGAGGGGAGAGTGCAGAAAACAGCAGCCTTGAGAGCCCCAGGAGAAGCAGGTGAGCTGGAGGCCTGGGGCTGCACAGCAGGGGCCTGTCTACTTGGCCTGGTTGCTGCTATGGGCAGCACCACTGTGGTAACCATAGCTGTATCCACCACAGTCTGACACCCCCTGACAATAACCACACCTGGAACTGGAGGCGGGGCTGTCAGGAGGAGCTTCCCAGGGAATAGAGAGGGTCCAGACAGCTGTGCCAGGGGCCCCCAGGACTGGGGACATGGGGGGCTGCTCAGGGACCAGACATGCACAGTGTCCCCCTGGAGAGGCCTCTGCAGCCTCCTGGGCTCTGGGACGGGCCTCTGGTCAGCAGGAGGCTGGGTGCTCCCCGGCATGTGCTCTCCTGCCCTCACTGGTGAGCTCCTATGTGGCCCAGTGTGGGCCCAGCTCCAGCGTCCACTCCTGTCAGCCTGGCCGAGGGTCCCGGCAGAACTGGGCATGGCTACTTCTTAGGGGCCTCAGAGACTCTCTCTATGGCTGTACCTGGGGCTGGGGGCTCCATGAGTGGTCTTTTCCAGGTGGGGACATCTACAGCAGGCATTTGTCTAGTGGCAGGTGAGGGGGACTGTCTGCAGCCTGGCCCTACGGAACACAGCGGCCTCTCAGAGGAGGGTGTGGGAGTCCTGCCTGTTGGGAGCCTGGGGGATGCTGTCCTCTTGATTCCAACCGGGATGGGAATCCAGGCAATTGGCAAGAGGTGTTGGAAGGAGGCTGGTGTCTACAGCGATTCCTGGCCCCAGGAATTGGCTGTTGGAATCGGGGCATCTGTCAGGACGGGGTCTGGTGCAGCTGGCGGGGAAGGGGCCAGGGCACCTGTGGTCATCAGTGAGGTCACCTCAGAGCCCTCTGAAGCCCTTGTTTGAAGGCAGACGATGTGTGGGGCACCAGCCCATGGGCTGTCATGGCCAAGATGTCCCTAGAGGCCGAGGGTCTGGGCAGAAACCCTTGGGCCCGGCTCTTCTGATCCTGGAGAGCTCTGAGCGGAGAAGTGTGCATAAACCTTGGGAGTCCGGTCAGTTTTTGCTGCTGGGTTCATCACTGTGGTAGTTACTGTAGTCACACAGTAGGAGGACCCTTCACAAAAAGCCCCTGAGTGTGCCCAGAGGCCTTTCCCACGCAGGCCCTGGTCCAGGCGTCTGGGGCCCCCATTGACAGTGGTGCTGCGTCCTGGGGATCTCAGACCTTTCTGAATCTTCTCCGCCTGCCATCGAGGGCAGGAGGGTCTGACTCACCCTTGCGCGCTCCTGTCCCTTCCAGGAGGGGCTGAGGTGATGTCTGGCAGGAGGGTGTGCAGGAGTCAGTCCTCCTGGAGTTTGAGCCCTGGGGCAGATGCAGGGGGTGGGACGCCTTTTAGGGGTCTGGGAAGGGCTGGGCTGTGGGGCTGTCCCTGTGGGCCATCTTGTGTTCTGGGGGCAGTCCCGATCCAGATGTGGGTTCCCACTGTGATATCACTGAGGACTGCCCTGGAAGAGGGTGCCCACTGGGGAGAGAGACAGAGATTTCTGGAAGGTCTTTGTCTCTGCCTGTGGGAGGTGATTCCTCTGTTGGCTTCCCGGGTGAGGTTTGGAAAGGCGCAGGACTCAGGATGGCCAGGCAGGATGATGGACTCCCAGCTCCAGCTGTCCTGGGAATGTCTTCTGTCTTGGAAATGACCCAGGAGAGGCCCAGGTGTCAGGGCCAGGCAGGCCAGGGACCACAGGGGCAGTGACAGTGCACAGGGCCAGCCCCACCTTCCTGGTGCCCCTACTCAGACATGGGGGGCTCTCAGGGTCCACACATGTGGCCCAGCCTTGAGGGAGGGGCTTCTGGGACTGTTGGCCGGATGGCAGCAAATGGTAATGTGGGCCGGCCCTGTCCCCATCCGGACTGGTATTGGAGGGCAGCAGCGATGCAGACCTGTTGGACTGAGGTCTGGCTGACCTATGGGATAATCCTGGCCATCTGTTTCATGGTCTCCAGGGCTGGCAGGCAGGAGCTCAGGGTGGTCACTTGTGGGCTTGTCTGTTGTGCCTGCTGCCCTGTGTGTTTGGGTCACAGGCTGCACTGCTGCGGTAGCCACCATACCCATGGTGCTGTGTCCTCAGTCAAAATCCTAACATGGCACGCAGCGGTGCCCCACAGGGAGGGCTGTGGCAGAAGGTTCCCAGGGATGGGTTTTTGATGGACTCTGTGACACTGTGGGTATAATAACCACTCCAAAAATCGTAATACCACAGTGACACAGACCTCACCCCAAACCTACCGCCAGGCCTGGGGAAACCCGGGATGTCCAGGGCTGACCTGAGGAGGTAGCAGGGCACCGAGGGGAGGCTGTGGGCCCAGCGCTCTCAGGTCTACTGCGGGGACACTCGGGTCTGCCCCTGGCTTAGGTGGACAGTGTCCGTGCCCACCTGTGCCCTGAGGCTCCATTTCAGGCTGATATCTGTCTGTATTGTCCCTACCCGCTGCATGGCCATGTCCTTTTGGGTTTATAAATTGCCCCCAAATCACGCAGGCATCATTCAGGCTTTTTATATTCCCTGGGCCACCAGGTGCCTCCACCCAGAAAGCTGAGATGTGGGAGGTTCTAGAGTCATTCTGCAACCCTGGATGAGCCCCTGCAGCCTCAGTGCTACTGAGGTTCCAGCAAGACCTGGAGCAGGTGCAGATGAGGCCTGAGGCCAGGTGAAGCCCAGGCCAGGTGAGGTCCAGGCCAGTGAGGCCCAGGTCAGATGAGGCCCAGGTCAGGTGAAGCCCAGGTCAGGTGAAACCCAGGTCAGGTGAGGCCCAGATCATGTGAGCTCAGGACAGGCAAGGTCCAAGTCAGGTGAGGCCGAGCTCAGGTGAAGCCCAGAGGTGAGGTCTAGGCCAGGTGAGGTCCAGGCCAGGTGAGGTCCAGGTCAGGTGAGGCCCAGGTCAGGCAAGGCTGAGGTAGATGTATGAGACTTCTGTAATTTTCAGTTGGTGCCAACCCTGCCTGGTGTCCCTGCCCCTCCTCCCAGCCCATGCTCTGTGCCTGCCAGATGGCGGCCCCTGCACAGGTGCTGCTGGCTGTGGAGGAGCTGGGCTCTGCCTCCCTGTGCATGGGCGTCCCTCTCGGGCTCTGGCCTGGGAGTGTGGCTGAGTTGCTTGTCTCCGGAATGTACCAACTGTGCCGTCCTTGGGGGTATATGTCCTCGGGGGGATACGGCTCTGTGCCTGCTCCACATCAGGCCCCAGGAGCTGCCAGCAGGTACCAGCCTGCCCTGCCACACAGTGTGCCTGCAGCCTGTCCGGGGATGCCCAGGGAGGTGAGTGCCACCACATATCAGGCCTTTTCTCTTTAAAGTCATTTCTTTGGGGATACATCATCAATGTCTCATATACTGAATGTATGTCTGTATCATTGTGCAATTGCCTGTGTCATCGTTTATTTATCCAACCTGGGTTAATGTCTTTGCTATTATGAACAGTGCTGGACTGAGAATTTTCTAAACACAGCTGTGTGCATTTTCCTCTTCTTGCAATTTAGAATTTTAACTGCTGTTTTCAAGGTACTGTAATGTATTTGTTCTCTTCTTGTTAGGAGACTTGCCAACCCTGTGTGTCTCAGTTCATACCCTCTTCCTTCCCCAGTAGAAGTAACGACCACTGTGTTTATGTGATCATCCTTTTCTTGATTTTCCTTATAGTTTTCCTAGTGGAAAGTTTATCCCTTAAGAAGATAGTTCATTTTGCCGGCTGTAAATTTTATTTAGAAGAAATCACATTGAAAGTATTTTTTGGACTTTCCTTTGTTACTCCAATTACTCAGCATTGTCATGAACTCAACCACAGAGTCACCTGTAACCCTCACTGTTGTCCTTCTGGCTGTCTGGGTTTGCATTTCATGAACCTGCCATCGTTTATTTGCCTGTTTTCCTTCAGATGGCTGTTTGCTTCATTCTCAGTTTGGGGCTATGACAAACATATGTTCTGCACATCTTTGCCCATGAGGCTCTCAGGGAGGGCTCTGGAGCTGGCATTGCCTGCAGGGCTCTGCTTTGTTGCAGGGAGTTCCTGCCAAGGCTTTTCAGAGTGTCTGTGCCCAGCCTGAAGGTACACACTGTACTTTGCCCTTGCATCAGGCACTTTCCTTGTGCTTGCTTCTGTGTGGCTCCACATTCTGGAGAATTTATTCAGATCTGTGCTGCAAATCCATTTCACTGATTCTCTCTTTAGCTGTGTCTACATCAGCTGTTAAGCATCCCATGATGCAGCATTGTGGGCACAGGGCAAACTCTTGAAAGATGACAGTGTAGGATAGCGGCTGCTTCTCCTTCCCTGTGCCCTTCCCACACTGTCCTCCTGGGCTCACTCCCAGCCATCGATCTTGAACACCAGTTTATGGAACTATCTGCACAGGAAAGCAGAAACAGCAAAAGGCCCTGCTCAGGCTCTGCCCGCATCCCCTCTTGCACACCCGCCAAAGCTCTTTCCTTGGGGCCTGTGCAAGCTTCCCAGCTGCTTCTCATTTTCTGTTTACTCTGCTCACTGGCCAGTGGGGTGATGTCTGGGGGGGAGTCTGGTGCGTTTTGGGCATTGATGGCCACCCCTAGGCCCTACTTCCCAGACGCTCCCCCCAGCCCCTCAGCTCCAGAAGTGGAAGCGTTTACAGCAGGGCTTTGGGAATGGGGCTGTGTCACTGTGGGCATAGCAGCTGGTACTACTACAATATCCTCACAGTGACACGAGCCCCCACAAAATCCTCCTGTCCCCGCGGGAGTCACTGAGTCCCCTCTTGCTGTCTCTGGCTAGTTCTCCTGCTGATACTATGATTTCCAGGGGGTTTTTGTCTGAAACTCAGGGTGTGTTGGAGAGGACTCTGAGCCCAGTGCTGTACAGGGGGCTCCTCCTTTGTCCTGGGGGAGTTGCGTGGACCCTGTTTTTGGTCAAGGGAAGTACTTGCTGGTGAAGGAGACCTCCCCTCCTTTCTTTCTCAGGAGCCCCCTCTGATGCCGTTGCCTGGTGTTTCTCAGGGCTGGTGCTGGGGGCTCAGCAGTGTCTGCCCTGTTCCAGGTGGGAATGTGGGTCTGTTCTGTTTCCACGCGGTGTTCTGGGGCCGCCAGTGAGGGGCTCGGGATGTCAGCGGCTGGTCTCTGTCCCTATGGTCTGGGCTCCGGTTCACTGCTCCCCTGCCCTCCAGGTCGGTCACTGACTCAGTTACTATCCAGCGGGCTCCGTGGCTGTTCAGTGGTGGCTGCAGGTCTCTTCCCAGGAGAGGCCTGCGAGAGGGCTGGGCTGTCTGGGAGCCCTGCATTCTCCCATGATGTTGCTGCCTGGATCCCTCGTCTTTACAGGGAGTGCCGAGCCTCCCTGCAGGTGCGGGCAGTGAGAGACACAGGCGGACGTGCATCAGGGTGCTGGAGGCCGATTTCTTTCAGTGCCTTCTGCCTGTGGAAGGGCTGAGCTCCCTGCTTCTGTGCACAGGAGGCTGCCGTGTAACCGGGCAGTGAGGGCAAGGGCCTGCATGGGGAAGACTTGGGTGAGCCTTTGTCCTGGAAATACCAGGGCTGGGTCCAAGAGGGGAGCAGGGTCAGAGTGTCCAGGAGGAAGGTGAGGGCATGGGCAGTGTGGGGGTGGGAGTGCACGGTCAGTGCCATGGCTCAGGGGCCCCAGGAGAGGAAGAGCTCGAGTTGTGGGCAGGAGGAGGCAGGGGGTAGGCACAGAGGGTAGAAACTGAGGCTCTGGCAGCAGAAAAGGGGAGGGCCTGCATGTGCAGGGTTGGCCTGGGAGGGGTGTCTGGAGGGAGAGACAGGGGTCTGGGTGGAGACCAGGGTGTAGGCTGCAGGGATGGGACCCCAGGGTTGTCTGGATGGGCAGGAAGAGCAGCGGGGGAGAAAGGGCTGGAGGCAGGGTTGGGCCTCCCCAGGGTGTGGGGTGCAGGGAGGGGCTGCACAGGCTGTTCCCCTGAAGGAGGGAGGAGGGAGGGAGCACAGAGGTGCTGGGAGCAAATGGAGAGGGAAGTGGCAGCGGCCCGAGTGCCAGGCGGTCCCGGTTTGGGGTTGATCTTTGTGGAACAGCTCCCTGGCCCGTGTGTAAGTGGTCGGGGGAGGCACGGAGGTCTGGAGCTACAAGCGGTGGCAGGAAGGCAGGTCCCAGTCTTGGGGGTCTGGAGCTTATCTTCTTCCTGTGAACTGAGTGTGGGCAGCACCTATGGGCGGTGCCCTGGACCTGTGGTCTGGTGGAGTCCAGGCCTCCCAGGGACAGCAGGGCAGCCAGGGCTAGAGGAGCCTGAGGGTCCAGGTCAGGGTGGCCCTGGGGCCACTGCCTCCACCTTTGACCAGCTCTGCTGTGGGGATCTGGGCATGAGACCCCTTCACCCAGGAGGGGAGCCGCGTGAGTGAGACCCTAAGTCCATACCCCATGGGGGGCTCTGACCCTCCTGCATAGGGCCTGGACAGGGGTGGGTGGGGTGTGCGGGGGGCGGTGGGGAGCCCAGACTCTCCCAGACACAGCCTGCTCTGCTCCAGAATGTGGGCTTGGGCACTGCAGGCTGGCTGGGTCTGGGCTGCCTGGTGTGCCTGTGGTGGCTGCATTCCCACAGCCGGGACTGAGGCCTAGTGAGGACCAGGGAGGAGCCTGAAGGGAGCTCCATGGAGGACCTGCCTCGGATGACACCCCTATCTTAAGAAGGTCATGGTGGGTTCCAGCTGGGAGGAAGGGAAGTGGGCCACCTCCTGGGGGTCTTCCACCCCCACCACCTCAGCCTGGGGCCTCTGTGATTCCTCTCTGCACAGACCCCAAAGTCTGTGCTGCCGCAGGGCAGGAAGGAAGGGCCTGTGGCCTGGTCGAGGTTGGGGCCACAGTGGTGTTCCCTAAGCCCGAGTCTGGTCTCATGGCCCGCCCCGCAGCAGGTCCTGAGTGAGGGACAGAGACCGGGGCGGGGTCTTTGGTCCTGGTGGACTCTGGGGTGGATTCCAGTGGGGAGTCATCAGGGTCGGTGTCCCCCAGGGTACTGGGGTGTCTCTGCTCCTGGAGTCGGCTCTGGATGTGGGGTTTATGCCTGTGCTGCCTGGGGTTGATGCTGGGAGGTGCCAGTGACCCCCGTTTCCCTGAGGGACTCTTGTCGGTGGTAGGGTCAGTTCTGGCCAGGAGCACTGGGACCATAGCAGTAGGATGGGGTCCAGCCCCTTCCATGACCCCCTGGAGCCCTGGTCCCCGTCCTCACCATTCAGTGGGGTTCAGTGGGGACTCCACTGTGCTCTGGCTGCTGGGGGTCGTGTGAGCTGAGCAGGACCTAGGTTCGGGGCGGCTGCTCCCCTCTCTGGCGCGGCCTCCAGCAGGGGCCAGGAGAGAGTTTTGGACACAGTTTTTCTCACGGTGGTCGTTCCAGTTGTACCCACCGTGACTCGGGGCTGTTCAGAATCTGCCCCGGCGCCCTGAGCTCTGGGGCCTCCTGGATGGGGGCTGGGCTTGTGGGCGGCATCTCCTTCGGGGGCTCTGGAGGCTGGGGCTCGCTTTAGTTGTGGGGTGAGCACTGGGAGCCCCAGTTAGCGGAACACCCACAGAGACCGGGGCCTGTACACATTCCGCCCCGGTGTGTGGGGTGGGCCCAGGCCCCTCTGGGCAGGTCAGCTTCAACGGGGAGGGTGCTTGGGTCCTGTTAGTTTTCCTCTGGGTTAATAGGATTCATCTCCTGGCCCCAGATCCTCATAGGCTGCCCCTGTCCCTCCAGCAATGCAGGACATGGCAGGTCACCCTGGAGGGAGGCATGTTCTGGCCTGGGCGTCAGGTGTGGCACCTCAGATCCTCCATGCGTGCTGTGGGCTGAGCAGGACAGCAGACGACCCCGGGCCCCCACCCTGTCTATGGACATTTTTTGCTGCAGCAGCTGTGGGAGCTGACAGTGTTCACAGCCACACCAAGGTCATCATTGTAGTCAAGGCTTTCTAAAAGTTTCATTGTGAGGAAGCCTCCTATTAAACGGCGCCTGGGCCCTGCTTCCTGAGGGTTACTGCTGAGTCCCGGATTTCCCGTAGAGGCGACGAGAGGAGAGCAGAGGGAGGAGGAGGGGGATGAGCTGGGCCCTGCAGAAGGGGGTGCTTGGGTTGGGGTCTGTGGAGTGAAGATCTGGGCTCCTAGGGGCCACCCAGACAACCATCCTCCCTGTTCACACCTTGAGGGTCCCAGCAGGAGCCAGGTGGGGAGACTGTGAGGAGAGGGCCTGTGTCTTGTCTTCCTTGGGCCGTGGGACAGGGTGGAGGTTGAGGGCGTCTTTCCCAGGGGATCACAGAACAGCACCTCTGCTGTGGGGGGGCATCCAGCACGGGGGGCTGGGCTGTGGGGTGCAGGGCAGGAGGGGGCGTGCACGGGAGGGGTGTGGCCCAGTCATTCCTGCATTCACAATCTTTCTTGTCCTGGGCACCTGCACTAGACCCTCGCCTGGAGGGGGCGGCTTCCTAGCCTGCAGCGTCCCTGGAGTCTGCTCTGACTCTGGACCTGGGGACAGGAGCCAGGCAGGAGGTCAGCAGCCTCCTAGGACAGCAGGAGGGCCCAGGCCAGTGCCTAGCAGACTTCTGCTGGAGTGGGGTCCCCGGGGCAGGGAGATAATGATTTCTAGAAGTGTCTGTGTCTCTGAGTGTGCAAGTTTGTCCAAACTGTCCACCAGGTGTGATTAGGTAAACATAGGCAGACTTGAGTTCAGGTGGAGGAAACTGAGTTTTGTCCTTAACTCCCTACCGACTCTAGGGGAATGAGCCAAGCTCCATTATCATCTGTGCAGAGGCCACAGCCTTGTAAAGGGAGGTGGTAGGGGAGCAGGGAGGGTGCTCGGGGCTCAGTCGTCGGGGAAGGGAAAAGTTGCCCAGCGCTGGTCAGCGTCCCCGGGATGGGGCCAGTTGTGTCCGTGCCGGCCACTGTTGAGGTCAGGATTCTGTCCTCCCAGAGCCTGGAGACACAGGCCCCATCCTTCCCAATGGGGACACTTCAGGGAGCGGCTCTCAGGTCCCGAGAAAGACCTTCCTGGCCACAGGAGACACACGGACATCGGGAACGGACGGAGGAAGGATGTGCAGTTGCAGCCTTTTCAGCAGACGCCCTGAGAACGGGAGGTCAAGAGTTGGAGCAGACGGTCAGTTCTGGTGCGTGGAGCTTTCTCAGGCAGGTGTTAATGGGGCTGGGGTCAGCCTAGGGGTGTGACCTGAAGCCACTGGAAGCCTTGCTGGGGTCTGGCTCTCTCTTGGTGCGGGGGGTGGAGGGAGCCCTGACAATAGAGCACTGGGGGGCCTCCAGGAGACCATCCCTGCAGCAGCTGGGCCATGCTCTGAGGACCAGGAGACCATCCCTGCAGCAGCCGGGCCATGCTCTGAGGACCAGGAGACCATCCCTGCAGCAGCCGGGCCATGCTCTGAGGATGTGGGACGAGGACCCCCACTGTCTCTGAGTGTAGGGTGGTGACTTCTTTGCACAGACTGGCCAGGGGTCCCCCAGGGGCACA
Source organism: Homo sapiens (assembly GCF_000001405.40). NCBI lineage: Eukaryota > Metazoa > Chordata > Mammalia > Primates > Hominidae > Homo > Homo sapiens. The sequence goes on from NT_187600.1 coordinate 389,384, forward strand.
GTACAGGTATCCCTGGGCTGCAGGGCTGGGGGACATCAGAGCGGCTCTCTGGGCTTGGCAGCCACCTCAGGTGGGATCAGAAGGGGAGGCAGTGCCTGGTGCTTCCCCTCCAGGCCTCTCTCCATGGTGTCCAGGGTAGTTTCTGGGGCTTTGGTGCCAATTCCTCAGGCCAGGGTCCTACCCTTCTTGGTGCCGTGATGCTTGGGGGCTCTGGAGGAAGCCCCAGCTTTGGCCACTCCTGCACTGCCTGGGGCTCCAGTCCTGCTGCGCCTTGAGGGGAACCCAGGGCCCCAGCCTTGGCCCTGTAAGGTCAGATGGGGGCTGGGCTCCAGCATCCTGCCGCTTGGTTTAGTTCCTAAATGACAGGGAGGCAGACTCTGGCTGAGCTCAAGACCTGTCCCCAGGCTCTGCACCAGAGCAGGGTCCCCCAGCAGAGGCTGTGTGGAGCTGGGCAGGGTTCCCACTTTGTGGGGAGTTCCCTGGACCTGGAGACTCAACCCTCAGCCTCCTTGATGATAAATGATGCGTCCTGTGACTGTCTTGGCCCAGACCATCAGATGGCCTCCTCACCTACCCCTCTTCAGACAGGGCCTCAGACCTAAGGCAGGAGCACCCCCTATGCCAGACCTCCTGGGTCACAGGATATGCACGGACATTGGGAAGGGATGGAGGATGGACGGAGGAAGGACGTGCAGTTGCAGCTCTTTCTGCAGATGCCCTGAGAGAGGAGGTAGGAGCACCCTTGCTGTGGTTTGAATGCTTCTCTCCTCCAAAACTCATGTTGAAATTTCATTGCCATTGTAACAGTATGAAGAGTGATTAGGTCATAAGGTCCCCACCTCATGGGTGGGATTGGTGCTGTTATAAAAGGGTGAGTTCGGCCCCCTCTTGCTCTCTTTCTTGCCTTCCGCCATGTGATGACACAGCAAGAAGGTCCTCGCCAGATGCTCCTGGACTTGCTTTGGACTTTCCCTTGCTCTTGGACTTGCTCTGGCACCTGTGCTCTTGGACTTCACAGCCTCTAGAACTGTGAGAAATAAATTTCCGTTCAGTATAAATTTCCCAGTCTTGGGTATTCTATTCTAACAGCACAAAACAGTCTAAGACAACCCCAAATTCAGACCTAAGGTGAGATAACCCCAACCAATATCTAAGGATCCCCTGCTCCAGACCTTGGTGGTGAGGTCAATACAGGACTCCCTCTGAGGGAAGCCCTGACAGCGATGCCTGGGAAGGCATCTCTAGGGCCCAGTGGGCCAGGGGAGGCCCAGGACACACCTGCATCATCTCTCATAATCCCTCCATTCTGTTATAACAGGAGCATATGCTTATAGCATACTTTAAAAATTAGCCCAAAACTGAAGGTAAGCATCGATTAATTGATGGACTCCTTTTCACAGTTTGGTCTTTGTATTTACACCAGTCATCTCACAATGCGTGTTGAGCTTTGCACCCTTTTACCAAATGAGGTCACCCCATGAATGCTGTCATGTTATCACAGATATGCGGTAAGTATAATTGGGAATGTTTGCGGAATAATCCCACTAATTTTACACCACAGTCATCTCACAATGCGTGTTGAGCTTTGCACCCTTTTACCAAATGAGGTCACCCCATGAATGCTGGCTGTCACGTTATCACAGATATGTGACAAGTATAATTGGGAATGTTTGCAGAATAGTCCCACTAATGTATGCACCATAATTTCTTCAGGCACTATCTTGCTTTCAACTATTTTATAATTATAAATAATGTTCTGAAGAATGTCTGTTCACAAAGTGTTTTCCTTATGTGTGCTAGCCATTTGTTTTCTTTTAGAAATTGTGTTATATCCTTTTTGCCGATTTCTTAAGGGATTTGTTCTTTTTCTTATTAGCTTATGTATGTTGTTTGCATAATAATGGTACAAGACCTTTACATATTAGATTAATATTATTTGAGTTTATTATTTACTCTTGTTTTGATGATTTTTAAATGTAAAGAATCTGTAAAGGTGTTACCTAGCTTCATGATTTGGGTTTGCAGTGAAGCCTGCCCAACTTTAGGCAGCTGTCTGGGCCTGTGTTTCCAGAGCTTGAAGGAGTCTCTGCTTCCCTCTGGAGGGCTGGTGTGATATCAGTGTTCTCTGTCCAGGCCTGGGTGCCCTCCTGGGTCTGGGCTTGGGCTGGGCTCTTAGATGTCTCAGAGAAATTGAGACTCTATTAATCATCTGAGTCTTTCCATTTCTGGTGAGATGATCATGGGTCATCATTGGCCTGAGTGGTGGGATGAGCTATAAATAGTTCTAAATTCCTGGTGTAAGTCCTTGTTCAACGAGATGGACAGAATTTGGCCTTCTAGGATGTCATTTATAACATTTGGCTCTTTGCCAAAATGCAAGTTAGCCCATGTTTTACTCTGGGGACTGTGAATTGTGATCCCTTTAATAGACTTTCCCATGTTCCTCCAAATCCTGGAGCAGTTCTTATGGGAACTGATTAGTTTTGTGAAAGTCTAAACTTCACCCATAAAGCCATCTTGGCCTGAAGTCATCTGTGAGGGCAATTATTTAATAATCTTAATGCTTTCTTGAGGATTACTGTTCCAATTATGATTTCCATTTCTCCTTGAGTCAGCTTTAAGTTTTATTGCTAGAAAAGAAAAATGCCAACTTGCCGTCATCTCTGCTGTCACTATTTTGTGTTCAACAATTGCCTTCTCTATCTGCTGTATCTTTTTCAGCACAGAAGCTGTAATGTTATTAAACAAAGCAATGTATCCAGATCACTCAGAATCTATGCCTGTCACGGGGAGCAGGAGAAGAGGGTGAATGAAGAGCCACAGCATGGCAGGGGAGCCACTGCAAGGATGCTGAAACTCGTGTGAACAGAGTTGCTGTAGGCAGGCTGCTATGGAACCTTTTGGGGAAGCACTGCCTCTTAGGGATGGCAGTGAAAATGGGAGAAGAGGGTGGCATTGCCTCCAGATGGAAGATGTAGTGCTTTGCCTTGCTCCTTGGTGCTTGGAGAGGGAAAGGGATGCTGCTGTAAAGTTCCTGGCTGGACTTTGGCTTGATAAAGCACGGGCACCTTTGGGAGTATGAGGGTGGGTGGGTGTGCACATCTTCCATGAGGAGCTGTTAGTATTGGGGCAGACGTTTCAAGTATGGCAGACAAAGGATGTTCTGCGTGGGGAAATGTGGTGACACCCATTTCACAAGGACAGCTCACATAGATTGAGTGCTCAGGAAGGACCAGCACCATACCCAGTGCCTGATGTGTATCATCTCAATTAGTCCTTGCCTCAGATGCAAAAGGAAACCATCGCCATCATCATCACCACCATCATCATCTTCCTCCTGTGCAGATGGAAAGGCTGAGGCATAGAGAGGTGACGGAGTCTGCCCAGGACTGCAAGCCTGCTGGTGGCAGAGCCAGGTTCCAATGGAATGAAGGCTGTCATCCTCAGATGGCAGGGTAGGCAGGTGGCTAGAGCTCACTTGGGAGAAGGGGAAAGGACACTGACTTTGGCTAGGGATGGAGCAGAGCTTGGGCTGGCTTTCCATGCACGGGCAGGGGGCGTGGCTCATGGCTACGCTCCAGCCCCGGGTGTGGACATTGAATCTTCCAGGTCTACCCTAGGCTATGGGTCTGGACAGCACTGTGATGGAAAGAAGACACTCTATGTCCTGCATTCTGTGACCAATGATGTGACTGTGGGAATGGCGCTGGCATCTGGCTGCCACTCTGGGACGGGTGGCCAGCTGCCATCAGGCCCCACCCAGGATGGGACCACCATGCGACTTCTTCCCTCGCTCCTCCTGGTCATGTCCAGAGCCCCAGGAGGACCAGCAAAGCCTCTCGAGCCGATGGCAGCTCACGTTCTACCTTGTCAGCTACTCCTCTCCTGGGCAACATTGGCTGCTTGCTGTGGCTCTCCCCGGGGTATGTGACTGCCTCTGTGCTGGGCACCTGGCCTGGGCTTTCCTTCTGGGCCTGGGCAGCTGGGCTCAGCTTGGACCCAGGCAGCAGCCACAGAGGGGCCCATGGAGGTGACAGAGTTGCTTCTATGATGGTGAACGGGCAGCTGTGACACGGAGGAGGCGACCACTCCTCAGTTTCCAAGTGCTGCGGTCAGGGCCGGGGCCAGCAAAGTCCCTCCCATATTCAAAGAGTGGGTTTGGGTTTGTCCCAGGAGGACATAGTCAGGAGCCCATGCTGGCACATGCCTCCTCCAAAGTTCAGCCTGGATCCCCAGCCTCTGCCAACGGCCCCGCTCCTTAGCTAACCCAGCTTGCTCCTGGGTTCCACGGCGGAGTCAGATGTTTCTGGGCAGTTTCACCTTTGTGCCTTAAATGCATGTTGAGGACTTTAAGGAATTGTGGAGAAATAGGGCTGTGGCAAAGGCAAGTGACAACTGGGAACAATGATCCTGCAGAGGCTGCTGAGGCCTGGGCCCCAGGGGCGTGGGTTCATCCTTCTGCCTGGGCTTTGGTGGGAGGGGCAGACTCTGTGGTCTGAGACACAAAAAAACCCAAAACATACGTGTGTACAGACACACAGCAGAGCCACACACACACTTGTGCCCATGCACACACTCACAGGAGGCCCGTGGACTCCGCACAGGGAAGAAACTCCTCCGGTCGACAGTGGACGGCGCTGCAGCAGGGACTCACCCCCAAGCCCTGCCTGCCTCCCATTGCCCACCTGGCCCTGGCTTGATGGGCTTATCTCATGCTGTGGCCGGGGACCTCTTGCTTCCTGCAACCCCTTGCTGGACTGGGGCCTGGGCCTCTCCTGGGCTGTGCCTAGGGTTTGTAACCCAGGGCCTGTGCCGGCGTGCACAGAGCATCTCTCCCTGGGAGGCTCAGGGCTGCCTCCTCGAGCTCTGTGGGCCTGCACTGGCCGGTGAGCTTGTGGTGTGGGTTTTCAGGCTGTATCCTTCTACCTCCTGAGCCCAGGGGTCCCAGGCGCCCTGCAGCTGTCTCCTCGGCCATCCTGTGGGGCCCCGAGGCCTTGCCCTCACTTCAGTGCCTGGGTGCTCAGGCTTTGCCCAGGTGCCAGGAGAAGGTGTGAGCATGAGCCTATTGGACACACCTGGCGACGTATACCAGGTGTCCCACCCCTGCCACCATGGGGCCTCCCGATACGGCAACCACCACGGACCTGTGGGGACCAATGAGGAAAGAGAGAGGCAGGTCTGGGCCAGGCTCACAGGGACTCCGGCATAGCAGACCCTGCCCCAGCAGGCCCCCTTGTCCTTCCTGGGTCCTGGTCCTTCATGAGGAACTAGCCCATCCCTGGTGGGGCTCCCACCCCGCTTCTCAGTGGGCTCTATGCTTGCCTCGTCGGAGTCACCCCTCAGGCAGTCCTGGGATCCTCTCCTTTAGACCCACTGTGCCTTCCCGGCCTCCCGGGCTTCTGCTGGGGGCAGAAGAAATGCCTCCCCAGGTCTGTCTCTGGAGGCTCTGAGGGAGATGGGCTTGGGGGCTGTAGGAGGAGGCAGGGATTCCAGGGTGTCAGGAAGGCAGGGGTGCCAGGTCCCACCTAGTGAAGTAATAAACCGTGGGTGGTGATAGTGACCCAGTGCCCTCACTGCCCAGCCCCGCCTGTCCTCAGCCAGCACTGCAGGGATCCCAGGCCCAGACTCTGGAGGCCTTCACTGATCCCAGCCACCCCAGAAAAGCTGCAGCCTGCAGGCACCAGCCGGGCCATATGCCCAGTGCCAGCTAGGGCCCACCGCCCATCCTGCACACGGGGCCGCTGGGCAGGTGCCCCTCACACCCCCAGGATGTCAGTGCTCACCTCGAGCAAAGCGCCCCAGCTCGGCCTTGGGAGGTGGTCGTGTCCAGGGGGATGATGGAGAGCTGTCCAACCAAGAGAGCGGGAGGGAGGGAAGGAGGGAGGGAGAGAGATAGAGAGAGAGAGAGAGAGAGAGAGAGAGGAAGTGTGGGCCCTAAGGCTGCCTTAGTGGAGGTGCGCGTGGCCTGCACCTCACCAAGCCTAGCCACTCTCGCGGCTCTGAGTGGCTCACAGGCTTGTGAGGGCCCCGTCGCTGCCTGCTGGGTCCCCACCAGGGCTCCCTCTAGGAATGCGCCATGGCTGCTATGACAATTTGCACAGCCCAGTGGCTTAAACACCATTTATACCACAGGTCCAGATGAATCCTGCAGGGCCAAGGTCTGGGGGTGCTGGAGGCCATGCTCCCTCCAGGCTTGCGGGGAGAACTTCCCTGCCTCCTCCAGTCTCTCCATCCCTGAGCTCTCGGCTCCTCCTCCGTCTTCAGGGCCAGGGCGTAGCGTCTGCTCTCTCGGCCTCTGCCTCCGCTTCCCACCTCACCTGGCTTCTGTCTATGTCAGTCTCCCTCTGCCAACCTCCTAGAAGGACACTTGTGATTACATTAGGGCTCACCCCTTTAATCCAGGGGAGCCTCTCCACTTCATGATTTTCAGCTAACTTGCTTCTGCAAAGACCCCCTTTCCCTATAAGGGCACACATTCACTGGTCCCGGGGCTAAGGACCTTGCTCCAAGTCCCTCCACCCATGATGCTGTGCCTTCCAGAAACCTGTCCTCTGCAGCTCGGTCTTGACCCCAAGCCTGCTGGTGACCTGAACTTCACAGGGTTATCCCCTTGGACTGTGTGCAGCACGATGCAATTTCTGGGCCTGAATGTCATGCTCCCTGGGGCAGGACCTTGAGCCTGCAGCACACACTAGGCCACCTGCAGTCTCACAGGCCATGCCCTGGGTAGACAGGGAGGTGCTCAACCCCAGCTCGGGTCCTCTAGTCTGCCTGGCTACCATGCTTCTCACTCTCCTGCATCTGCAGACCCTGCGTTGCCATGTGAGGCAGGGGTGGGGTGGGGCTGAGGGCGTGGCTTTGGTCCCTGGCTGTCCGGATGAAGTACCAGAGTGACGCCACAGCCCATCCCGGTGACATGCTCACCCCCAACCCCCGTGTCCGGGACCCCGGTCTTGTGTGGTCCCTGATGTGGAGTCCTCAGTCCTTAAGATACATCCAGAAAGTCCTGGCCATGAATTGGAGGTGCAGAGTCCTGCAGAGCCTCTGGGCTGGGCTGGTGCCCCCAGGAGATGGAGGGCCTGGTGGATGCCCTCCTCCCTCAGAGCTGGGGCAGCTGCCTCCCAGGGGTGGGACTCTGGGCTCAGAGAGAGGCCCTTGAGCTGCAGCTCAGGGGGATGCGAGGCTTCGTGGACTGTGTCCTGGTCCATGTGGTGCACGTGTCTCCACCTCCAAGGAGAGGCTCCTCAGTGTGCACCTCCCCCACATCCGTCCTCTCTGCCGGCCCCGGGCGTCTGAGCAGTCATTCCATGCCAGCACCTCTGCAGCCTGCTGGGCCTCAGGTTCTCTGTGAGGGACCTCCCCGGCCTTCGGCGGAGGTGGAGTAAGCTCCGTCAAGGCAGGTGGCTTCGTCCCTTCCTGTGAGTGACACCAGTGATGAAATGGACCCCTCCACACAGGCATCCTCAGGGCACAGGGCCCTGGGGGCACCTTCCTCCTTTCGTATTTGTTGAGAAAAAAAGTGGCATTGCGCTCACACCAGGATGCTGGAGCAGAGCTGACATGCTCGGGAAAGGGCAGAGGTCACTGGGGGTGGGAAGGTCATCCAGTCCAGACTCAGCACCTCGTGGGCTGGTAAACTGAGGCTCAAAGTGCTGGTGCCAGGCCTGAGGCCTCGCGGTGACCCCTCTCTCTGGTTCCCAGCACCTGCCTGAGACCTGCCCCAGGCACCCATAACCTGGAATTCCCTGTTTCCTTGTCCAGGGCCTGAGGAAATGGCTCCCCAGGTCTGTCTCTGGATGCTCTGAGGCAGATGGGCTTGGGGGCTCTAGGAAGAGGCAGGGACTCCAGGGTGTCAGGAAGGCAGGGGTGCCGGGTCCCACCCAGTGGAGTAACAAACTGTGGGTGGCGTTTGGGCCTCCCCGCCTTCCCCACTGGGTGTGCTGGTGCTGGCGCTGCTGGGTCAGGGCTGCCCGTGACCCCAGACACCACTGTCCATCCTGTGAGGCTCCCGTCTGGGCATGTCCTGGGTGGATTCCTCCTTTCTGTTAAGTAGCTACATGAGGCAGGGGCTCCTGGATCCAAAGCAAATGACAGGAATTCCAGAGCCAGGTGCATCCACTCAGGGCAGCCAGTGTTGGTGGAGCTGCCTCTAGCACATGGAGGAGAGTGAAAGTCAGCCTGCCCCTCTCACGAGAAAAGAACCTGGGGATACCTCTCAGCCTCCAGCGTTGCAAGTGCAAGGCCAGTGGAGTTAATCTGCAACGTGCACGAGGGCGTGTGTCAGTGGCTGTGTGCAGGAGTGTGAGTGAGCAAGAGCAAGAGCGCATGGCTCCTGCTGTACCTCAAGGTGTGGGCTCCTGGTGGCTGCTCAGTGTTCCCAGGGGTGAGAGGCCTCATGTATCCTAGGCTGCCTGAGATTTCTGTGTGCTGATCGCATCCTCAGTTTCTTGTCCACCGCTTCACTGGCAAGAGTCCCAGGCTCCAAGGACACCCTCCCTGCACATGATTGGGTGTTAATGGTGGCCTGGGTTGTGTCTTCCCCTGGGGATGAGGGTTGGGTGTCCATGGTGCCCTGGGCTGTGTCCTCCCCTAGGGATGAGGGTCGGGCCTCCACGATGCCCTGGGCTGTGTGCTCTTATGGGAATGAGGGTTGGGTGTCCAAGATGCCCTGGGCTGTGTCCTTCCCTGGGGATGAGGGTTGGATGTCCAAGATGCCCTGGGCTGTGTACTCCCCTAGGAATGAGGGCTGGGTGTCCAAGATACCCTGGGCTGTGTCCTCCCCTGGGGATGAGGGTTGGGTGTCCATGGTGCCCTGGGCTGTGTCCTCCCCTGGGGATGACGGTTGGGTGTCCATGGTGCCCTGGGCTGTGTTTCCTTGGGGATGAGGGTTGGGTGCTATGGCATCCTGGGCAGGTGCTTCCTTTCTGCACAAGGGTTGGGTGACCATGATGTCCTGGCAATGGCTTCCCTGGGTTGCCTCTTTTCTGCCATGTGGGAAGAGCAGGGGAGGTTTAGTTGGTCTCAGCACATCATTCTCTCAGGATAAGTAGAAGAGTGTCTGAGCTGTGAGGCCAGTGCTCCAGCTTTGGAATTGTCTTCCCCACCCTCACCTCCATCCCATCAAAGCCCGACATGTCGTGTGGCAGCAGCGAGGTGGGTGTTGGCTGTTCTCTTGGGCTGGGGGTTAGTCGTGGACGGGGAAAGGAGAGATGCTGGTCAAAGGGCATGAAGTTTCTGCTGATGGGAGGAGTCAGTTCTTTTGATCTGTTGCACAGCATGGTGACTATAGTTAACAATAATGACTATTTCAAAATTGCTAAAAGATGAGATTTTAAATGTTCTCACCACAAAATGATAAGTGTGTGAGGTGATGGATATGCCACTTACCTTGTTTTAATCATCCCACAATATAGACAGGCATTGTCACTTTGCATTGTACCCCAGGAATCTTCACATTTGCTTTTTTGTCAATTAAAAATAGAGACACAAAAGGAGAGAGGGGAGAGCAATAGACTCTTCACGGAACCGTGGGCTTCTGCCTCCGGGTAAAATAAACTGCAAAAAGGATTCCCAGGAAACCGTTCCCTCTTTCAGCCCTTGGTTACAGGAAGCCGGATTTGGGAAATCTGCCTGGATGACATTCACATGAACGGGCACATACAGGAAAACACGGTAATGTAATTAGAATAGTCAGAGAAAAGTAGCCAGAAATGACATTCACATGAACGGGCACATACAGGAGAAAACACGGTAACGTAATTAGAATAGTCAGAGAAAAGTAGCCAGAAATGACATTCACATGAACGGGCACATATAGGAGAAACCATGGTAACGTAATTAGAATAGTCAGAGAAAAGTAGCCAGAAATGACATTCACATGAACGGGCACATACAGGAAAACACGGTAATGTAATTAGAATAGTCAGAGAAAAGTAGCCAGAAATGACATTCACATGAACGGGCACATACAGGAGAAAACACGGTAACGTAATTAGAATAGTCAGAGAAAAGTAGCCAGAAATGACATTCACATGAACGGGCACATACAGGAGAAAACACGGTAACGTAATTAGAATAGTCAGAGAAAAGTAGCCAGAAGAATTTGCAACGTGCCCTTGTAACACCAAATTTGATCAGTTTTTTAAAAAATGATCGTTATGTAGGTGATTGAGAAGTAAATGTATTCTTTTTTAAGGTAAAAATTTGGACCCTTATCATGCATACCCCCCTCTGTGCTCTTCAAATCAACATCATTATTAATATCTGTACATTTTTGCTCATCTGAGCCAGCACAGGCTGAGGCTGTCAGAATGGACACCTTTTGGTTGTTGGGTTTCTGTCAGTTTCTGGGGTGAAGCTGCGTGATTGAGAACGTAGCTCTTGGCTGCCATCTCGGGGATTATTAAGGACTGTGAACTCTATCCACAAGCCATGGCAATATCTGTCCCACCGAATGCTCCCTCTAACACACTCTTACTCCCGTGATGTGTGTTAAGGGCTCCGACGATGCTGAAAACAGCACAGGATGTGAAAAGGCAGGAACAGTTCTGAAGTCAAAGGCTGATGTCCTGTTTCTCTTTCCCTCTGTGACCGACTCCCTTCCCAGTGGTAACAAGTACCCACAGCTTGGTTTGAATTTCTGCACGCTGTTGTCTGTGCACTCGCTCACACTTACGCACACAGCAGGCATGTGGGCGATGCTGGGTATTTTGTGTATGAGTGGGATGCACATACACACATCTACATCCATATCATGCCCATGCATCTGTAACTTGCTTTTCCCGTGTAAGAACACTTCTTAGAGTTTGTTCAATGCATGTGTCTGTGTGAATGATTGAAGGCATTTCTAACCCATTTTAAAGATGGCTACTTAGGACCATATGGATGTTGTACTGATGTCATTTGACCACGTCCATTGTTTCCATCTTTTGGGCTGTTCTTGTGTATTTTACTTTCCATGTAACACTGTGACATTGAGAATTGGTACCTACAACAGTCTATTTGCTTTACATTAAATTTGTAGGCTAATTTGTGTACCTTCAGAGTGTGAAAGTTTTCTCCTGAGGAAAATGGGGTAATTCATGTTTATTCAGGTTTTCTTCTTGTCTTCCCATGTGCTTTCTAGTTTACTTTATAAATAATAATAATGTACTCTTACTATCTCTCAGTATACGGAAAGCACAAGTCAAAGAATATGGTGTGGGTTCTTTATTTAAATCTTCACAACACTAATCAGTGGCAGAGTGTGGATCCTTGCCCCCCAGCACGGGACTAGCCAGTGGCAGAGTGTGGATACTTGTCCCCAGCATGGGACTAACCAGTGGCAGAGTGTGGATCCTCGCCCCCCAGCACGGGACTAGCCAGTGGCAGAGTGTGGATACTTGTCCCCAGCATGGGACTAACCAGTGGCAGAGTGTGGATCCTCGCCCCCCAGCACGGGACTAGCCAGTGGCAGAGTGTCGATCAGACTTCTGGGACCAGTGCCCATTTTCCCAATCACTGCACAGTATAGCCTTGGATGGCATGAGCTACCTTGGTGTCTAGGTCGTTTGTTGTTCCCATGAATGGGTTTTCTCTTTAAATTACAGTGCTATGAATAAAGCTGTTTCACACAAATAACATAAGCGCAGTCTCACTATTAAAATGCAAATACAAAATAGGAAAATTGGAACTTACTTCCAACAGCTCACCTGCAGCCGATTGTACCTTCCTGTTTCCTGCTGGCCACGTTGTCATATTTTCTGCTAAGTAACCAGCCCATCTGCAGGGTCTTTCGGGGATCTCACCGAGGCCAGGTGCAAATCATCAGTCTTGCAGTCATCAACAAACAATGCTGATGATAAAACCACACAGAAAATACCTTGAAATCCACAGCTACGCAGCAACATTGCTCATTAGTACATCCCATTCTTTGACCAGGGGTGAGGGCCAGGCAGGTACATCATTTATCACTTACATGATAGGTGCAGCTGTTTAAGTAGAATTTCTCAGGCCAACTCCAAGCCCGCTGTAACTAAAACTCACAGCATGGTGTTGGAGGGAAATGTTTAGCAGCAAATATCCGCATCCAGACAGAGGAAAGGCCTCAAGTCAATAAACTTAGCTTCCACTTTAGGAAACTAAGAAAATAGCAAATTAAACTTACTGTAGGCAGTAGAAAGGAAATAGTAAATATCAGAGCAGAAGTCAATGAAATGTAACACAAAAAACTAGGGAAAAAAATCAATAAAACCAAAACCAGTTTTTTAAGAAAATCAATGAAATTAAACTTTAGGCATACTGATTAGAGAAAGAGAGACGACACAGATGAGCAAGATCAGGGATTTAAGAGGTGCCATCACTACAGATTCTACAGATGTTCAACCTCTAAGAGAGGAATATTGTTTAAAAAAATTTTGACAATAAATTCAACAACTTAGATAAAATAGATACATTAATTGAAAGACACTGGAAAGCTCACTGGAAAAGGAAGAGAAAATTGAATTTTTAGTTAAAAACTTTCCCACAGTCTGTGTGCAGTGGCTCATGCCTGTAATTCCAGCACTGTGGGAGGCTGAGGCATGAGGATTACTTGAGGCCAGGAGTTCAAGACCAGCCTGGGCAACATAATAAGACCTCAAAAACAAGACAAAGCGATAAACAAACAAACAAACAGCTGGGTGTGGTGGTACATGCCCGTAGTCCCAGCTACTCTGAAGGCTGAGGTAGGAGGATTGCTTGAGCCCAGGAGGTTGAGGCTGCTGTGAGCTATGATTACACCACTGCATTCCAGCCTGGGCAACAGAGTGAGACTGTGTCTCTTAAAAAAAAACCCAAACCACAAAACAAACAAACAAAGACTTTCCCACAAAGAAAACTCTAGGCCAATGACTTCATTATGAAATCTTGCAAACCTTTAAGGAAGATATAATTCCAATTTTATACAAATTCTTTCAGAAAAATGAAGAGGAGGAAATAGCTTCCCAACTCATTCTGTGAGTCCAGCATTACCCTGATTGCAAAACTAGGCAAAGTTATTATAAGAAAAAATACCCTACAGACTAATCTTCCTTGTAAACATAGATGTAACAATTCTTAACAAATTTTGAGGAAATTGAATCCAACAATATGTAACAATAACAACACATGATGACTAAATGGGGTTTGTCTCAGGAATGCAAAATTGCCTTGATATTAAAGAATAAATAAATGTAATTATTCATGTTAATATAAGAACTGCATAATCATCTTAGTAGACAGAAAGCATTTAATAAATTCTAGCATGAGTGTCACATTAAAAGACTCTCAGAAAATTAGGCATAGGAGCAAACTTCCTCAATGTGATGAAGGGCATTTATAAAAACCCTACAGCTAACATCTGACACCATAGTAAAAGACCAAACTCCAACGTTAGGAAACAGGCAAGAATGTCTGTTTTCACCACTTCTGTTTAACATTGTACTGGAGGTCCTACCTGCTGTAACACAGAAAGAAAAAGACATAAATTTATCCCCACTGGAAAAGAGGAAAATCTGTCTCTATATATAGACCACATGACTGTTTGTATGGAAAATCCTATGGAATCTAAACAGTGCTGCTAAAATTGAGAGGAAATTTAGCAAGTGTGCAGGACATAAGATCAATTCAATTTCCTTGCTGTTTGAAGAACTTCCTTTAGCCAGTCTTTAAGAGTACATCTTGTAGCAAGAATTCTTTTAGTTTTTGTTTATTTGAGAAGGTATCCATTTTCTGCTCATTTCTGAAGGATAGTTTCATTGGGTATAGAATTCACAATCAACAATTCTTGAACATTGAAAAGTATCTGAGAAAGACTCCAGCATTTGAATTGGCATCCTTGATAGCTAATGCATCATTTCTCTCTTGCTGCTCAGTGCGGTCACTGGGGCAGTGCATGGAATAGATGGTGTTCAGTCCATGTGTGTGACCACTCAACATGTATTTGAGCAGGTGGGCCAGGTGGGCGCTGAAGGGGAGGCTGAGTAGGGTGGTCTGGTGAGTGCTTGTCTAAGCAGGGACTTGCCAGAGCATAGCCAAATGCAGGGACAGTGAGGTCGCAGAGTGGGAGGATGGTTTGGAGAGAGGGGCTCAAAATGACATAGGGGAGGGAAAATGTACTTATATTTGTTTCTATGTATAAAGGTGATAAGTTTATTGTAGGAAGTTTGTAAATTATAATAATAAAATGATATCCATTCAATTCTACATTATCCAATAGCATGTGCCACTTACAACATTGAGCAGAACGAACAGACTCCCCCGCATGGCTGGGTTCTCATCTCACGGCTGGAGATCCAGATAGGGCATGGCCATGGCATAGGTGTCTGGCAGGAATCTCCTTAAATCATCCCTGGTCATTTATAAATTCCAAACTGATGAGCTATTATCCACTCAGACCCTACTCAAATCACTCTGCCCTTCCTGACCACCACCCAAACCAATGCCTCCCAACCTGGTCCCTCTTCACTAACAGCATGGAGTGTAAGGAACCACCAAGTTCAAAGCAAAGGCCTTAAACACCCTGAAAATAAGAATTTGTAAAAACATGAATGAAACTGCCAATTTAAAATATTACCTAAAAAATAAATGTCAACAGGATGTTTTATTGCCAAGCTGACAAATTTTAAATTATTAATTCAAAGCCATAGTGTATTAGTCCATTTTCACACCGCTATAAAGATACTACCTGAGACTGGGTAATTTATAAAGAGAGGAGGTTTAATTGACTCATAGTTCCGCATGGCTGGGGAGGCCTCAGGAAACTTACAATCATGGCAGAAGGTGAAGGGAAAGCAAGGCACGTCTTATGTGGCAGCAGGCGAGAGAGAGAGCAGGGGAACCTGCCACTTTTAAACCATCATATCTCATGATAACACCCTATCATGAAAACAGCCTGGGAAAAACCACCCTTGATCTAATCACTCCCACCTGGACCCTCCCTGGACACATGGGAATTACAATTGGAGATGAGATTGGGGTGGGGACACAGAGCCAAACCATATCACATAGGAACCTAATAGGAGAATAAAGTAGGAAAACTTCCACATCAGTAACCCTTTATCAGTTGGTAATCCCAATCTGCAAAATAAAACTATGTAATTTTACCAAGATAATGGAATCTTCTCTACAGAAGGATTTTCCAGTGCAAAAGCTCCCCACCACCACCATGAAATGCAGGTGACCATTTCCAATTTGTGTAAAGTCCTCAGTTAGTACTGAGACTTTTGAAGGTCAAAAATCCCTTTGCTCATGCTGCATGATCTGGACGAGACATAAGAATTTTTAGCTAATAGACATGCAACAGCTTTTGTGTGAAAGATGTTATAAGACATTTAAGGTATTTGCTTATGATTAGTAAGTATTTGTTGTATCATTGGAGCACATGTGCTTATATACCCTGGAAAAATTTTCGTCTTGGAAAAGTATTATTTTGGGGAAAAATATCAGAAAACATATTGTTAGTCTTTGTTTATAGAGTCTCAGCCTTCTAAATTTGAAATTATTGGCAGTTTTCCTCCAATTGTAATGACAATCAGCCAATTTAAGGAGGTTTTCCAGTTGCAGAATTTTTATAGAGGTGTCCTCTGCTGAAATTTCAGTATTCACTACTTCTTAAAAACCCATGCCTGGATGGAGAATGACATCAGCAAGATGGATGAAGAACTTAGAGAAGCCTGGTGTTCACCCACACCCTCCCCATGAGGAAGGAATAAGGCAAAGAAGAAACAGCTAAGGTTTGACTGGAGTGTTGAAGGGAGACTGACGGAGTGCAGTGGAGGTGTGGAAACGCACCCGTGGTGATCGGAGGGCAGCATGGAGGCACCTGGCCTTTGCAGCCTTGTCTTCCCCACCCAGATCGGATTGGTCTGGACACAGGAGGGACTTCCCATGTAGGGAAAAGGTAAGCAGATTTCCCGCCAGCACCCACTGCCACTGCAAACATCTACAGCCCTTGCAACAGGAGAATTCCACAGGTTTTGCAAGCCCTCAGCCAAGTTTGGGAGCTGCCAGGAATGATCCCAGATTAGGAGCACAAGGTGTGTACTCCCTGCCCCCATTCATCCACTGTGAGCCTAGCTGCTGCAGCCCAGCGCCACCTTGAGACCGGAGCCGCCTCTGGAGTGCATCCTGCCCTGAGGCTGGTAGCCACTGCCCCTTTCTAGCATTGGGGCTCCATCTTCAGGATGCCCATATCTGGGTGGCTGAATGCCACAACCCTGGCTGTGCAGAGCCTAGGCTGAGGATTGGCCGTGACTCTGGCCCTGCACAGCAAAAAACCCAACCCCTGCTGCTGCACATCCAGCTGGAGGAAGAGCCTGCCAGGCCTGCCCAGGGTGAATCCACCATTGATTTGGCCAAGCTGCTGAGGGCCCTCCCCTGAGCAGGAGAGGCCCCTGAGCCACCGAGCACCTGATACTAACTCCAGGCTGGCAGAGTGGATATGTGCCCACACTCAGGCACCTGAGAAATAGCCCTGTGGCATCCACTCCAATTTCCACAGGTATGCCGTTGACCTGCCCAAAGGCTCTGCACCTGAAATTAGGCCTGAGAAACAGCATCATGGGCCACCCCTGGCAGGCACTCCTATAAGCCAGCAAGCAGCTGTGCGCCCATGACCCCGGCCTGAGAAATAACCCTGTGCCCCTGCAGCCCCCCAGCAGACACACACCCAGGCCAGCTGAGGAAGCCATGTGGCCATGTCCTGGGTCTGAGAAAGAGCCCATGGGGTGGCCCTGGGAGACACATGCCCAGGCCAGTTGAGCGGCCATGCACTTGTGTCCTGAACCTGAGAAACAGCCCTGTGGATTGCCCTCAGAAGCCACACCCCCAGGCCAGCCAAAGAGACTTGTGTTTGCATCCTGGGCCTGAGAAACAGCCCCATGTCCCCAACCCTAGTGAGCCTGGCACCAAGTTGGTCAATCCACCATGTGCATGCATGTGCCCCGACCTCAGAAACAGCCTGGTGAGTCCACCTCTAGCAACGTTGCACTTCCACTGCCACAAACCTCTCAGCCCAGGCCACTGAGACACTCGCAAACGTCACCAATGTGGACGGCAGCTGAAGAAACGACATGGAGACTACGCTACTGCGTCAACCTAGAACTAAAGCCAGCACGCCCCGCCACACTGACACCCTGAGACCCGTCTGTACTAGGAAGTCTTTTCCTGCAAAACCTACTCCATTAAATTGCAAGGGATGACTGGTCCGCCAGATGTGTAGAAATCAACGTAGGAACACATAAAACATGAAAAGGCCAGGAAACACGACACCTGAAAAAGACAACAGTCATTCTCCAGTAGCAGACCCCAATCATAAGGAAATATACAGAATGTCAGAAAAATAATTCAAAAGGATAATCTCTAAGAAACTCAGGGAGATACAATAGTGTACAGATAGAAAATTCAGTGAAATCAGGAAAACAATTTATCATTTGAATGAGGAATTCAACAAAGAGATAAGTATCATAAAAAAGAACCAACAGAAATTCCAGAGTTGAAGAATTCAATGAATGAAATTAAAAGTACAATTGAGACCTTCAAGATTAGACTAGGCCAAGCAAAAGAGTTTCTGAAGTTGAAGACAGATCTTTTGAAATAATTCAGGCAGATGAATAAAAAGAAAAAAAGAGTAAAAAGGAATGAAGAAAATCCCCAGCATTTATGGGACACAATTAAGTGAACAAATATTTGCATTATGGGTATTCCAAAAGAGTAGGGAAATGGTGTAGAAAACACGTTTAATGAAATCATAGCTGAAAACTTCCCAGATCCAGGAGGTTCACAGAACCCAAAATAGAACTTCTTTGAGGCACACTGTCAAAAGTCAAGTTGTCAAAAGTCAAAGACAAAGAATTCCAAAAACAGCAAGAGAAAAACATTGTCACATATTAGAGAATCTCCATTAGACTAAGAACAGATTTCAAAAATATGAAAAAGGGTTTTCTATGATCTCTGTTGCTGAGCCAAAAAAAAAAAAAAAACAACAACAGTTTAAGACACAGCAAGAAGTTCCATTTTTGCTTAACTCCACACCTGCTCCTGGTCTGGGCCCTGCGCTGGTAGTGCTGGGTGCCTTCTGGGGTCCTGAGCATCCCTGCAGGGAGGTTTGTGTCTGGGCTCACACTGACTTCCCCTCACTGTGTCTCTTGCACAGTAATACACAGCCGTGTCCTCGGGAGTCACAGAGTTCAGCTGCAGGGAGAACTGGTTCTTGGATGTGTCTGGGTTGATGGTTATTCGACTTTTCACAGATACTGCATAATCATTATACCACTTGGACCTGTAGTATGTCCTTCCCAGCCACTCAAGGCCTCTCGATGGGGACTGCCTGATCCAGTTCCAAGCAGCACTGTTGCTAGAGACACTGTCCCCGGAGATGGCACAGGTGAGTGAGAGGGTCTGCGAGGGCTTCACCAGTCCTGGACCTGACTGCTGCAGCTGTACCTGTGACAGGACACCTGGAGACAAAAGGAAACAGCAAAGTGAAACACCCCTCAGTCTGTGAATGCTGCTGTGAATACGGCATCTCCCTGACACTGACCCCATGGGAGGCCCAGCACGGGCAGGAAGATGAGGAAGGAGACAGACATTGTCTGGAGCTCTGGTGACTGCCCTGGTCAGCCAGAATTCAGCAGGCTCTGCAGTTCTGCAGCGGGGGAGGCTACATTTAAACAGGAAACCACACCCTGGCATTTGCCTGTGTGCGTCACTTGCTGATATAAGGCCCCGGGACGGAGATGGCTCATTGAAGAGCCGGGGCCCTCAGGTCTACAACTGGGTTTCCCTAGAGCCATGTTCTTCAGCAGATTGGATGCAAAGAGGAGCTCAGAGGCAGGGCCCCTGGGTGTGATGACTCTGAAATTCCAGCATTTGGCGTCCTACATCAACCAAAGTCTATATACCCTTATTCATAGATCAGATCCCCTTCATTTATTCACCCATTCACTCATTCATGCAACAAATCCTGAGGGCCGATGGTACTAACCCCCACCCCCTGGCATGAGGAGGCATCCCTAGGCAGATGCACCATCCCTGTGCCCCTGGGGCCAGGTGCCAGGTCCCTAGAGTAAGAAGGCTCAACACCCACACCACCCCAGGCAGTCCCACCACTTCGGGAGTGAAGGGCAGCAGGTCAGCATTCTGGTCCAGGAAAAGCCTGCAGTGGAAAGGAGAGGGGTTTTGCTTCTGTGTGGTGGGGCAGGATGGAGCCGAGTGCAGGGAGCTGTGAGCTTCTAAAGGGAGGTCCACAGAGCACAGTGGGCAAGGGCAGCTCATCCCAAACCCCAAGGGTGGTGGAAACACCCCAGGATGGGGTTGGATGGGTGAGTAGGAGCTTTTTTTTTTTTAACCACCTCAATCATGAATCTGCAAGAGTGAGAGCTAATGACAGGTGACTATGGCGCACACAGTGTCTAGGAGGGGCCTGTTTCTGTCCAGTGACACTTTCTCCTTACATGGCCCCAGAGTGTAACACCCGAGTTTCTGTGGTTCTCGGGGCCTACAGTTCTACCCTCTACTCCTCAGTACTCACATGCGTCACCCACAGGCGTTGCATCTGTGGGGTGGGAACGGGGGTGCCACCACTCCTCACCACATCCAAGGCCCACTGCAGGCTGGCTGATCTGTGGGGATTTGTGGTTCCAGGGCATGGCAGGTCAGCTGCTTTCCGGAGGACTATGGGTGGATATCTCCTGGGCATGGAGCTCACCGCACAGCCAAGGGAGGGCTCGGAGTGCACTGGGGAAAGGCCGCCCCCAGGGCATTCCTGGTGACTGGCTGGGGCTGTGAACATGGAAACTGCACTGTGTGAGGAGAGGGCGAGGCAGTGAGTGTGGCTGCCTCCCAGTGATGTGGGACTGTGCCTCTGCAAGGGGTCGAACCTGTGTCCTCCTGTTGATGGTGGACCCATTGTCCTCATCCACACCTCCACAGGCCTTTCCCTGACTCACTGTAGAACCTGACTATGGCCCCGATAGACAAAGACTTTCCCGCCTGCATTCTCGGTCTACAGCCCATCCTGAGCCCAGGGCGAGGTCCAGGCTTGCACAGGAAGGAGGCACTGATGGGCACGGGGTGGACTGTAGCCACGGAGGGCTGCACAGTGCTGCCAGGCGAATTAGCAGACTCCTAGCTCCCAAATGCAGGGCCAGTTTCCTCTCAGGAACCTACCCTCATTTCCTTGGTAGCCCATTTCATGCACTGGGCTCTGAAGAGTTCTGGTGCAGGATGAGGAGGTGGGGCTGAGGTCTGGACAGACAAAGGTGTGCGTCCCATGGGGCCCACATCGTGGGGCTTGGGAATGATGATGTGTCCAGGAGAGGGCATAGCCTCCACGCCTCGTTCTTGAGAGGGCCTGTGGTGTGGCTTTGGAAATTGGATAAGAATGGTGGCCGCAGCTGCTGGTGCTATAAGAACGGTCACAGCTGAGCAGCGGCCACAGTCCCCCGAGAGTGTCCTCTCCAAGGCACCGTGCAGCTGCTAACACCACCCACCCAGTGCCTGCGCGTCCTGAACTACCCAGAAAACCTACCTCAAGTTGAAAGGAAAAAGCAAAACTGTCTCTGTTCAGAGATTATATGGTTATAGACATAGAAAATCTTAAAGAATCTGAAAAAAAAATAAATCCCCAAAACAAAAACGGACTGTTCAAACTAAGAAAATCAAGGACATTTGAGCATATTAGCACCAAACAATTGGAAAATTAATTTTGAAAGGAAAAAACTTGTGAAGACATAAAAAGCAATCAGGATATACCTTAGAAGAAACATAAAACGATGTGGAGTTCTTTACACAGAAAATTGTAAAACATTGCTCAGAGGCTATG
Source organism: Homo sapiens (assembly GCF_000001405.40). Classification (NCBI taxonomy): domain Eukaryota; kingdom Metazoa; phylum Chordata; class Mammalia; order Primates; family Hominidae; genus Homo; species Homo sapiens. The sequence goes on from NT_187600.1 coordinate 410,205, forward strand.
AACATATGAAGAGATACACCACATATTGGATGCATGGATTGGAAAACTCAGTGTAATTGAGAGACAGGACTAGCTGGATTTCCTAGGCCGACTAAGAATCCCTAAGCCCAGCTGGGAAGGTGACCACTTCCACCTTTAAACACGGGGCTTGCAACTCAGCTCACACCCGACCAATCAGATAGTAAAGAGAGCTCACTAAAATGCTAATTAGGCAAAAGCAGGAGGTAAAGAAATAGCCAATCATCTATCACCTGAGAGCACAGCGGGAGGGACAATGATCGGGATATAAACCCAGGCATTCGAGCCGGTAACAGCTACCCTCTTTGGGTCCCCTCCCTTTGTATGGGAGCTCTGTCTTCACTCTACTAAATCTTGCAACTGCACTCTTCTGGTCCATGTTTGTTACGGCTCGAGCTTCGCTTTCGCTCACCGTCCACCACTGCTGTTTGCCCCCGTGGGAGACCCACCGCTGGCTTCCATCCCTCCGGATCCATCAGGGTATCCGCTGTGCTCCTGATCCAGCGAGGCGCCCATTGCCACTCTCGATCGGACCAAATGCTCGCCATTGTTCCTGCACGGCTAAGTGCCTGGGTTCGTCCTAATCGAGCTGAACACTAGTCACTGGGTTCCACGGTTCTCTTCCGTGACCCACGGCTTCTAATAGAGCTATAACACTCACTGCATGGCCCAAGCTTCCATTCCTTGGAATCCGTGAGGCCAAGAACCCCAGGTCAGAGAACATGAGGCTTGCCACCATCTTGGAAGTGGCCTGCGGTCATTTTGGAAGCGGCCTGCCACCATCTTGGGAGCTCTGGGAGCAAGGGCCCCCCAATAACATAATTAAGATGCCAGTTTTCCCTAAATAAAATCTATAGTTTAAATTTAATCCAAATCAAAATCCCATTCAACCCAGCAATTCAATTACTGGAATTTCTCCAGGGTATAAAAGCACATGTGCTCCAATGATACAATGAATGCTTAGTAATCACAAGCAAATACCTTAAATGTCTCATAACATCTTTCACACAAAAGCTGTTGCATGTCTATTAGCTAATGATTCTTACATCTCATCCGGACCATGCAGCATGAGCAAAGGGATTTCTAACCTTCCGAAGTCTCAGTACTAACTGAGGACTTTACACAAATTGGAAATGGTCACGTGCATTTCATGGTGAGGGTGGGGAGCTTTTGCACTGGAAAGTCCTGTAGAGAAGATTCCGTTATCTTAGTAAAATCACACAGTTTTACTTTGCAGATTGGGATTACTATCGGATAAAGGGTTACTGATGTGGGAAGTTTTCCTACTTTATTATCCTTTTAGGTTCCTATGTGATACGGTTTGGCTCTGTGTCCCCACCCCAATCTCATCTCTAGTTGTAATTCTGATGTATCAAGGAAGGGTCCAGGTGGGAGGTGATTACAGGCATCTGCCACCACGCCCAGCTAATTTTTGTGTTTTTAGTAGAGACAGGTTTTGCCATGTTGGCCAGGCTGGTCTCAAAGTCCTGACCTCAAGTGATCCGCCTGCCTCGGCCTCCCACAGTGCTGGGATTACAGGTGTGAGCCACTGCACCCGGGCTCCAGGCTACACTTGAAGCATTTCTTAGGTTCAGTTCAGAGCAGCCTTTAGTCCTGAATTAATGTGGCACCACTACTCACGAGATTACTTCGGAAGATTGCTTGAAGCTTTACATATCTCAAGGTCTTTCCACCCTGGCTGGGAGAACACAAACAATGCTTTCCTTGTGTAGGCTCTGTGTAGTTTTGGGTCCACAGGTTTCTGGTGATTTCCCCCTGATATCGAGTAGTTTCTTTTCATGCAGGCATAAGTCAGGCATAAGTCAGTTCTCAGCCCCAAACCTGAGGGATCCCCCTCCCTGCGGCAAGTCTCCAGCTGTTCTCCCCCCGCCCCACCCCGGCCCATCCTGGCTGCACAGCAGCCTGCTCCCCGGTGCTCCTCCCCTCGGGCTGCTGCTGCCTTGAACTCTGCTCTCTGTCCGCTCAGCTCACTAAGCCTTTCCGTGTGTCCTGGCAGCTGCTTTCAGGCAATAGCAGGATTCGTTCATTTGTTTTTCTTTTCTCAGGGGTTATGATCCTGTGATGCTTGTTTCCAAATGTCTGAAAACTACTTTTTCAAAACATTTCCACCTCAGTGTTCTATTTGTTTAAGGAATGTGGGTAAGTGCATTTTACCCACAGGGCTTGAACCAACATTCAAAATTTTATGTTAGAACCTGTTAAAGACAAAGGGCAAAACTGATCACAAACTCAAATGCAGGACAGTTGCACTGCGATTCTTTTTTCGTTAGGTTACAGCCCTTATGTGTTGTACTCCGCGGGCGCAGGCTGAGAGCCGTCTGCACCTTTGTTACTGCGGCCCGACGCCCTCTTGCCAGGGCCACAGCAGCATCCCCCGGGTCACCGAGCCGGGGCTTTCCCACGTGCCTCCTTACAATTGCTATGTTTCTGCAAGCAGAGGCCCAAGGAAGTATGAAGCACTCCTCAATATCTAAATTAGCTAGCAAAACTCTACAGGGTGATTAAAAAAAAAAAAAAAAAACAACTGTGAAGGTGAGAGGTGCAGTGAGTCCTTGGCAGAGGCCGTTTGCTCAGGGAAAGTAAAACCAATGACCTGACTCAACGCGGACACGTCTGCCCCGCCCCCTAAAACCTGCTTCTGGGGCCGCTGTGTGGTCTGGAGCGCCGCCTGGTGGTCTTGTGCTTCCCTGCAGGGAGGTTTGTGTCTGGGCTCACGCTGAGGTCCCCATTCTGTCTCCCACGGGAATGTGCGGCCCTGCCCTTGGCCATCACGGAGCTCAGCTGCAGGGATAACTGGGCCTTGGATGTGTCTCTACAGATGGAGAGTTGGCCCAGAAAGGCTGGGCTGAAGTGTGTGCTGCCCCTGGAGCTGAGGTGCCCCAGCGCCTTCCCAGAGGGCTGCTGGGTCCAGGCCCAGAGGTCTGTGAGGACCTCACCAGCCCTGGGCATGACTCCAGTAGCTGCATCTGATGCAGGACACTCAGGGACAAGAAGCAAAGAGATGAGTCACAAGCGGACACCACAGCCCACAGCCCCCGTTCTGAAATCTCTGAGACACTCACATGGAGGTACAGCCATCAGGCAGAGGACGACACACAGAGATCTCATGTTTTCCTCAACAAGGGGCTCGACTTTCTCAGTGGCCTCTCCAGGACAGAACAAGAAAAAATAACTGGCTGTCTCTAGTTTGAGGTTGCATTTCGCTGGGTCTCTGGGATGGAAATGTGTCTTGTGTCTTCAGGAGTCTGCAGGGCAGCCGCTGCTGTGACTCAGGTAGAAACTTCTCTCCCCTGATGTCCTGGCCCCTCGTTATCCCTGCCACAGTGCAATCAGACTGGGCACCGCTTTAGGGAGAAACGGAGGACATGGAGTGAGGGCAGGGTAGTGGAGACTATTGAAGAGAGTCAAAACTCTCCAGGGGTAGAGACGCCTCCAGGACCCCTTGGCATTGTTTTCTTCACTTTGCAGGAGTAGGAAGGAGCTGAGAGTCTAGACAGAGCCTCAGATGCACAACCCTGATTTGGCATATCGGGGAGCAATCTCATCAGCCCAGGAGAAGGCCCAGGAGAAGGGGCAGCTCTTTGTGCCTCTGCAGAGAAGCGGCAGGGACTGGGAGGACATTTTCCCTGCCCAGCAGGTGGTGCTGCCTCCTTGTTCCCTGCCTGGCACAGCCTCGGGGTGCAGCTGCTGGCTTTCCCAGGGTCTGTGGAGAGCGTCTTCTTGGTACTTCCTTAACGTCAAATAAAGTGAATGCCTTCTCAATGCACATCTTAATTCATCATTGGAAAGGCCAAGACACACGCACACACACATCTATATGTTTTTCTGACAAGAGCTAGAGACAATTGATAAGTATGTTATCTGACTGTAGTTCACCTTAAGGAGGAAAAAACTATTAAGAAATTTCTTAAGTGTAAATTGTGCCTAATTATGAGTAAATTAGTAACAGAAGTAAAAAATAATAACTGCAGTCAACTTATACACTTTAAAAGAATACTCTGTGAAACAATGACGTGTTATCAAAAAAGGGACACTTAATTTGTTATGTGTGGTGATGGTCAATGAGCAGACTCGTGTTCTTGCTGGAGAAGTCGCAGCATCCCCACAGGTGGACTTCCTGCAGCAATCTTGTGTGTCTCACACTTCTGTCCAAAGCATGTAAGGGGGGAACTCAGTGCGCACAGGAACCTGACGCCTGCCACCCAAGGGATGCGTGAGCTTCCGTATAAGCAGAAGAAGATGGAAACTTCAGCACCTGCAACAGAAGAGGCTTTCTGCTTTGGGGACCCAAACAGTTCCATCTATGGTGGAGATGTAGGCTCATTCCTACATCAACGTCAACAAGCCATTGGACACAACAACATTTAGGAGTAGTCGACCGCACCTTCTCCAATGTGGCCTGCACAGCCCAGGCTGCAGGGTGGGAGAGGTCGATTCTGGAGAAAAGTCATTCCTGCTCCCCTGGTACACTCTCCTCCCCCACTGCTTCATACAGGGACCAATGTGATGATGCCATCATGATGTTGAAGCACACACTGAGCCCTGTAATCAATTAGAGGGCTTTCCTATCCACCCATCCACACACACATCCACCCATCCACTCACCCGTCCATCCGTCCACCACTTATCCATGCATCCATCCACCCACCCAGCCATGCATTCATCCAGCCATCCCACAATCCACCCACCCACCCACACATCCAAACGTCCATCCACGAATTCATGCATCTGTCCACCCATCCAGCCATGCATTCATCCAGCCATCCCACAATCCACCCACCCACCCACACATCCAAACGTCCATCCACGAATTCATGCATCTGTCCACCCATCCAGCCATGCATTCATCCAGCCATCCCACAATCCACCCACCCACCCACACATCCAAACGTCCATCCACGAATTCATGCATCTGTCCACCCATCCAGCCATGCATTCATCCAGCCATCCCACAATCCACCCACCCACCCACACATCCAAACATCCATCCACTAATTCATGCATGTGTCCACCCATCCAGCCATGCATTCATCCAGCCATCCCACAATCCACCCACCCACCCACACATCCAAACGTCCATCCACTAATTCATGCATCTGTCCACCCATCCAGCTATCTGTTAGCAGGAGCGAATCCATACAGGTCTGCAGCAACTTGATTCTCGCCTCCTTGGAGGAAAGAATTTGGCCAAGGGGCATACAGAAGAGTGAGAGACCCAAGCAAGTTTTAGAGCAGGAGTAAATGTTTATTAAAGTTTTAAAGTGGGAACTAAAGGAAGTAAAGTACACTTGGAAGAGGGCTAAGTGGGCGACTTGAGAGATCTAAGTGCTCTGTCCGGCCCTTGACTTGGGGTTTTATACATTGACATGGTTCTGGGATTTGTATTTCTTCTCCCTTGATTCTTCCCTTGGAGTGGGCTGCCCACATGTACAGTGGCCTGCCAGCACTTGGGAGGGGCTGCATACACAGTGGGTTTAATGAAATGTGCACATGCTCATTTGAGGTGTCCTTCTCTTACTATTAGAGTGTTCCTAGAGGAAGATTATGTGCCAGTTAAACTCTGCCACTTTGCCTCTTAGTGCATATGCTTGAGCCCACTCACCCAATGCCTGAGATCTTATCAGGAAGCTGCTGATGACCAGTTTCGGGTGTTTTCTATCTATTGGGAGACTGCCTTTTCTTGGCGCTGGCTGAGATCAATTATTATTTATTATTATTATTATTATTTGAGACAGAGCTTTGCTCTGTCACCAGGCTGGAGTGCAGTGGCACAATCTCAGCTCACTGCAGCCTCTTCCTCCCAGGTTCAAGCAATTCTCCTGCCTCAGCCTCCCGAGTAGCTGGAACTATAGATGCACGCCACCACGCCCAGCTAATTTTTGTATTTTCAGTAAAGACAGGGTTTCACCATGTTGGTCAGGATGGTCTCAATCTCTTGACCTTGTGATCCGCCCACCTCAGCCTCCCAAAGTGTTGGGATTACAGACATGAGCCACCGCGTCCAGCCGAGACCAATAATTATTTTAGAGAGGCAGTTTAACAATCCCTTGACTATCAGCTCATGCCTGCCTAATTACCCACTCTAATACATCCATCCCTTCACATACCCATTCATCCATCCATCCATCCATCCACTCACTTATCTATCCAAGTACTCATCCATGCATGTAGCCACCCACCTACCCACCCATTCATCCACTCACCCATCCATCCACCCATCCATGCATCCATCAACCTACCCATCCACCCATACATGCATCCATCTATCTTTTCACTCTTCCATCCACACACCTACTCAGCCATCCATCCATCCATCTATCCATCCATCCATCCATCCATCCATCCATCCATCCACTAATCCATGGTTGGGTCCATCTGTCTGTGCCACAAACATGCAAAGATAAGTTCCATGTGACAAGTCTGAACTCAGTGTTGGAATCATGGGAGGGGCAAGGTGGAACAGGCTGGCTTCCTCACCACTGTTAACACTGTGGGGAGAAGGCCGATGGCAAACTCACTTCCATGTTAAATTTCCTAAAAGAGGAAGGGGAGTGTCATGCTAGAGAGTAATGGAAGCTCCCACTGTTGACACAGAGGTAATAAATGCCTGTCTGATGAGCTAAGACCTGCAGGAACAGAAACAGTCAGCCACATGAAAACAAGGCAGGAAAGAGGCCTATGGCAGAAGAGCAGCTGCTGAAAGTTCCCTTAGGTTGGGCAAAGCTGTTACGTTTTGAGGAACTAAGAACAGTCCAAGGGCAAGCCACCGCCCTGTGTTTCTCCTCTTCCCCTGTGTCTGTCTGATGACCCCACAGGTTGCCCTCTTTCACTTTGTATCTCTCATTTCTGTGCCTCTCTCTCTCTCTCTCTCTCTCTCTCTCTGTCTCCCTTCATCTGGCTTATCTCTCTGTATATCTTTTTGTCTTATTATTTCAACAAGGGCTCTTAGGGTCCATCTACCGTGCTGGAAACTTTCTTCTCACCAACCATTGTAAGTTGGAGAATGTTTTCTCCACCTTATTACAAAATGTTATAGCTAATTCTCTTACTGCAGAATAATCTTTAATATGGGTGCCCTGTTTTTAGAATTTAAAATTAGTATCAATTGCCATTTTTTCACAATTACAATTAGTATTTTACAAATGAGTTTTGTAACAGGGCAGGGCATTAATGAATTAAATTACTCTGTAATAGGAATGAGAAATTTTATTTTAATATTTTTGAGACAGAGTCTTGCTTTGTCTGTCAGGCTGGAGTGCGGTGGTATGATCTTAGCTCACTGCAACCTACACCTCTTGGGTTCAAACGATTATCCTGCCTCAGCCCCCCAAGTAGCTCAGACTACAGGTGCATGCCACCATGCCCAGCTAATTTTTGTATTTTTGGTAGATACAGCGTTTCACCATGTTGGCCAGGCTGGTTTTGAACTTCTGACCTCAGGTGAGCCACCTGCCTCGGCCTTCCAAAGTGCTGGGATACAGGCATGAGCCACTGTGCCCAGCCAAGAAATTTTATTTTTAATGGACCCTCTTAGATAGTTCTTAATAATGGCAGTATCAAAATACATGCAATTATGCATATGGAAGTAGCTTTTTTCCTACAAACTTAAGAATATTTCAAATCATCTTCTCTCTATTCTTTTGAATTACATGTGTGAGAAACAGATTATAAGTATTTCATGTTATTTTCCCAGACATCACTATAAGCATCAAGTAACTATTCACATGTGTGCCAGCGATTTATCATCATACTCATGAGGGTTTTCTATTTCTAGAAGTTGCCCATTTTTTGATCTCTTTTTGCTTTTTCCTTCTTGTAAATATTGGAGTTCTTAATTCTTTTCTAATGCTGTAGATCCTCCTAGGGAAGGATTCTCTACAGTACTACATGTGTTAGAATGTGGGTGAAAAATTATACGTGCTTTAAATAATGAATGAGCCCGAAAAAAAGAGCTGGAAGTTGCCAGGTGCTAGGAATAGACAAAATTAAAAAGGGCATTTGAATTGAGAATGAAACCTGAATGCCCCTTGCATTTCTGAGGTAGGTTTAACATACACAGGACGGGAGCAGCCTTGTGTGACTTGTGGGACTGGAGCTGAGGTTTCGGCTTGAGTAGAGAGGTTTTTTTTTTTTTAAATAATTAGTTTCTCTTTTGATTGACACATAAAAATGACCTATATTTATTCTGTACAGCATAATGTTTTGTAACATGTCTACATAGGGGAGTGGCTCCACTGAGCTAATTAACATCTGTATCACTCACCTACTCCCCATACGGCTAGAGAGGTTCTAAGTTGGCTTCAGCCATGATGTCAGGTTAGAAACATTCCCTCATGAACAGCAGCCCTGGACATGGTAGAAAAGCAAACCCCAAGCCCTCGCTGTTCACAAAGTGGTCCTAGTGTCTCACCCACCATCTGGAGCTGCAAAACTGAGCTGGGAAATCACCGTCGTGGAGTGCCACTGGCAGCACACAGGTCCCAGCAGCCAGGAGCAAGGCACCATCCACAGATGCCTGCTCCCGGGGGACCACAGCTCCTGTGATGAGGTCTCATACATAGAAACCATGTGATGAGCAAGGGAAAAGCGTGTCATGACATTCTGAAGGCCACAAAGAGGGAGGTAAACCTGTAGAGATGACAGATACTTCAAGTTACTTTCTGATTTTTCTAAAATTATAAAATAGATCAACAAAAAGCTAGAGAAGAATGAATAATTCAAGAACAGATTTTAAGAAAGAAGAACTTTCTGATGTGTGAAAGTACCCAATATGCATTATCATAATTGTAGGCATTGAGCTCTCAATGAAAGAATGACCTCACACTTGACACTCAGAAGGGGATAAATAATGTTGGATAGATTGCCAAAGTGTTCTAGAAAGAAAATAATCCATCTTTAATTTTACAATACCACTCTTTCTACAATGATAGCGAAAAAAAAATCCAGATACAAATGGCAGGAAAGTGGAGCATATAGTTTCCTGCTGAAGCTGCTGTTGATGAACGTGCCTCACTTGCATGATCTCGGCTGTGCATAGTGTGTGGCCAGTGGGGAGCAGTGCTTGTGGGTGGCTGAATAATGCATCCCCCAAATGTTTACATTCAAACCCCCAGAACATGTGGTTTAGTGACCTCATATGGCACGAGGAACTTTGTAGATGTGATTAAATTAATCTCGAGAGGGGAGAATATGGCCCTGCATTGTCTGGGTGGGTATGATGTAATCACAGGGGTGCTTATAAGTGGAAGCAGGAGAACCAGAGTCAGGGGAAGGGTGATGTGATGATGGACACAGAGATGAGAGGATGGCCTTTGAAGATGGAAGAAGGGGACACAGAGCAAGGAATATGGGTTCTAGAATCTGGAAAAGGCATGAAAACAGAATCTCCCTCCCAGGGTTCAGAAGAAACCAGCTCTGCCAACGCTTTGCCTCTGGACTAATAAAACCGCAGGACCACCAAGAAACTGCTCTTTCTTGCATAGAACACAGTCAGTATGCTCACACGACATGGGTGGGTTTGAGAGTTAAAGGAGACTGCAAGGTCTCTGGCTGAAACAGGGCAGGAATCAGGTGGAGCAAGAGGGTGGGTAGGCAGGACCTGATTTTCAGGAGTGTAAATGTGAGGCACTGATGAGATTTCCAGGTGGAGACAGAGGGAGGAGTTATGTGTTCAGGTCTAGAGTGGAGCTGGTAGGTTGGTCTGAGCCTGAGAAAGGAGGGCATCCTCCAGGAATTGAGAGTAGGAAAAGGGAAGAGTGGATAAGTGCTAAGAACTAAGTGGGAGATTTCTGGAGGTGGCGGCTCACAGAGCCAGCAATGTCTTATGGTTGGGGTTTGTAACCCCAGTCACTGAAAGTGTCCTCCCAGCCTCTCTCTGCATATGCCCCTGGGGCTGAGTGCCTGCGTTGGATGGTCACTTACCATTCCCTAAGAGGCCCTAAGCACCTCCTGCAGCCCAGCTCCTCCTGGACCCTCTCTCTGCATATGCCCCTGGGGCTGAGTGCCTGCGTTGGGTGGTCACTTACCATTCCCTAAGAGGCCCTAAGCACCTCCTGCAGCCCAGCCCCTCCTGGACCCTCTGGAGGGGAAGTTTGTGTTTGTGTTTGGTCACGGAGCCCGGCTGCAGAGAAAACAAGTTTTTTTTTTTTTTTTTTCGAAAGGATCTCACTCTGCCACCCACGCTGGAGTGAGGTGGTGCCATCATAGCTCACTGCAACCTCAACCTCCTGGCCTCAAGCCACACTCCCACCTTGGCCTCCCAAAGTGTTGCGTTTACAGGTGTGTGCCAAGGTGCCCACTCAAAAACGGGTTCTTGGCTGGGCACTGTGGCTCAAGCCTGTAATCCCAGCACCTTGGGGGTCAAGGTGGGTGGATCACTTGAGCCCAGGAGTTTGAGACCAGCCTGGGCAACAGACTGTTACATGACCATTTAGCTTATGCAAATGTGGGACTGGTTAAATGGTCTATGTGGGGCTGTCACCTTGTCTTTGCATCTGTCACTGAAGCCAGAAGTCAGCAGGGCAGACAGTTGGGAAGGAAAGACAGTGGGCAAGCTGAGGTGGACAGAGGCAGCCACAGGGATGGACTGGGACACATGAAGGCAGGCGAAACCATGTTGTCTCTCACACCCTTTCAAGGGTCTAGAGGGAGTCCTTTAACTGATTTTCTTCCAATATATGTAATTATGAGGCTGGAGGTGGTGATACTGGAGTTCATAGCCTGACTGGAAGCTGTAAAAAGCTTGTACAACCTTATGGTGATTAGTTTTTATAGCCTTAATAAGCCCCAGAAATAAGACTAAGTCAGAGACTTGATTTAGGATTTTGATTTTTGAGAACATTTGTTATAGATGCTAAAAGGCTCAAAATATTTGATCAAAACAGAATCACAGGCCATTGTAAAATGATAGTTACTAATTTAACCGAAGTGGTAATTAAAAAGACTTCAGAGGTGAGTCAAGATGGCTGACTAGATGCAGCCAGGAGGAATATCTGTCATGGAGGGAGTGAGACATCAGGAAGACGGGTGCTTTCCAAGCAGATCTTTGAAGGGGAGGCATTGAGAGTGGATTGAGAGTAGATGGGGGAGGACACAGATGCTGAGCTGAAGGTGGAGGAAGATGGGAACCCTGCATGGGGATGCCAAGCACCAGGACTCATTCCTGGCTCCCAGCAACTCCTGGGGAAAGGTTGAGTTGAACAGGTGAGGAGTGGCCTGCTGTTGCCATGGGCCTCCAGAATCCTAGCAGCAGGAGACCCCATGACCCCCATGGACACTTGTGCTGGAAGGGACAGCTGCTTAGAGAGATGCCAGGGGCAGGACTCCAGTCTGTGTAAAGCCCAGAGTGTTTGACATGAGAATGGCTGTAGTGGAGCACAGCCAGGGGACACCCATCCCCCAAGGCTCACCAACCTCCTCTAGGAGATTTTAACCTTAGAGTGACTATGGGACCTGAATAAAGCAGGGTGGTCTTGTCCATGGGACAGGGCCCATCTGAAATGAGAATTTCCTTGCCTTCTGGCCTCTCCTGGGGCCCCAGGCTGGCTGTGCCTGCTTGCAGTACAGCCTTGGAAGCCCAACCAGGGTGTTTCCTGGGGGCCCTCATCATAGCTCCTTTGCCAGCAGACCATGCCTAACCATTGGAGACCTCCAGCAGGCCAGCCTCTGCTGATGTGCACCAGTCCACCCATAGTACCTCCCAACTGCTTTGCTGGCATGAGTGCACAGCAGATCACAACTCCCTCTACCACCAGCAAGCATGTGCATGTGTGCCCCACCACCCTGTCCCTGCCAACACACGGACACCTCACTGCGCTGTGACTGCCAGCAGGAACCTATGTAGGGATGCTGCCACTCTGCTCCTGCCAGTACCCCCACCCCAGCAGATGCATGTGCACCCTGCCATGACTCCACAACTGCTGGCACCCATGAGTAAGAATGGATCCCACTGCCACCACTCTAATGAAGTGCTTTGGCCGGCACCCCCTACTATAGTGTTGTGGCCAATGGACTGGGAACACCTCAGCCCCTCCAATGCAGCAAGTTTCTAAACTCAAGGGGCCAGAGAATAAAGCCAGGGGCCCAGTCCCAGAGCAGAGAACACACCACAAGAGTGCTGAGGTGAGCCTGGACTCTCTAAGATTTTCAAGAAACACTGCTAACTGAATCCACTTTATACCACAATCAAACCTGCAAGAGTATCAAAGAAGATAAGAGCAAAAAACAAACAAATGAACAAACAAACAAAAACACACACCAAAAAACAACAAAAAAGACAAAAACATCCAAAGGACAGCCACTTCAAAGATTAAAGAAACAGCCCACAAAGATGAGAAAGAATTAATGCAAGAAACTCTGCAACTCTAAAATCCAGAGTGTCTTCTTACCTCCAAATAATCACACTGGTTTCCCAGCAATGGTTCTTAACCTGACTGAAATGGCTGAAATGACAGACATAGAATTCAGAATATGCACAGGAAAGAAGATCACTGAGATTCAGGAGAATGTTGAAACCCAATCCAAGGGAGCTAAGAAATAAAGTAAAATGATACAGAAGCTGAAAGATGAAATGGCCATTTTAAGAAAGAACCAAACTGATTTGATAGAGCTAAAAAACTCACTTCAAGAATTTCAGAATACAATTACAAGTATTAACAGCAGAATAGACCAAGCTGAGGAAAGAATCACAGAGCTTAAAAACTGATTCTCTGAATTAACTCAGTCAGACAAAAATAAAGAACAAAGAATAAAAAAGAAGGCATAAAACCTCAGAGAAATGTGCAATTATGTAAAAAGACCAGATCTATGACACATTGGTATCCCTTAAGAAGAGAAAGAGAAAAAAAGAAACTTGAAAAACATTTCAGGCTATCCTCCATGAAAATTTCTCCAACCTCACCAGAGAGGCCAACATTCAAATTCAAGAAATGCAAATAACCTCTGCATGATATTATACATGACAACCATCCCTAAGACATATAGCCATCAGACATCAGACTCTTAAAGGTTGAAAGGAAAAAAAATATTAGAGGCAGCTAGAAAGAAGGTTCAGGTCACATACAAAGGGAACCCAATGAGGCTAACAATGGAGGTTTCAGCAGAAACTGTACAATCCAGAAGAGATTGGGGGCCTATATTCAGCATTCTTAAAGAAAAGAAATTCCAAGCAAGAATTTCATATCTAGCCAAACGAAGCTTCACAAGTGAAGGAGAAATAAGATCCTTTTCAGACAAGCAAATGCTAAGGGTATTCATCACCACTAGATTGCCTTACAAGAGGCCCTTAAGGGATTGCTAAATATGATAATGGAAGAACGTTACTGGCCACCACAAAAACACACTTAAGTACATAACGATTGCCACTATAAATCAACTATACAATCAAATCTGCATATTGAGCAGCTAACAACATGATAACAGGATGAAATATGCACATATCAATATTAACCTTGAATGTAAATGGGCTAAATGCCCCAATTAAAGGGCAGAGAATTGCCAAGTTGGAGAAAGAAGCAAGACCCAAATGTATGCTGTCTTCAAGAGACCCATCTCACATGCAATGACATCCCCAGGCTCAAAGTAAAAGGATGGAGAAAAATCTACTAAGCAAATGGAAAACAGAAAAAAGCAGGTGTTTCTTTTTTTAAAAATTTTTTTATTATACTTTAAGTTTTAGGGTACATGTGCACAACGTGCAGGTTTGTTACATATGTATATATGTGCCATGTTGGTGTGCTGCACCCATAAACTCATCAATTAACATCAGGTATATCTCCTAATGCTATCCCTCCCCACTCCCCCCACCCCACAACAGGCCCTGGTGTGTGATGTTCCCCTTCCTGTGTCCAAGTGTTCTCATTGTTCAATTCCCACCTATGAATGAGAACATGCAGTGTTTGTCTTTTTGTCCTTGTGATAGTTTGCTGAGAATGATGGTTTCCAGCTTCATCCATGTCCCTACAAAGGACATGAACTCATCCTTTTTTATGGCTGCAGAGTATTCCATGGTGTATATGTGCCACATTTTCTTAATCCAGTCTATCATTGTTGGACATATGGGTTGGTTCCAAGTCTTTGCTATTGTGAATAGTGCCGCAATAAACATACGTGTGCATGTGTCTTTATAGCAGCATGTTTTATAATCCTTTGGGTATATACCCAGTAATGGGATGGCTGGGTCAAATGGTATTTCTAGTTCTAGATCCCTGAGGAATCGCCACACTGACTTCCACAATGGTTGAACTAGTTTACAGTCCCACCAACAGTGTAAAAGTGTTCCTATTTCTCCACATCCTCTCCAGCACCTGTTGTTTCCTGACTTTTTAATGATCGCTGTTCTAACTGGTGTGAGATGGTATCTCATTGTGGTTTTGATTTGCATTTCTCTGATGGCTAGTGATGATGAGCATTTTTTCATGTGTCTTTTGGCTCCATAAATGTCTTCTTTTGAGAAGTGTCTATTCATATCCTTTGCCCACTTTTTGATGGGGTTGTTTGTTTTTCTTGTAAATTTGTTTGAGTTCATTGTAGATTCTGGATATTAGCCCTTTGTCAGATAAGTAGATTGCAAAAATTTTCTCCCATTCTGTAGGTTGCCTGTTTACTCTGATGGTAGTTTCTTTTGCTGTGCAGAAGCTCTTTAGTTTAATTAGATCCCATTTGTCAATTTTGGCTTTTGTTGTCATTGCTTTTGGTGTTTTAGACATGAAGTCCTTGCCCATGCCTATGTCCTGAATGGTATTGCCTAGGTTTTCTTCTAGGGTTTTTATGGTTTTAGGTCTAACATTTAAGTCTTTAATCCTCTTGAATTAATTTTTGTATAATGTGTAAGGAAGGGATCCAGTTTCAGCTTTCTACATATGGCTAGCCAGTTTTCCCAGCACCATTTATTAAATAGGGAATCGTTTTCCCATTTCTTGTTTTTGTCAGGTTTGCCAAAAATCAGATAGTTGTAGATATGCGGCATTATTTCTGAGGGCTCTGTTCTGTTCCATTGGTCTGTATCTCTGTTTTGGTACCAGTACCATGCTGTTTTGGTTACTGTAACCTCGTAGTATAGTTTGAAGTCAGGTAGCGTGATGCCTCCAGCTTTGTTCTTTTGGCTTAGGATTGACTTGACATTGCAGGCTCTTTTTTGGTTCCATATGAACTTTAAAGCAGTTTTTCCCAATTCTGTGAAGAAAGTCATTGGTAGCTTGATGGGGATGTCATTGAATCTATAAATTACCTTGGGCAGTATGGCCATTTTCAGGATATTGATCCTTCCTACCCATGAGCATGGAATGTTTTTCCATTTGTTTGTATCCTCTTTTATTTCATTGAGCAGTGGTTTGTAGTTCTCCTTGAAGAGGTCCTTCACGTCCCTTGTAAGTTGGATTCCAAGGTATTTTATTCTCTTTGAAGCAATTGTGAATGGGAGTTCACTCATGATTTGGCTCTCTGTTTGTCTGTTATTGGGTTATAGAAATGCGTGTGATTTTTGCACATTGATTTTGTATCTTGAGACTTTGCTGAAGTTGCTTATCAGCTTAAGGAGATTTTGGGCTGAGACGATGGGGTTTTCTAGATATACAATCATGTCATCTGCAAACAGCGACAATTTGACTTCCTCTTTTCCTAATTGAATACCCTTTATTTCCTTCTCCTGCCTGATTGCCCTGGCCAGAACTTCCAACACTATGTTGAATAGGAGTGGTGAGAGAGGGTGTCTCTGTCTTGTGCCAGCTTTCAAAGGGAATGCTTGTAGTTTTTCCCATTCAGTATGATATTGGCTGTGGGTTTGTCATAGATAGCTCTTATTATTTTGAGATACGTCCCATCAATATCTAATTTATTGAGAGTTTTTAGCATGAAGTGTTGTTGAATTTTGTCAAAGGCCTTTTCTGCATCTATTGAGATAATCATGTGTTTTTTGTCGTTGGTTCTGTTTATATGCTGGATTACGTTTATTGATTTGCGTATGTTGAACCAGACTTGCATCCCAGGGATGAAGCCCACTTGATCATGGTGGATAAGCTTTTTGATGTGCTGCTGGATTCGGTTTGCCAGTATTTTATTGAGGATTTTTGCATTGATGTTCATCAGGGTTATTGGCCTAAAATTCTCTTTTTTTTTGTTGTGTCTCTGCCAGGCTTTGGTATTAGGATGATGCTGGCCTCATAAAATGAGTTAGGGAGGATTCCCTCTTTTTCTATAGATTGGAATAGTTTCAGAAGGAATGGTACCAGCTCCTCCTTGTAGCTCTGGTAGAATTCGGCTGTGAATCCATCTGTTCCTGGACTTTTTTTGGTTGTTAAGCTATTAATTATTGCCTCAATTTCAGAGCCTGTTATTGGTCTATTCAGAGATTCAACTTCTTCCTGGTTTAGTCTTGGGATGGTGTATGTGTCGAGAAATTTATCCATTTCTTCTAGATTTTCTAGTTTATTTCCGTAGAGGTGTTTATAGTATTCTCTGATGGTAGTTTGTATTTCTGTGGGATCGGTGGTGATATCCCCTTTATCATTTTTTATTGCATCTATTTGATTCTTCTCTCTTTTCTTCTTTATTAGTCTTGCTAGTGGTCTATCAATTTTGTTGATCTTTTCAAAAAACCAGCTCCTGGATTCATTGATTTTTTGAAGGGTTTTTTTGTGTCTCTGTTTCCTTCAGTTCTGCTCTGATCTTAGTTATGTCTTGCCTTCTGCTGGCTTTTGAATGTGTTTGCACTTGCTTCTCTAGCTCTTTTAATTGTGATGTTAGGGTGTCAATTTTAGATTTTTCCTGCTTTCTCTTGTGGGCATTTAGTGCTATAAATTTCCCTCTACACTCTGCTTTGAATGTGTCCCAGAGATTCTGGTATGTTGTGTCTTTGTTCTCACTGGTTTCAAAGAACATCTTTATTTCTGCCTTCGTTTCATTATGTACCCAGTAGTCATTCAGGAGCAGGTTGTTCAGTTTCCATGTAGTTGAGTGGTTTTGAGTGAGTTTCTTAATCCTGAGTTCTAGTTTGATTGCACTGTGCTCTGAGAGACAGTTTGTTATAATTTCTGTTCTTTTACATTTGCTGAGGAGTGCTTTACTTCCATCTATGTGGTCAATTTTGGAATAGGTGTGGTGTGGTGCTGAAAAGAATGTATATTCTGTTGATTTGGGGTGGAGAGTTCTGTAGATGTCTATTAGGTCTGCTTGGTGCAGAGCCGAGTTCAGTTGCTGGATATCCTTATTAACTTTCTGTCTCGTTGATCTGTCTAATGTTGACAGTGGGGTGTTAAAGTCTCCCATTATTATTGTGTGGGAATCTAAGTCTCTTTGTAGGTCTCCAAGGACTTGCTTTATGAATCTGGGTGCTCCTGTATTGGATGCATATATATTTAGGATAGTTAGCTCTTCTTGTTGAATTGATCCCTTTACCATTATGTAATGGTCTTCTTCGTCTCTTTTGATCTTTGTTGGTTTAAAGTCTCTTTTATCAGAGACTAGGATTGCAACTCCTGCCTTTTTTTGTTTTCCAGTTGCTTGGTAGATCTTCCTCCATGCCTTTATTTTGAGCCTATGTGTGTCTCTGCATGTGAGATGGGTCTCCTGAATACAGCACACTGATGGGTCTTGACTCTTTATCCAATTTGCCAGTCTGTGTCTTTTAATTGGAGCATTTAGCCCATTTACATTAAAGGTTAATATTGTTATGTGTGAATTTGATCCTGTCATTATGATGTTAGCTGGTTATTTGGCTCGTTAGTTGATGCAGTTTCTTCCTCGCTTTGGTGGTCTTTATGATTTGGCATGTTTTTGCAGTGGCTGGTACCAGTTGTTCCTTTCCATGTTTAGTGCTTCCTTCAGGAGCTCCTGTAGGGCAGGCCTGGTGATGACAAAATCTATCAGCATTTGTTTGTCTGTAAAGGATTTTATTTCTCCTTCACTTATGAAGCTTAGTTTGGATGGATATGAAATTCTGGGTTGAAATTTCTTTTCTTTAAGAATGTTGAATATTGGCCCCCACTCTCTTCTGGCTTGTAGAGTTTCTGCTGAGAGATCAGCTGTTAGTCTGATGGGCTTCCCTTTGAGGGTAACCCGACCTTTCTCTCTGGCTGCCCTTAATATTTTTTCCTTCATTTCAACTTTGGTGAATCTAACAATTATGTGTCTTGGAGTTGCTCTTCTCGAGGAGTATCTTTGTGGGGTTCTCTGTATTTCCTGAATTTGAATGTTGGCCTGTCTTGCTAGGTTGGGGAAGTTCTGCTGGATAATATACTGCAGAGTGTTTTCCAACTTGGTTCCATTCTCCCTGTCACTTTCAGGTACACCAATCAGACATAGATTTGGTCTTTTCACATAGTCTGATATTTCTTGGAGGGTTTGTTTCTTTCTTTTTACTTTTTTTTCCTCTAAACTTCTCTTCTCCCTTCATTTCTTTCATTTGATCTTCAATCACTGATACCCTTTCTTCCAGTTGATCGAATCGGCTACTGAAGCTTGTGCATTCATCACGTAGTTCTCATACCATGGTTTTCAGCTCCATCAGGTCATTTAAGGACTTCTCTACACTGGTTATTCTAGTTAGCTACTCATCTGATCTTTTTTCAAGGTTTTTAGCTTCTTTGCAATGGGTTCCAACTTCCTCCTTTAGCTCGGAGAAGTTTGATCATCTGAAACCTTCTCTCAACTCATCAAAGTCATTCTCCATCCAGCTTTGTTCCATTGCTGGCGAGGAGCTGCATTCCTTTGGAGGGGGAGAGGCACTTTGATTTTTAGAATTTTCAGCTTTTCTGCCCTGTTTTTTCCCCATCTTTGTGGTTTTATCTACCTTTTGTCTTTGATAATGGTGATGTACAGATGGGGTTTTCATGTGGATGTCCTTTCTGTTTGTTAGTTTTCCTTCTGACAGTCAGGACCCTCAGCTGCAGGTCTGTTGGAGTTTGCTGGAGGTCTACTGCAGACCCTATTTTCCTGGGTATCAGCAGCAGAGGCTGCAGAACAGCGAATATTGCTGAACAGCAAATGTTGCTGCCTGATAATTCCTCTGGAAGCTTCATCTCAGAGGGGCACCCAGCCGTGTAAGGTGTCAGTCTGCCCCTACTGGAGGGTGCCTCCCAGTTAGGCTACTCGGGGGTCAGGGACCCACTTGAGGAGGCAGTCTGTCCATTCTCAGATCTCAAAGTCCATGTGGGAGAAACACTACTCTCTTCAAAGCTGTCAGACAGGGACATTTAAGTCTGCAGAGGTTTCTGCTGCCTTTTGTTCAGCTATGCCCTGCCCCCAGAGGTGGAGTCTACAGAGGCAGACAGGTCTCCTTGAGCTGCAGTGGACTCCACCCAGTTTGAGCTTCCCAGCCACTTTGTTTACTTACTCAAGCCTCAGCAATTGTGGGCACCCCTCCCCCAGCCTCACTGCCACCTTGCAGTTTGATCTCAGACTGCTGTGCTAGCAATAAGCGAGGCTCCGTGGGCATGGGAACCTCCAAGCCAGGCATAGGATATAATCTCCTGGTGTGCCATTTGCTAAGACCGTTGGAAAAGTGCAGTATTAGGGTGGGAGTGACCGGATTTTCCAGGTGCCGTCCATCACCGCTTCCCTTGGCTAGGAACGGGAATTCCCTGACCCCTTGCACTTCCTGGGTTAGGCAATGCCTCACCCTGCTTCAGCTCACTCTTGGTGGGCTGCACCCACTGTCCTGCCCCCACTGTCCAACAAGCCCCCGTGAGATGAACCCAGTACCTCAGTTGGAAATGCAGAAATCACCTGTCTTCTGTGTAGCTCATGCTGGGAGCTGTAGACTGGAGCTGTTCCTATTCAGCCATTTTGGAACTGCCCCCTCATAGATTCTTGATATTAGACCTTTGTCACATGCTGATGTGGTTTGGCTCTGTGTCATTAAACAAATCTCATCTCAAATAGTAATCCTTATGTGTCAAGGGGTGGACCTGGTGGGAGGTGACTGGGTCATGGGGGTGGTTTCCCCCATGCTGTCCTCATGTTCTCCTGATAGTGAGTGAGTTCTCATGAGATCTGATGGTTTTATCCATGTATGGTGGTTCCTCCTTCATTCCCTCTCTCTCTCTTTCTCTCTCTCACCTGCTGCCATGTGTCACATGCCTGCTTCCACTTCCACCATGATTGCAAGTTTCCTGAGCCTCCGACCCTAACCACACAGCACTGTGAGTCAATTAAACCTCTTTTCTTTACAAATTAACCACTTTCGGGCAGTTCTTTATAGCACTGTGGAAACAGACTAATATAGTAAATTGGTACCAGGAGTGGGGAACTGCTATAAAGATAACTCAAAATCTGGAAGCAACTTTGGAACTGGGTACCTCCTGGCAGCGGTTGGAACAGTTTGGAGAACTTGAAAGGAGAAGGGAAGATGTGGGAAAGTTTGGAACTTCCTAGAGACTTATTGAGTGGTTTTGACTAAAATGCTGATAGTGACATGAACAGTGAAGTCCAAGCTGAGCTGGTCTTAGGTAGTGAGGACTAAACTCTGATTTTTTTTTCATCTTGCCCAAATTCCTATCTAAAGAGTCTGGGGAGGCATGCTCTACAAATCATAAATTCTCATCAGATGGGTTTTATTTAAACCTATATATCATGATTTACTTTCCAAACTGACTCTGGCATAACATTATAAGACAAATAAGAAAATCAAAATATTTTACCCCAAAACATGTTTCTTTGCCATACTCTGAGATGGCCCTGCAGGCCGGGCATGGTGGCTCATGCCTGTAATCCCAGCACTTTGGGAGGCTGAGGTGGGCGGATCACCTGAGGTTGGGAGTTCGAGACCAGCCTCACCAACATGGAGAAACCCTGTGTCTACTAAAAATACAGAATTAGCCGGGTGTGGTGGTGCATGCCTGTAATCATAGCTACTCGGGAGACTGAGGCAGGAGAATTACTTGAACCCAGGAGGTGGAGGTTGTGGTGAGACAAGATCGTGCCATTATACTCTAGCCTGGGCAACAAGAGCAAAACTCCATCTAAAAAAGAAAGAAAGAAAGAAAGAAAGAAAGAAAGAAAGAAAGAAAGAAAGAAAGAAAGAAAGAAAGGGCCCTGCAAAGCTGTTCTTTGTGGGGGAAAATTTGCATCTGTAAAGAATCTCTATTAACATAGCTAGATCTTTTTCTTCTAGAACCTCCCAATCCTAAAGAGTTCAACTAAGATTTGAATAGGAAACATTTGTCACCTATTATCTCTAAGGGCAGCCACTATAAGACTTCAAAAGAACTTTGGACTCTACAATCTTTATCTTAACCTGAACATTACCTTTCTATCTATCCCAGGTCTTTAGACAAACTCAACCAATTGTCAACCAGAAAATATTTAAATTCACCTATAGCCTGGAAGCCCTAGCTTTGAGTTGTTCCACCTTTCTGGACCAAACCAATGTGTCTCTTAAATGTATTTGATTGATGTCTCATGCCTCTCTAAAATGTATAAAACCAAGCTTGATGGAATTTTGTCCCTGCCCTAGAAATCTGTGGAACTTTGCCCTTGAGAGAGATGATCTGAAATAGGAACTTATGTTTAAAAGGGAAACAGAGCATAAAAGTTTGGAAAATTTGCAGCCTGGCCATGTGGTAGTAAAGAAAAACACATTTGCTAGGGAGAAATTCAAGTTGGCTGCAGAAATTTGCATAAGTAATGAAGAGATGAATATTAATAATCAAGACAATGGGGAAAATGTTTCCAGGGCATGTCGGAGATCTTTGCAGCAGCCCTTCCAATCACAGGCCTGGAGGCCTATCAGGGAAAAATGTTTTCATGGGCTGGGTCCAGGGCCCAGCTTCTCTTTGGAGCCTTGGGACTTGGTGCCCTGTGTCCCAGCTGCTCCAGGTCTAGCTGTGGCTAAAAAAGTCCAATGTACAGCTCAGGCCATTGCTTCAGAAAGCCCCAATCATTGGTGGCTTCTACATGATGTTGGGCCTAGGGATGTGCGGAAGAGAAGAGTTCAGCTTTGTGATCCTCCACCCAGATCTCAGAGGATTTATAGAAATGACTGGATGTCCAGCCAGAAGTCTGCGCCAGGGGCAAAGCCTTCATGGAGAGCCTCTGCTAGGGCAGTGCAGAAGGGAAATGTGGGGTTGGAGCCCCCACACAGAGTCCCCACTGGAGACAGTGACTAATGGGGCTGTGAGAAGAGGGCCACCATCTTTCAGACCCCAGAATGGTAGATCCATTAACGGCTTGCACTGTGCACCTGGAAAAGCTGCATGCACTCAATGAGAGCAGCCAGGAGGGCTGAACTCTGCAAAGCCCATGAGAGCAGCCATGGGGTCAGAGCTGCAAAGCCACAGGGTGAGAGCTTCCCAAGGTTGTAGGAGCCCCCACTTTGCATAAGCATGCCCTGAATGTGAGGAATGGAGTCAAAGGAGATTATTTTGAAGCTTTAAGATTTAATGACTGCCCCACTGGAGTTTGGGCTTGCATGTGACCTGAAGCCCCTTTATTCTGGCTCATTTCTCCCAACTGAAATGGGAGCATGTATCTAATGCCTGTACCCCCATTTTGTCTTGGAAGTAACTGACTTGTTTTTCATTTTACAGGTTCATAGATGAAAGGGACTTGCCTTGTCTCCAATGTGACTTTGGATTTGGACTTTTGAGTTAATACTGAAATGAGTTAAGATGTTGGGGGACTGTTGGGAAGGCATGATTGGTTTTGAAATGCAAAGAGGACATGAGATTTGGGAGGGGTTGGGTGGCGTGATCTGGTTTGGCTCTGGGTCTCTACCCAAATGACACCATTCCTCAGGGTGATCAGTGAGCTACCTGATGGCAGGTTGGATTATATTGGACCTCTTCCATCCTGGAAAGGGCAGAGGTTTGTCCTCACTGAAATAGACACTTACTGCAGATATGCATGCAATGCTTCTGCCAAGACTACCATCTGTGGAGTCATGGAATGCCTTATCCACTGTCACAGTATTCCACATAGCATTGCCTCTGACCAAGGCACTCCCTTTACGGCTAAAGAAGTGTGGCAGTGGGCTCATGCTCATGGGATTCACTTGTCTTACCATTTTCCCCATCATCCTGAAGCAGCTGGATTGATAGAAGAATGGAATGGCCTTTCAAAGTCACAATTACAATGTCAACTAGGCTCCAATACTTTGCAGGGCTGGGGCAAAGCTCTCCAAAAGGCCATGTATGCTCCAAATCAGCATCCAATATATGGTACTCTTTCTCCCATAGCCATAATTCATGGATCCAGGAATCAAGGGGTGGAAGTGGAAATGGCACCATTCACCATCACCCCTAGTGATCCACTAGCAAAATTTTTGCTTCCTGGTCCCATGACATTACATTCTGTTGGCCTAGAGGTCTTAGTTCCAGTGGGAATAATGCTGCCATCAGGAGAAACAACAACAATTCCATTAAACTGGAAGTAAAGATTTCCACCTGGCCACTTTGGGCCCCTCCTACCTTTAAGTCCACAGGCTAAGAGGGGAGTTACAGTGTTGGCTGGGCTGATTGACCTGGACTATCAAGATGCAATCAGTCTATTACTCCACAATGGAGGCAAGGAAGAATATGTATGGAATACAGGAGATCCATTAGGGCGTCTCTTAACATTACCATGCCCTGTCATTAAGGTCAACGGGAAACTACAACAGCCCAATCCAGGCAGGACTACAAATGGCCCAGACCCTTCAGGAATGAAGGTTTGCATCACTCCACTAGGAGAAAAAACTCTACCTGCTGTGATGCTTGCTGAAGGCAAAGGGAATACAGAATGGGTAGTAGAAGAAGGTAGTCATCAATACCAGCTACAACCACGTGATCAGTTGCAGAAATGAGGACCGTAATTGTCATCAGTATTTCCTTCTTCTTTTGTTAAAAACATGTTTGTGCATGTACACACTTGTACTAAGAAAATTCCTTCATTTCTTTTTTCCTTTATCATGTGACATAAAATTTATTGACTTCATATCAGCATTTAAGTGTTCTTAACTTTACATAATAGCATTTGGGTTGGGGATTGGTGCATTTCTGGTTGTACAAAAGATAGTTGTATTACATTAGGTGTAATTATGACCTTATTATTGTCTTTATTTGAAGATTATGTATGATCTCAGGAGATTTGTATGGGTTCAAGTTGACAAGGGGTGGACTTGTGATGGTTGATACTGAGTGTCAACTTGATTGGATTGAAGCATGCAAAGTATTGATCCTGGGTGTGTCTGTGAGGGTGTTGCCAAAGGAGATTAACATTTGAGCCAGTAAACTGGGAAAGGCAGACCCACCCTTAATCTAGGTGGGCACCATCTAATCAGCTGCCAGTGTGGCCAGGATATAAAGCAGGCAGAAAAACGTGAAAAGACTAGACTGGCTTAGCCTCCCAGCCTACATCTTTCTCCTGTGCTGGATGCTTCCTGCCGTCGAACATCAGACTTCAAATTCTTCAGCTTTGGGACTCGGACTGGCTTCCTTGCTCCTCAGCTTGCAGATGGCCTACTGTGGGACCTTGTGATTGTGAGTTTAATACTCCTCAATAAACTCTAATATATATATATATTATATATAATATATAATACGTATTATATATTGTATATATACATATTAGGTTTCTCTAGAGGGACAGAACTATATATATATATAGTTTCCATAGTCTGTGGTGTAGACTAGGTGAAATGGAGTTTACAGCCTCCTGAAGGGTAACACCCAGACTCTCACCTGAATTCCCTGAAATCCTGTGCCCTGGGGATTGGAGAAACCTTAAAACCAAAGCCACTGTTAAGTTAGCTCAGTCTTTGATTGAGCATGGCCATCTGCCTATACTTGGCTTCCAGGGCTGGGTGAAGGAGAATTCCTGCCTGGAACAAGGTCACATTACAAAGAATCTTCACAGTGCTCATGAGACATCTCAGACCTTCCATCAGAAGCATTCAGGATGGCAGGAGACTGGACATGATGAGCAATATGGGGATAGGAGGAAGGAAACAGAGAACGGAAGGAGGTGACAGCTGACAAGGCCTTGTGTTCTCAGATGCTGAGCATGAAATGAAGCATTTATGATGAGGGAAACAGAACAGATGTACGGTACAATATTAAATATAAAGCAGTAAATTACAGCAGGTGGCTTCACAGCAGCTTAGACATAGCAGAAGAGAAGAGGATGGAATTGGAAGATCGATGCTCAGGACGGATGCAGAGTGAAGCCGAGGATCCGACAAAGAGGATTTGGGAGATGCAGGCTTTGGGAGAGAAGGAGGGGGATTGGAAGAAGAAAGAATGTTTGAAAGTACTCCATAGAGAACCAGGACAGCCCCTGGGGCCAAGCAGCCCATGACCCTTGCAGCTTCAGAGGTCCAGACTCCAGCCTGGCCTCACATGCTGGTTGGTCTTATCCCTGCCAGGCCAGAACCCTCTTCAGAACCCACTTCAGAACCCAGAGCCCCCACAGCTCTCCCTCACCCTATGCCCGGGACATGTCTCCCGTGCACTCTTCCCTGGCCCACAGGTGGGAGTTTACACCTGCTTGGGTGGCCTCGGCATCCACACCAACAACCTGTTAGCAGTTGTCCTGCTCCCTCCACCTGGCACAGCGTGAATCTCCCACAGTGCAGGCCCCGTGTTTGGGAGTGATTAGGACACACAGGAGGGCAGGTCAGGACAACAGGTGCTGAGGCAGGCAGATTTCGAGGATTTAAGTGCCGATGCTCTTGGAAGACCATTTCCATGGGGTTAATGGTGGTTTTTCTTGGTGAACTGTTGGCTTGTGTTTTTGATATTGCTGTTGCTCTAAATAGTGTTTTCCTGGCTTCAATACAAACTCTATTGGTCATGTTCTTTGTTAAAATACGTATCATTCTAAAAGTTCACATGGCATTAGATTTTTTGCTCAAACTACCTATAATATTTCTCCAACAGAGTGCACATTTGCCTTCCTTTCACACATACCTCCGCCCCCTGCCCTGAGCAGAGTCCCAGTGGTTCCCATCTGTTTAGGGGGTGGGGCAGGGGACACAGGCCCTGACGCGAGGTGGGGCCGTGCCAAGCGTGGTGGTCTTGCACGGGCACTGAGTGGGTGGGCCCTGGAGAGAGGAGAGGTCATTCCCCCTGGGGAACGCCCCAGGCCACAGGGGAGAGGTCAGCTGGAGCGTGAGGTGGGGGGCGGAGATGCATAAAGGGTGGGATGGGGCCTGCTGCTCTATCAGCAAAACCCCTCACACCCGAAGGACACATAGAGGGAGGGCACTGTATTCACTGACCTCACACTTAACTGTCCATTAGCGTTCACCCACAAAATAATAGAACACACTGACAGAGGCACAGGAATGGATTGCTCGCATCTTTATGACAGCTGAATGGAGGAAATTTCTAACAGGTTCAGAGAAAGGATATCAAGCTGTGTTTGGAGAAAGGGGTGGGAATTCTAAACAATATCTATGGAAGCAGGACATCTAGAACCACGGATGTATTCAGAAAAATGCTAGATCTCAGTACTACCCTAGAATACCAACAGTTTTCTGTGGATGGTATGGGAAGGGTGATTTCTTCCGTCGGTGGGCTTTGCCTTTGAAATTCTCTCTGACATATCTACACTGCATTTTAAAAGTCAATATTAGTGTGAATTTTAAGTTAAAATAAAATGTTATCTCATTCAGTTATTTATACATTTAACTTCCATTTTCCTTTACAATAACTCAGTGATACACCTAGCCCTGTTTTCCACCCGGACCAGCCTGTGCTGCTACAAGCCTGGTTTCTCTTCCTCATCACGACTTACTCAGCTTCCCTTCCTGTTTCAGTTCAAGGAAATGTGGGGGCAGGAAGAAAGGGGGCAGCTGCCACTCACAGAGCTCACACTAAATGACAGACAGCTTGCCCCTCACGTCTACCTATTTTTCTAGTTGAATTTCATTGCATGCAGCAATCGACCTCAGGGATTCATTTTCCCACATACGGGAAGCTCGGCCCCAGGTAGGGGGATTTGCTTGGTGGGGGATTTGAACCCAAGTCCCTCTCACTGAAAAGCCCACAGCACCCCCGTGAGGAACAGACAGGGAACAGGGAGTAGCCCTGGATCACCCTAAACTGACTTCGGGTTTAGAGAAGGACAGATTACCTGGGGAATGAGGAAGCTCATTGCTCTGGAGCTCTCTTCTGGAGAAATGTCATGAATGTTCCCTGTAAGGAGCTGGTGGCAACTTCCGTTAATTCTGGGACCAGAGACCTCAGGTCAAGAGCCAGATGCTCATTCATGTCTCTCCAGGCAAGAGGTTCTGGCCAAGTTTGGGCTCCCAGAGGAGTCTAAGAAAATGTGGAAGGCACCAATGTGTTTTTGAAGATTTATTTCAGAGTGAGCATCAGCGACCTACAAGAACCTGGGACAGAAGCCAATGCCTCCCGTTTCCCTGTGATGTGAAACAGGACCCTGTGCTTCCTGTGGACTTCAAGAAATGTGGACTTGAGCTTTGCCATCCCTTCCCCTGATCCTGTTTCATAGATTTTGCTGTTATATTCTCTGTATCTTTACAGGGATCGGGAGGCTGAATTAGTGTTATTCAGGGTTAGTAACTGTCCCTTCCTTAACGGTGGTGGTCCTGATAGTTCGCACATTTTTGGCTGTCCCAAAGAGCAGTGCAATTATGAAGGCGTAAATACGACCAAAGACCACTCTCAGATACATCACTGATTGCTGGCTTTGTTTGACGGAACGTGTTCTTTTTGGAGGTGGCCCGCTGTTGACACTCCCACCAGCACCTCTTCTTAGGCACAGTGGAGGATCCCAGCCTATATGGCAATGGCAGTTCCTTCTGTTGTTGCAGACTCCTCTATGACCGCACTTCTGAGGGTGGCAGTTGTAGCCCAGTGAAGTGATAGTCACATTGCACTGGGTGTTATTACAGAAGTTTCCATGAACACAAGGAGTGCCATCTATCACACGCCCAACATCAGTCGTGTCTGTTGCATGGTGTTCATCCAGTCCAAAACACTGAAACCCTCCTCTCACTGAGTGATGGAATGAAACACGTTCCTGCAGCCGGGGAAGATGGGTCACATTGGTACACTGCAGTCTTCCACAAAACTTATCTATTCCTGCACAAGCCTGGTAGCTGAGATATGTTTGTTGTCTAATACAATGTCCAAATCGGTAGCTTTCAAGATTTATGTCATAGCAGACCTCGGGAGCATCCTCAGCACTGACACCAAAGATCGCCTTGCAGAGCACATTGCGATCAGTGCAGTTCCCACGATAGCAGTAGCCTTCTTCAGTGCACGGGGTTCCATCTTGCGTATAAACGTTTGCGGGACATGTCACGGTGGTCCCGTGACAGTACTCTGGAAGGTCACATATATTTTGGATAGGTCTGCAGAGAGTCCCTGGTGGGGAGAAGCTGCAGTTTGTACAGCACTCTCCTATATGGCAGATGCTCCCCGGTGTTAAGTGACAGTCACTTTGGCAGCAATAACTGGCATAACACTGCTTGAAGGAGCCACAGTCACATTCCTCCCTCCCCTCCACTATGAGGTTTCCACAGCGAACCGTTGTCATGGTTTCGTTATACACAGGAGCAAGTGTTTCAAAAACACACTGGCCTGAATGTATAAAACAATTTTGTGCATGTCCATAAGAACAGTTACTGAACGCATCTGTCATCCCAGGAAATCGCTGCATAATGCAGGAGGCCCTTCTCTGACATGTGCAGTAGTTATCATCATACTCCAGACCAATACTTCTCATCTGTGTCTGGGTTATTATGACGGCTACCAATAAATAATGTCTGCCTGGAGTACCAATGTGTAACAGGGCTATACGGGAACAGAAGTTATACCTTTCAGGTTCATAGTTAGATTCATGTGGCACGTATTTAATAAGTAGTGTGGATGAATGAACATGAAAAGTATCAAAAAAAGTTGTTTTAAAATAGGTAAACATTGCACTCTGAATTCGATATTCATTCACAGGGGCTGGGTCACGATTATTATATATGGTCAAAAGATAAATATAGTACCGCAGATCAATATTTTGAGCAATGCTGTCAATGAGACTGAACATCTGGACCACCTCTTTGGAACAAGTTGTAATATTGCCATATATGCGATAATATGAATTGGAACATTGAACGTGGCCTTTTATATTGCCTCTATGAGAACTATACAGCGAATTAGATATCCTGGGATTCATGCTGTCATTTGCTTCAGAGAACAGGGGGTCTGTCTCATTGTCATCATCTCTAAATGTGGGCCCTGTTGCGTTGGGCTCGGCCACTATCTGAAAAACAACATGTTCAAACCTGCGGGAATCCTGGAGGGGTTTGATTTCGTACGCAAGGTCGTCCAGCCTCATGATGCCTCTGAGGTCCCCATAGCACGTGTCGACGGTGACCATGGACAGAGGCACCTCCTCCAGGTAGCCGAGGTACTAGCAGTCTGGAGGGATGTAGGGGTCACCCATCTGCAAGACTCCTTGGTCATCCTGAGTTGTCACCAGCAGATGTCTAGGCCAAAGAAGGTGTTTCCTCCGCATGTGAATGACGTGTCTTTGACCCCAAAACACAGGCTGTAGGACAGCCAGCCGGGAAACTGAAGGCCTTTGCTATGGTGTGTCTCCTTCCTGGGAATCACCACCTCGGAGGAGGCGTAGTGCCACAAGGGACGGCCTTGAGAACACCGGACCGGAGCCAGGAGCGCCCAGAGCCCCAGCAGCAAGAGGGGGGTCCTAAGGGTGACCCGCGCCTCTGCCCGCCTCATGTCCCAGCCCAGCGATAGTCATCCAAAGACAATGGGAAAGGAAAGGACTGTCCTGGGCGAAGCCAGGCCCCAACCAGCTGCGGTGGCTGCGTCCCTCCCAGGGAGACCCTGACAGAGAACAAAGGGCCTCCCCAGGCTCCCGCACCACACCCCGGGGGGCACCTGGACTCCGGGAGGGAATGAGGTAACAGTCCCAGGGCGGGGCAGGGGGTGGGCCTGGACAGGACGGCAGCTGCTGCACTGCGGGATGAGGCTGAGGGTCATGGCTGTGAGGCCTCATCGGGGAGGGAAAAGGGAGAGGGAAGCAGGGCTGTCTCTTTTACCACCGTCAATCTTTTCCGTTTCTTTCTGAATCTACAAAATGCAATGATGTGCGTCCAATGCCCTTGCATCACCCGTGTTATTCTCGGTTGCTCTGTGGGTTAATAGTGCTCCTTTCTGTGGCTCACACTGCTTACTCCTTTGTCATGTGGAGGTAGACACTGCCAATATTTTCCTTGGGGACTGAATGTTTTTCTACTCTTAATAAGTACCCATGTCTTATTCTTTTTGTTGTTGTGTTGTTTTGTTGTGGCTTTGAAGTTTTGTTTGAAGTTACCAGATTGTGAAAGGAAAATATCTTGGGCCCCGTCAAGCTGGAAACCACTCAGGACAAATCTGCCTCCCAGTCTATTTAAAGTTGTCCCTCTGCTCACAGAGACAGGTGCATATCCTCATGGCCTCCTTTGCAAACACTTATCAGAAACTCAAAAGAATGCAACCATCTGTCTCTCACCTACCTGTGACCTGGAAGCCCTAAGTGGGGAGGACTTGCTTTGAGTTGTCTCAGCCTTTCTGGATGGAACTAATGTCCTTCTTACTTATATTGACTGATGTCTCATGTGTCCCTGAAATGCGTAAATCAAGATGTGCCCGACCACCTTGAATCCAGAGTTCCTGGATTCACAAGATCAACAGTTGATATAGGGTAACTTTTTCTTCTGTGCTATGTAAAACTCTTGTGAATTATGATACTTTTTACTTAGTCCATCTATTGGGAACAGATGCTATTCCTGACCCCATCAGAGCCCCAGGTGCTGTCCCTCCGATGCTTCTGTGTGGTTCTCTCCTGGTCTTTGGTCATTTCTTCAGATGCAGGAGCTGATCAGCTCTCAGGGAAGGGCACAGGGGGCCCTCTGTGGGTGTCTCATGTCTGAGAACTAACGTTTCACATATTTCTGCCAATTCTGTCATTGCTTATGAGGGGAGGGAAAATCCAAGGCCAGATCATAATCAGAAACACAAATTACTGTTTCTTCAAAAGTGTAAATATTTCCCTTTCCTGGCGAATGTGGTCACTCCATTTAAACTTAACGTGACCGTGGTGTGTTTCGAAGGCTGCGCTGTGTGGCACTTTGTCTTCCAACGCCCCGTACTCCCATCTTCCATCGCTTCAAATCCTGCCTTTTTACCACAGATGAACGATTACTAATGAAGCTGGTTTCCCCTCTACGAGTGTGCAGGTTGAACGCCCTTTCCCTACCCCTTTAAGGCTTTCACAGGGAACAGAAGGAAAATATTTGACATCCCTGAAGGAGGCTGCTAGGGAAGACTGTGTTCCTCCTAAATTCTTGTGCTGAAGTCCCAACCCTTGGTCCTGTCCCCACATGGCCCCTTCCCTGAGATGAGCTCATCTGTCCTCTTCCCCAAGGTGAGCACACCTGTCCCCACGTGGACCTTTCCCTGAGACAAGCACACCTGTCCCCACATGGACCCTTCCCTCAGAGGAGCATAACTGTCCCCATGTGGACCCTTCCTTCAGATGAACTCACCTGTCCCCACGTGGACCCTTCCCTCCAGAGGAGCACACCTGTCCCCACGTGGACCCTTCCCTCAGAGGAGCACACCGGTCCCCAAGTGGACCCTTCCTTCAGACGAGCTCACCTGTCCCCACGTGGACCCTTCCCTCAGACGAGGTCACTTGTCCCCATGTGGACCCTTCCCTCAGATGAGCTCACCTGTCCCCACGTGGACTCTTCCCTCAGATGAGCTCACCTGTTCCCACATGGACCCTTCCCTGAGACAAGCACACCTGTCCCCATGTGCACCCTTCCCTCAGAGGAGCACACTTCTTCCCTGAGAAGGTGGACTCTTCCCTGAGGCAAGAACACCTGTCCCCAGGTGGACCATTCTCTCCGATGTGCACACCTGTCCCCACATGCACCCTTCCCTGAGAGAAGCACACCTGTCCCTATGTGGACCCTTTCTTGATACTAGCACACCTGTCCCCACATGGACCCTTCCTTGAGACAAGCACACCTGTCCCCACTTCGACGCTTCTCTCAGATGAGCACAACTGTCCCCACCTGGACCCTTCCCTGAGACGAGCTCACCTGTCCCTACTTGGATTCTTGCCTTAGACAAGCACCTCTGTCCCCACGTGGACCCTTCCCTGAGAGAAGCACACCTGTCCCCAGGAGGACCCTTACCTCAGACAAGCATGCCTGTCCCCAGGTCAACCCTTCCCTCAAAAGAGCTCACCTGTCCACATGAGGACCCTTCCTTGAGACAAGCACTTCTGTCCCCTCAGACAAGCTCACCTGTCCCCATGTGGACCCTTCCCTGAGACAAGCACACCTGTCTCCATGTGGAACCTTCCTTCAGACAAGCACACCTGTCCCCACATGGACCCTTCCCTGAGACAAGCACGCCTGTCCCCATGTAGACCCTTCCTTCAGAGGAGCTCTCCTGTGCTCAGACACCACCAGGGGGGCTCAGACACTAATAGGGTGGCTCAGACACTAACTGGGGGCTCAGACACCATCAGGGGTCCTCAGACACTAATAGGGTGGCTCAGACACTAAGAAGGGGACTCAGACACCACCAGGGGGCTCAGACACTAGCAGGGGCACTCGGACACCACCAGGGAGGATCAGACATAAGGCGGGGGGGCTCAGAAACCACCAGAGGGGCTCAGACACCACCAGAGGGCGCCCAGCAACCAAGGGATGCTCAGAACCTACGGAGGGGCACTCAGGACCTACAGGGGTCGCTCAGGACCTGGCTCAGGAGCAGATGCAAAGTGAAGCTGAGGTTTCCGTTTTCTCTTTGGGGATTCCTTGTCCTGCCCTGCAAAAGCCTTGCTCAGCAGCTATTATTGTTTCTTCCCTGGAATTCCCTAGTTCCTCTCATCTGAAAAGGACATAGAGCAGAAATCCCATTTAACTTTTCACACTTCATTTTCAGTCTCCTTCTAGCGATATTTCAGTAAAATATTAATAAGAAATAATGAAGCCACAGTCCAAATGTTAGCATCATGCAAAGATTTGTGTGTCTTCTCCACTCTGTCAGTTATGCCTTAGGAAACTCTTCTCTCAATCCACTGCTCAGTGTACACTATGATGTTGTGTTTTGTTCTTTGCTTTCATCTGCTTTGCAGGGAAATGAAGCACCATTTATTGGGACGTGTCCTCCATTTCTGATGGACTCCCCGTGGTCTCCACCTCAGACGGTTTTGCCACCATCTTTAATCCGTTAATGCCTTCAATCGACCTCACCATCCATGTAATGAAGCAATGAATGCCTTTACCTCATCTACTTGTGTCTCCATGAGTCAGTTCACTTCTCTCCATTCTCACAAAGGACAGCCAACCTCAGGCCACTGCTTCAGAGCCTCCTGCAGCCTTGGGTGGTCAACCTATTAAAAAGCCCCTGCTGTTTAGAAAGGATGTGTATTGGAAACTTAATCCCAAATTCCATAGTGTCCAGAGGTGGGAATGTTAAGAAATGATTAGGTCATGAGGGCTCTGCCCTCATGAAGCAATGAATGCCATTATCGTCAGAGTAGGTTACTCATTGTGGTAGCAGATTAGTTACTACAGGCCTGGGTTCCTCATTAAAAAATGAGTTTAAACCCCTTTCCATCCTTCGCACCTGCTCTCCTGCCTTCCACATGGACATCACAGCAAGAAGGCTCTTGCCAGATGCTAACACCTTGAT
This sequence comes from Homo sapiens, assembly GCF_000001405.40. Lineage (NCBI taxonomy): Eukaryota > Metazoa > Chordata > Mammalia > Primates > Hominidae > Homo > Homo sapiens. The sequence continues at coordinate 443,897 of NT_187600.1, forward strand.
ATTGACTTCCCAGCCTCTAGAGCTGCGAGAAAATAAATTCCTTTTCCTTATACTTTAGCCAGTGTGTGGTATTCACTCATTGCACCACAAAGTGGACTAAGACGAAAAATCAGTATCAAGAGGTGGGGCTGTTGCGATAACAAATACCCCAAAATGTAGAAGTGGATGTAGTAATGCACAAAGACTGGAATAATTTGGAGGATCAGACTATAAAAAGTCTGGATTGCCCTGAATAGAACACTAGAGGTGATTCTTTTGAGGACTCAGAAGAAGAGAGCTGTGAGGAAATTCTGAAACTTCTTAGAGATTATTTAGGTGATGACCATTAGATGTCAGTAGAAATGTGGACAATAAAGGCCGTTCTGATGAGGTCTCAGGAGAAAAAGAAGAATAGCTCATCGGAAAATGGAGCAAAGGCCATCCTTGCCATAAAGTGGCAAAGAACGTGGCTGAATTGTGTTCATCCCTAGGTCCTTCTGTAAGGTGGAAGTTCAGAGCCATGAACGAGGTTATATGGTGGGAGAAATTTGAAGGAAATCTATGGCCTCACTTCTAGCAGGCACTTTAGGACTCTGTTCCCGGTGTCCAGGCACAGCACTCCTTGGCTGCCCATGCTGTGGCTCAGGAGGACCTAGGTGTGGCTCAAGCCATCACTTTAATGGTACAAGTCATCAACTTCCATGGCATCCATGTGTTGTTAATTCTGCAGGTGTGCAGAATACAAGAACCACGAGGGCATGGCTTTCTCCACCTAGATTTCAAAGAATGCTGTGGACGGCCTAAGGTCTCGGGCAGCCTAAGGACAGCCTAAGGTCTCGGGCAGTGACTTGTTGCAGAGACAGAGTCACCACACTGGGCCCTTAGCACAATGCCAAGCAGAAATGTGGGTTTGGAGGTACCACAAAGAGTTTCCAGTCAGCCTAGGAGAGCTAGAGGCCTGAGAGTCCCACCTGTGAGAGCGGCTGAGTGGACTGAACCCAGAAAATATATAGAGGCAAGACTGCCGGAGGCCTTGGGGGCCCATCCCCCTCCCCAGTGTGCACAAGATGCCGTTAAAGAGGATGATTTTCCAGCTATAAGACTTAATGTTTTTTTCCCTGTTGGGTTTTGAACTAGGCACCGCTTTCTCCTTGCCTCTCTCTGAGCTTTGGAATGGGAATTTCTATCCCATACCTGCCCCATTGTTCACTGTATTTGAAAGTAGATAACTTGTTTTGACTTTATAGGCTCGCAGATGGAAACAATTTATATCAGGCTAAATTGTGCCTCGAGTCACACTCATATCTGATTTAGATGAGACTTTGGACTTCAGACTTTTGCACTGATGCTGGATAAGACTTTGGAGACAATTGGGATGGAATGAATGTAATTTGCATTGTGATAAGGACATAAATTTTGATATTAGGAATGGAATGCTATGGTTTAAATGTGTCTCCCAAAGTTTAGGATCTGGAAATAATCTTTAATGCAACAGTGTTGAGAGGTGGGACCTTTATTATGTGATCAAGTCATGAAGGCTCTGTCCTCATGAATGGATTACTGTCACTATCAATGGAGTGGGTTAGTTATTATAGGAGTGAATTTCTAATAAAAGATGGTCTCCTTTCTCTCGTGGACAAATGGTCTCTTGCTCACCCACCTCTGCTGTGAGATGAGGCAGTGAGAAGTCCCTTGTGAGATGCCAGTGTCTTGATATTAGACTTCTCTGACTCAAGCACCATAAAGCATAAATTCCTTTTCTTTAGAAATTGCCCAGTCTCTGGTATTCGGTTATAGTAACAAAAAGACAGACTGAGACTAAGCCATTGTAACATGTGTGAGGTGATATCTTATCATGGTTTTAATTTGCATTTCCCTGATGATTAGTGATGTTGAGCATTTGACTCTTTATGTTGAGTGAAATAAGCCAGGTATAAAAAATTACTCCATGATCTTGCTTACACATGCAATCTAAAAATGTTGAACTCAGAGAAGTAGAGAGTAGAATGGTGCCTACCAGGGGCTGGCGTCAGGGGCATGTGAAAGCTGAGACGTTGGTGAAAGGGTACAGAGTTTTGGTTAGATAGAAGGAATTCGTTTGAAGATCTATTGCACAGCATGGTGACTTCCATGATACTAATGTACTATATACTTGAAAACTGATAAGAGAGTAGATTTTACACGTTTACACCATAAAAAATAAGTATGTGAGGTGATGGACATGTTTATTTACTTGATTTAATAATTTCACAATGCCCGCATACGTCAAAACATCACGTCATATCCCCATAATATATGAAATAGAATATGTTTTTCTAGTAAGTGTGATGCCTCTGTTTCTTTTTCTTTCTTTTTTTTTTTGGGAACAAAACAATAAACACCTTTATTACATGGGTGAAGACAAAACAAGGATTTATTTGCCTTTCTGGGCCTTGATTTTCCTAAGATAGAACTCCAACTCTTTGCCCTCTAGCACATAGCCATCTGCTCGGCCACACTGTCCCGGCCTTGAAGCCATGCACGCAAGAAGCTTGCCCTGCTGGAACTGCTCCCCCAGGAGACTGCTCATTTTGGCATTCTTCTTCCTTTCATCATATTTCTTCTGAATTTTTTTAGATCGTTTTTTGTTTAAAATCTCTTCTTCCTCAGGAGTCAGCTTGGCTCCCTTCTTGCGGCCCAGGGGCAGTGCACAGTGGGACTCGTACCACTGTCGGTAGGGCGTGCTGTCGATGAGCACGATGCAATTCTTCACCACGGTCTTGGTACGAACCAGCTCGTTATTGGATGCATTGTAGACAACATCGATGACCCTTGTTTCACCAGCGCAGCATTCTGAGCCCCAGGAGAAATTCCCCACGTCCAGCCTCGGGGCACAGTATTTCTTGTTACCTCCTCGCACACGGACTGTGTGGATGCGGCACGGGTCAGTCTTGCTGTTGGCAGCTGGGCGCCCCAACTCATACTTCCGCTTCTTGTGGCAGGGCCATCTCTTGCCCCCAGCTTTGCGGCCCTTGTGCCAGTTGTCCCGAGAGGTGCCCATCGCTCGGCGCTGGCTGGAAAGAGGGCCTCTGTTTCTTTAACAATACTTTCTGGAGATTGTTTTTCCCTTGAGCAATGTTTCCTCTCTGCTGTATTTACACAGTTTTCCTTTCCCATGGGTTGATTTAAGACAGTGACAATTTATTTATTCTATGTCTGGTAATTTCACTGAGAAACTTAATGAATAGCCACTTGAAACCATCTGGTGCCACTGAGAAACCATCTGAAGGACACAGATTTTCTGAGTGTAGGCCACAACCATATTTTAACACTTTTTAAATTCAAAATCGGGGTTTAAATTTTGATATTTTACTATGGCTTCTTTGATTCCCTCCCAAGATCTAACCATTGAGCGTGTGAAAAGGGCTGGGACCCAGGTTACGGCTGTGCTTGGCATGATGACGTCCTGCAGAAATTCCTTTGGCTTTCTACATGGAGCTCAGCCTCCGTATCAGCCAGCTCACCAGGAGGTCAGAGTACTTTTCAAAGATCCTCATTGTGTTGTTTCATTGTGAGAGGTTTCCAGCCCTCGTGAGACACCCCTTGGTTTTACAGTCATCACGAACTTGTTTACGATTCCGAAAACATACCTGCCATCTGTCCATATGTTTGTTCTGCGGCTTTTGATTTGCTAAAATGCTGTAGTAACTGCAATAAGTTCTACCATCTGGATTAATTTTCACCTCAGATGGAAGAGTATATTTTAAGATAAAGATAAAATAGTAATAGTATATCCTCCTTGGTAGTATCCAGTTCTATACTTTGAGCTATGGTCTGTCAATAAATAATGTTATGCCAGGGTCCTCAATGGAGTGCCTGAACATCTAAGGAAGGTACAGAAGTTTCCCTAACTAAGATAGAAACCATGGTGAGCACAAGTTTGCTATGCATCCATGTCTCCGGTCTGTCTCACTATGCACCTGACACTCATTTTAACCTCACCAGGAAGTCAGTTAACTTCCAAATCAGTTTATTGTAATGCTTCTAGGTAATTATATGTGGCAATTTCAGGCAGAAATGAATAAAAATCTTCACCAGAGAATCTAATACAGAAGAATGCAAGAGGCCCTGGGCTTGTTTTCATAAAAGCATCATACACCAGGCAGTTGATTCTTTCAGCTGTCGGCACTGGCTCACCCAGCATGCGGGCTTCATCCCCTAAGTAAGCTTCATCATGCATGGATAGGCTGGCGCCTTTCCTGAGGCCATATGCCGATGGATATGCAGCACTGTGCCACACGTCCACAGAGATACAAAATCCCTGATGGGAAGAACGAGGCTGGATCAACGGGACTGGCAGTTTCTCATTGAGGAAATGTGAGGTCAGTTTCTATGGTGGGCAATTCAGGAAATTACTCAGCAGTTTTGTAATTGATGGTTATGGAAAAATGAACCGTTGAGATGACTAATGACTTACATTCCATTATTCCAAGTAAGAAACGGACATCACAGTTCGCTGTAACTAAATTTTCATAACCAAATGGATTACTTTAAATTTCTTCCTACATCTTCTCTTAATAATTTTTAATAACGAATGTGTCTTACCTATATTCCCAATATTTAAAACTGGGTTGTCAAGAGAGTCTAGAGAATTTGAGAACTAGGAACAGTGAAACTCCTGTATGTTCAGCAGCTCCCAAAGCAACACAATATTCCCCAGGAACACTGTTCTGTCCTCCAGCATAATTCATGCTTGTGTATTTCCTAATGGCTCCAATAGTGACCCTCCATTCCCACCAAACATTTGGCCTCCCCTCTCTCCACTTCCCCTCCATTCATACATTACACTCTCAGCTCTGTCTAGGGTGTCATAAAAGCCAGCGGACGGACCCTCCTGATCTCCTGAACATGAAAGCCAGCACTATCATGTGATGGGCTCCTCTTGGCATGGTGACCTTCAAAGGCACCTCATTTAAATAATCACCTTTTTTTTCCTTCTGTAACAAAGTGTTTCTTTCCATTGTGCCTTCCCATAAGCAGTTTAACATAATTTACTGTCCGACCACAGTTATTAATACACACAAATGCCACAACCTCTTTCTAGCCCAAGAGACCTGATTAATTCTTCTTTGGGGATGAGCACACCCTAGAAACACATCCCATTCACATAAACACGGGCACACCGATGACGTGTTCTTGAGTCTACACCATTCTCCGTCCAACTCCATGAGCCCCTGAAGACCAAGACAGGCTCTTTCACACCTGTGCAAGCTCCGGCCCAGGGACGGCCTGCTGAGGAATGGGCTCAGCTGGGTCTGGGTGCTGGGTTCATCTCTTCCCCTCTCCTGTCCCAAAGCAGGTCCATCACCCTGCTCAGGTCTGAACAGGAGTGTCTAGGTTTTTCTGGCCATCCGACTTTTTCAATGTATAGAAGCTCTCCTATTACCTACTGTATTCATTTTATAGGGCTTTTATAACGAAATACCACAGATCGGATGGCTTACAATACAAAACCAATTTCCTCACACTTATGGAGGATGAAAGCCTAAGATCAAGCTGCCAGCTGGGTGGGTTTCCTCTGAGGTCTCGCTCCCTGGCATGCAGATGGCGCCTTCTCACTGTTCTGTGGTAACATGGCCGTCCCTCGGGGCCTGTGCACCCTCCCTCCTGCTTCCTCTTCTTATAACAACAGTCAGATTGCATTAGGGCCCCACTCCAGGAATCTCACTTTAACTTATTCACCTCTTTAAAGGACACTAATCCAAGTATGATTTCATTCTGAAGGACCAAGGGTTGGGACTTCAGCACATGAATTTAGGAGGGACACAGTCTCCCCTAGCAGCCTCCTTCAGGGATGTCAAATAAAAGGAATAAAAGGACACTGATGCTCCAGAAGGCCTTGAGAGTTTGCAGCTGCTTTGTTGTGGTGGGACGTGGGTAGGCCTGCACCTTATCTATGATGGCAGATGGAATGACTTTAGTTTTACCCAACCAGATGACACCAACTATTTGACTGATAAGCCTGGACCCTGGATTTTGTCTGTATTAACCTCCCATCCTCTATTCAGCAAGTGAGACAGCAAGACAGGGGCTGTAATTTATAAGCTGAAAAAAGACTCAGAGGTTATCATGATAACACCAATGTAGTGGAAAACATGTATCCCCTTTGGGTCAGCCCATCGACTGAGGTTGGAGGTCACTAGGCTGTGAGATTTGGGCTGTGTAAATATCCCTGGAACAAGACAGTAAAAGTCCATTGTTCTTTTTAGGTTAATGCAAATTGATCTTGACTCTGGGGCAACAGAAATGCTGAAGAAGGTATTGACTAAACTGATAAGGAAATGCTACGTGGCTAACACCTCTCCTATTCTCGTCAGACTGGAGGAGATATTAGGAACAGCTGCATTCACTCGGGAGACCACCTTATTTAACTCCCAGTAATCTACTGTCATTCTCCATGTCTCAACTGGCCTCTGCATGGGCCATGCAGGTCTGTTGTAGGAACCATGCAGTGGCCTCCTAATGCCTACCTGGGCTAGCTCCTTAACAATCTTCATGATTGGATCATCTTCCCCTCCCAGGGCAGGTGGTGTTGCTCCAGCTGTGGGACTCCCCATGGGTTGGCAGCTCTACTGGCATCCAGTTTGCCTTCTGCTTGGTCACACACATCACCACTCTAACTCTCCGTTGGAATTCCCTGGCCGTTGTTTGGAGGGTCACGCCTAAGAAGATATCCATTCTCATGTGTTCTAGGATGGAAGCTGTGTATACTACACAGGGTCTGGGTGGCAGTCCCCCAGGTCGTATCACTAGTTCAACCGGTCTGACTTCCGTGGCCCTTCCATAACCACCTATTGCCGCTATGGGCCCAGAGAACTGGTAGGTGTTGCCAGTTAGAGCACATTCGTTGTCTGGCCACCCTGACTGGCTCCTTGGCTGTCTCTCTTCCTTTGGTGCCATTGTTCTTCATCACAGTAGGGTGCATCCCTTGCTTACTCAGTTTCTTCTTTTCTCCTAAGTCAGCAACTACCTGGGGCACATGAAATGTTGGCTGCCCTCCCAGGGGGCTTAACATGGAAATCAGTGCACCATGCCATTGGGTAGGCACTGAATACATAACTGTAGCTTTTATTTTGCAGTAAACAATTCATTGTTGGGACTTCAATAATTCTCAGCATAATTAGCATGCCTCATCTCGACTCCCAGAAGATATCCTGCAACTCTTCTATAGTCTGCCATTGAGAACGAGCTGTGGGGGCATCTTCCTCATTGGACCCGGCCCCCTTGGAGCCTGCAACCACTTACCATAAAGGTGCCATCATAGGGCTGGATGGTTTGTGATGGGTGTCATTTTACTCATCTTGAGTCCAGAGAGTATAATACTCTCCACCCCCTATCCCATAGAGAAGCCACCCTGTGATCCACTCTCTCCCCTTGTGTCTGAATCCAATTCTAAGCTCCCCCAATTCCACAGTGGTGGAATTCCGCATTGTGGTGCACTGCCTTCTCTTAGGTGGGGGAAAGTTCTGTGGGGCTAACTTCTGCTGGCACAGTTGGCCCACTTTTATGTTGGTGGTGACCACCACAAGTACCATTTGGCTACAGACTGTGTCCTGGCATTCCAAGGCTTTTGTGTCTGGAAGGCATCCTTTAGCCAGCCTGCTAAAGGTTGTTCCGGATGTGGAGTGGCCCTCTTTGTCACATCCTACACTCGTAAGGCATGACATGTAGTGCAGTTGCTACTCCTAAACAGTATATCTCACTTCAGCTTCCTTCTGTCTTTGAGACCAGGGTCTTAGGGACACACACTTATGTCCTTGCCTTTAACACAGTCCCCACCTAAACCCCTCAGGGTAACTGACTACATCCAATTCACAGGGCTGTCCCTGCACTAGAACTCCCAAGGTTTGTATTCATTTCACTGTGACTTCAGCTTCTTCAGAGCCCTCATCCTCCCTTTTGGAACAGTCGCAGTGGGGCACCTTCTTGTCTAAGTGCCATGGGGGCCCAAGGGGTTTGCCGAAATGGGGAATAAAGGATCGCCAATGTCCCAGGAGGCCTTGGGAGGTTTCCAACTGCTTTGGTGTGGTGGGACATGAGTAGACCTGCATCTTATCTTATCTATGATGAAATATGGAATAACTATAGTCTTATGTAACCAGATGACACCAAGTATTTGACTGATAAGCCTGGACCCTGGACTTTGTCCGCATTGACCTCCCATCCTCTGTTCACCAAGTGAGACAGCAAAGCAGGGGCTGCAGAGCAAGAACCTTTATGGACTCATCCTAACCTTCATCTCCTTCCCACTGGAGCTCTACATCGGACGCCAGGACTTAGGCTCCCAGGATGACGTAGTCATAGTAGTCCTAATGCATTGGTGTGGCAGTCAGCAACACTTTAAATGGCCTACCAAATAAACAATAGTCTCCAATTTGCTATCCTATCCCTACAGGCGGCATCTCATTATAGTTACAACTGTTCTCGTGGCTGACACACCCTAGCCTGTGCAATGAGCTCTGCCTCAGTGGTTGCTCAGAGTGCAGTCAGGAGTGGCCAACAGCTGCCACAGCTCAGGAATCTGACTGTCACTTTGTCACATTGTCACATCCACCTCAGGCAACAGGTCCTCCAGAACTTTTGGCATTTTGGAGGCATCCCCGTACACATGCAGCGGGCCCCATCCATCAAGGATTGCAGCTGTTGGGCCCACAGAGATGTGCATGGCCTGCCTGGGATTTCCTCACAGGTCTCCCCTTCCTTGACGCTGTTGTCTAAGAGCTTGCAGGATTTTCTTTGACCTTGTTCTGGGCCTACCAGTTGTCATGCTAGACCCCTATTGACTGTAATAGGCGTGGCACCATGTCCAAAAGGCTGAAGAGGAGACCTGGAGCCCATGAACAAGACCTAGGGTGTATTGAGGACTTGCATACAATGTGGCCCAGGAAAAGTGTGTTGGACAGGAAAACCACTACCATTTGTAAAACACATGTAGTTTATATTATGATTTTCACTTAGCACCCTCTACCTAGCAACCTCCAGATTTAACAAAGAGCATCAATCACCTGGACATCCTGTGTTCCAAGGGATAGGCCAGGGATTCAGATGTCCTTCACAGACAAGGAATAAACTTCTGGGTTGACAGCTCCTGGATTTCTTAGCTCAGAGCTCTGAACATACATTCTTCATAAACTATAGGGTCATTCTTACAGTGTGCTTAAATTAACGCTGCCAGGCATTTCTGGCATACATAGATCTGAACACACACCTCATAAAACAATGTATAAAAAAGTGTTCATCAAGACTTTGTATTAAGAATATGTATATTTAAAACAACCATTAAATACTGCTACTCATTTACTATAATATTACAACGGCTGCACAGCAAAGCATTAGTGAATACTGACAAGGCTCCAGAAAAGAAAATCTTATTCACTGTTGGTAGGAACGTAAAATGGCACTTCCTTTTTGGAAAATATTTTCAGTATTTCTTTGGAGTTAAACATGTTAATTGAACAGATGACTCTAAGGTACTTTATTCAACTGTTTTTTTGTTTTGTTTTGTTTTGTTTTGTTTTGAGATGGAGTTTCACTCTGTCGCCCAGGCTGGAGTGCAGTGGCGTGATCTCGGCTCACTGCAACCTTCACCTCCCAGGTTCAAGCAATTCTCTGCCTCAGCCTCCCGAATAGCTGCGATTACAGGCACCCACCACCACGCCCAGCTAATTCTTTGTATTTTTAGTAGAGAAGGGGTTTCACCATCTTGGGCAGGCTGATCTTGAACTCCTTACCTTGTGATCCACCTGCCTCGGTCTCCCAAAGTGCTGGGATTATAGGCGTGAGCCACCATGCCTTGCCTATTCAACTGATTTTAATACTTACTTCTACACAGATACTTTCATGGGAATGCCGGTATCAGCTTTCTTCAGTAGAGCTTTTCCTCCTCCATGAATTTTGCTTATAGGGTGATAATTATATAAACAATTCCCATATAATTGGGCCAGGCGCAGTGGCTCACGCCTGTAATCCCAGGACTTTGGGAGGCTGAGGAGGGTAGATCACCTGAGATCAGCAGTTTGAGACCAGCCTAGCTAACATGGTGAAACCCCGTCTCTACTAAAAATACAAAAATTCACCGGGCATGGTGGCGGGTGCCTGTAATCCCAACTACTCTGGAGGCCGAGGCAGGAGAATTGCTTGAACCTGGGAGGTGGAGGTTGTAGTGAGCTGAGATTGTGCCGTTACACTCCAGCCTGGGTGGCAGAGTGAGACTCTGTCACAAACAAACCAAAAAAAAAAAAAAAAATGAAAAAACTGAAAAAACAAAGTTCCCATATAATTAGAGTATATACTTCTATTGTTACTTTTTTTCAATTTATTAATGACATACTGTAAACAACATTAAAAATAGTAATCCCTTTCATTTCTCAGCCCCAGCACAGCTGCCTCCTCCCTGGGGTTTCTGACACCCTCAGGATGTGGGTTTTCACACTGTGTCTCTCGCACAGTAATACACGGCCGTGTCGTCAGATCTCAGCCTGCTCAGCTCCATGTAGGCTGTGCTGATGGACGTGTCCCTGGTCATGGTGACCCAGCCCTGAAACTTCTGTGCATAGTTTGTGCCACCACTGTTAGGGTTGATCCATCCCATCCACTCAAGCCCTTGTCCAGGGGCCTGTCGCACCCAGTGCATATAGTAGCCGGTGAAGGTGTATCCAGAAGCCTTGCAGGAGACCTTCACTGAGGCCCCAGGCTTCTTCACCTCAGCCCCAGACTGCACCAGCTGCACCTGGGAGTGGGCTCCTGTGGAGAGAACACAGAAGTGGATGAGATCTCCCTGGACTGGACTCAATCTCTTTCTCATCACTGGGACTAGGGAGCCTCTTACCTGTGGCTGCTGCCACCAAGAAGAGGATCCTCCAGGTCCAGTCCATGGTGAGGAACGGAGCTCTCAGGGGATTCTCTAGAGGACAGATGTGGTTGCTGGGTGATGCTCTCAGGGCACAGGACAGATCTGTATTTACTTCAGTAAATCTCAGGTTATTTGCATATTCATGAGGGATACTATTTCATAGCTCTAGACTTGATCCAAGATGAGAAAGAGAACACACATAATTTATGGGCCATGCAACAGTGGGACGCTGAAGTCCCTGTCCCAATCCTTGTTTAATGATGTGTGTCCCCTTGTATGCCCAGAACTCTGCTAAAATAGATTGTCTGCTGAAAACAAGTTCCCGCAGAACATGGTCCTCCAAGTGAACCCATACTTAAATGGCACTTTGACACCTTCATACTTTTCTGGGCTTTGCTTTCTGCATGTCTTACTACTGTCTCTGTTAAGATTGGCAAGCACTGAATTAATAAAACCATCCCTTTTCTCCATCTCCTACCTATTAAGATATCTGAAAATCCTAGAAATTTCTCCTTTTACATGTGATTCTCATTGACTTGTTAGGTTAGATAAATCCTACAAATAGAACTGTATACTGAAAGACACAAAGACACATCAATAGTCTTTACTAAAGTCTTGTTTAACTTATTAAAGCATGTTTGTCCGAGAAAAGGAAGACATCAGACCCTGGGAGGAACCCCTCCCCAGCCTCCCTTGCACCTGCTCCAGGGCTGCAGCCTGTGCTGGGCGAGGCCCTAGCGCTCCCTGCCACCCAGACCTTGCACTGCAGGGAGCTTCCCATTGGGTCTCACAGAGCATTTTTCTCTCAGCCTCTGTAGCTCACTAGGAAGTGACTGTGACCTGGCTCAGAATGCTCCTTCAGTGACAACATGAGCTGATGACACCACCTCTTGAAATAGTGAATGGGCCTTTGGAAACCCAATGTCCTCTTCAGGGTGGCTCCAAGAGAAGAATCGCTAAAATCACCAGGGAGTCCACTTCCTGGAGGTCTAGATGCACTGGATCACTGGAAACAAAGGGAGGCTAAAACTCTGGGGGGGTTGGAGGTGGCTCTTTTCTCATTTCGGCTCTTGCAGATGAATACTGCATCTGAGAATACCTGAAGCTGCAGATGGATGTGGATTAAAGCTCACTCCACGTCCGCTGTTCCAATAACTCCTACTCAAACACACAGAAACACAAACACAAACATTCTCACACACACTGTGGCTGATTTTCACAGTTATGGACCCCTAATTTTTCCTTCTTCGTAGTATCTTACTCACGGGAAGTGCCGCCGACCCTGACCCTAGGCCTCAGTATGTGACTTTCTTTCTCAAACAGATCTAAAGCAATCACACTGCCCTCTTTAATCCATATTAATGATGCTGTTGAGGAGGTAATGTGTGGGGCAGGGGAGCATGGTATGTTCTTACAGTTGACTCTCCCTGGTTTGGTTGCCCTCTTCTCCTGAGCAGTGACCTTCACAAGGAATCTCCAGTGATACAGCTGATTTTCTCTCTTTCCTCCCTTCTGCAGATGCTGCACCCAGGGCTACCGCCTTGAATCTGACTCCTCTTGGCTAATTTTATCATTTGCGTGATAGAGGAAGGCTGAGGAGGAGGGGTCTGTAATTTGGAAGTATTTCCTTCCCCCACATAAACTAAGATTTTGGAGAATACCTTCCCTTGGATGAGCTTTCTAGAAAAGTCTTTTTGTGCATCTTTTCTCCGTGATTACTCCTCCCCAGTTCATGGCTATAGGGAATCTATTTTAATTGCTTCCACGAGAACCTGAAGGCCCTGGAGGGCAAGTCCACACAAGTGTGGGGTGTACAGCCTCTAGGAGTGCTCACCCTCCCCCTAGTCCACATTTGTCCTCCAGACATTCAGCATAATCACCAGGTAAATGTTCTCACCAATGTGTCTCCAGGAGCTTCCCTTCCAAGTCAGCAAGTCTCTGCTGTGACTGTGGATGTGCCTGTCTCTACAGCTTTTGGAGGGAGTAGTTTTTTCAGCAATTTCAGCTCTTAGATGGATTAAAAAATACTTGATATTTAGATGGTTTGGAGATATATATATATAAAAATATATATGTATAATATATATAAATATACATATTATATAATATATAAATATACATATTATATATTATATATACATATTATATATAATATATAAATATGTATGTATAATATATAAAAATATACATATATATTATATAAAATATATATATAATATATAATATATATTTATTATATATATATATATATATATATATAAATTTTTTTTTTTTTTTAGATGGAGGCTCACTCTGTCGCCCAGGCTGGAGTGAAGTGGTGCGATCTCAGCTCACTTCAATCTCCACCTCCTGGGTTCAAGCAATTCTCCTGCCTCAGCCTTTCAAGTAGCTGGGATTACAGGCTAGTGCCACCACGCCTGGCTAATTTTTGTATATATTTTTTAGTAGAGACGGGGTTTCACCATGTTCACCAGGCTGGTCTCAAATTCCTGACCTCAAGTGATTCCTCTGCCTTGGCTTCCCAAAGTGCTGGGATTACAGGCCTGAGCCTATGTGCTCCTCTGGTTCAGATGTTTTTTGATGTAGAAATGGAGCTAATGACTTTTAAGATCATCACATATGTCAGCAAAACCCTGAAGTCCCCTAAGAGGTCATGTGTGTTCTGGTACTGGAAGCAGAACCCTAATCTCCCTACACAAAAGTGACATCTGGACAGACACAACTGAACATGTGGGGACAAAGGGAATGGCACAGCAGGACACTTATGAGGAAGTTTCAACAGTTTCCTTTTTATTCAGAGGAAGCTGCAGCAGGTGAGAGCTGGTTATACCTCAGGCGATGTCATTTTCTGGAAGGCTGTTCTTGCTCTTGTGCTGGATCAAGTGGATGCACCTGGGCCCTCACACCTGGAACAGGAACTCTCATTCCTTAACACAAGGTGCTCGGTGAGACAGTTGCTTCCAGCTGAAGTGCAGAGAAAGGGGAGAGAAGGAGTTGTCTCTGGTGTCCCAGGATGTGTGTCAACTCTAGGATAAGGTCACCTTGGAGGGGCAGTGGTCTACCTTAGGGGATTACATCAGTTCTGCCTTCAATAACCTGTGGCTGTGGTCAGGAGTGTGACTCATCCCCTTCTGCTCCTCCTACCTGCCTTTCATTAAATGTGCAATGAATGAGTGATCCCTCACCAGAGAGTGTCATGGTCTAAACATCATGATCTCACACAATAACATCCCCACACCCAATCTCAAATACATTATAGACCCCACTCAATCAGCAATTGGCAAATAATTTGCTCTTGTAGATTTGGTGAATACATTTGCTCGGCGTTCATTTCAACAGCCTCTCAGCCACATTTAGCAAAGTGATTGACAAAAATGAACATGTCTCTATCAGCAAATAGAAAATATAAAATCACCGAGTTGGTTGAAACGTACACTATTAACTCTGAACAAATATAATAAGAAATTAGGCATATCACAATGGCACACAGTTTGTTTTACCCTAAAAATATCCCCTGAGCTTTGCCAAGTCAGTCTCTTGTCTTTCCCCAAAAGCCCTGCCTATCACAAACCTGTTTTTAAAATCCTTTTAATTTTACTGTATTTAGCAGGTCTCATGAATGGAATTGTACAATACTTAGTCTCTTTTGTCCATCTTCCTTCACTTAGAAAAAATGTTAAAATGTTGTCTTCTGAATTAATAACCCATAGTTTTTATGACTGATAGTATTCCACTGTATGAGTATACAAATATTTGAGAATCAATTCTGTTGAAATACATCATGTTTACTTTTGTATTTGGTAAATATGAGTATCAGTTTATGACAATTGATACTGAACAATTTTATATATTCTTATTTTCAGATAACATTTTTTCTTGGTGAGGTGTTTGTTCAGATTTTCACTCATTTTAGAATTCTGTTTATATTATGCTTTCTGTTGAGTTTTACAAATTCTTTTTATAGCCTAGAGACAAGACCTTACAAACAGTAAAAAGAAATAGTTTCTGATTTTGAATAGATTCAATATACATACATAATTTTTAATTGTTATAAGCACATAATAGTATATATATTTCTATTTGTTGGGTATATGTGATGTTTTGGTACAGGCATACAATGTGTAATGAACAAAGTAAAAAAAAACTACAATAAATCTATAAAACATTGAGGAAATAAAGAGGACACAAGATGGAACAATATTCCATGTTTATGAATTCAAAGATTCAATATTGTTAAAATGTCCATAATACTTAAAGCAATCTACAGACTCAGTACAATCCCTATGAAAACAACAATGATATTCTTCACAGAAATTTTTAAAAAATCCTAAAATATATGTGGAAAAACAAAAGATGCAGAACAGCCCAAGCCATTCTGAGCAAAGAGAACACAACTAGAGAAATCACATTACCTGACTTCAAAATTTATATTTTTATTATTGTTAATTATTTGATCTAAAAGTTATGTTTCAAACAATGAGAATAACAATACGTTAAATGAGTCTGATGTATGTATACTTGAAATTAATGGCATCAATTTTATGAATGATGGAGGTAATTGAGAATGTTCTGTGTGAGGCACCTGCACTAGATTTGATGTGGAATAATGTCATTTTGAAGATGGAGACAGATTAGTTACACACGCATATTGTAGGCCATGGTGCAAAGCAGGCTCACCATGCAAAAGTGACCAAAACGAGGCCACGTGGGTTGTACACCTCAGCAGCTGTGTTACCCACTGGGACAAAGCTCTGAAGGACATCCTGCCTCCAGGGGAGAGAAGAACAAAGCCCAGGGTGTCCCTGGCTGTTTTTCCCTAACTCAAGATTTTATATCCTCTAGGAGAAACAGGAACAAACCTGAGCTGTTCCAGACAGACAGGATGTCCTTGGCTCTGTGCACGTTCAGGAACAAGATCAACTCGTTCTGAGTCTCTATTCAGTGATTTAGGTTCGGGGAAATAAGAATGCAGATCTGAAATTATGGAGCTTTCAGAAGGTTTTCATGTGTCTCAGTGCAATTTCTTCATGTGTTATTTTGGCTTATGGTATTGATAGGCCCACAAAAACTAGATTTAATTCAATAATTCAAGTGATAGAGCAAAACTGAAAGAGCTGAGGGGTTTTCTAGCAGGATTTAGAAAGTTTAAAATACTTCATCTTAGAAAATGTATTTGCTGGACATTGATGGGACTGGAGTAGAGATGGATGTGGGGGAGCCCAAGGATTGTGTTTTCACACACACCACAATGACTTCTGCTGTCCCTTCCTTCCCTCTCTCCCTCTCTCTCTTTCTTTCTTTCTTTTCTTTCCTTCCTTCTTCCTTCTTCTTTCTTTCTCTTTCTTTCTTTCTTTCTTTCTTTCTTTCTTTCTTTCTTTCTTTCTTTCTTTCTGTTTCTTTCTTTCTCTCTTTCTTTCTTTTCTTCTTTTCTTTCTGCTGAGTGAGCCCAGAAGTACACACAGGTATAAAACTCACTGAATCACCATTAGCTGTTCTTCCTTTTGCCTCCCACCCAGGTCAGGAGGAATTACAAGTCCTACGGAATTCTAGTTCTAAGAGAGTGAGAATCTTTATATGGCTGATTATTCCAGAATTTTCTATAATGATGCAGCTGTTGTTTCTTTTAGCCAGTTTTTATTGAATTCTGTTCTTTTCCATTGAGTCGTAAAACTTATTTCTATATTCTGTTGCAAGTTTGTTTTAAGATATATATATATATATATAAAATATTCTTGAAATCTGAAAGTTTCTGTTCATTTTCTTAATGTAATTATTTAAATATGAAACTTATTTTATTATAAATTACAAATAATTTTTGCATATATTTATGACATATGTTGTTTAGTTATGATACATGTATACATTATGAACTGGGTAACTCAAGCCGCTTATATTCATCACCTCACAAATTTATCATTTCTTAGTGGGGAAATTCTAATGTTTATTTTTTTAGTAATTTTGAAATATATACTACCTTATCAGCTATAGTTGACATGCTGTGCATTAGAAAGGCATAACTTATACCTCCTGTCTAACTGGAACGTTGTGCACTTTAACCCACATCTCCCTTTCCCAGTCCACCCCTCTAGGCCCTGGTAACCAACATTCTACTCTACCTCTGCAAGTCTACTGCTTTAATATATACAGTGAAATCATGAATGACTCTTCCTCTGTTCCTGGCTTGTTTCACTTGGCATAAGGTCCTCTAGATTCATGCATGCTGTCACAGAGGCAGGGTTTCCTTCTTATTTAAGGATGAACATTACTCTGTTGTGTCTGTATGCATTTTCTTTATTCATTCATCCATTCATGGGAATTTAGGATGTTTCCATATCTTTACTATTTTAAATAATGCTGCAATGAACGTGAACATGGAGTGCAGATATCTCTTTGACATGTTGATTTCATTTCCTTTGGATACATAGCCAGCAGTGAGACTGCTGGATTCTACAGTAGATTTTGTTTCTTTATTTTTTGAGGAACATTTATAGTATTCTCCATAAATAGCTGTATTCATCTACATTTTCACTCTCCATATTCTGAGTTCTGTTTCTGTCATTTCAGCCATCTCAGCCCCATTCAGAACTGCTGTTGAAGAGGTGCTGTGGTTGTTTGGAGGAAAGAGGGCGCCCTTTTTGTTTTCAGGACTTTTGCACTGGTTCTTTCTCATCTTTGTGGGCTTATCCACCTTCAATCTTTGAAGTTGCTGACCTTTGGATACATTTTTATTTTCTTTTACCCTATTGGATGACCTTGAGGGTTTGATTGTGGTATAAGGTGGATTCAGCCAACTGGCTTCATTTCTGGAAAAATTTAGGTGGCCAGTGCTCAGCTCCCAACACCTAGACTGTGTGCTCTGACTCTGGGGGAAGTTATACTAGTCCCTGACTTGGTTCTCCGGCTCCTTAAGGTTAGGAATCCACTGTCCTGGGCTGTTGGAGGTGTGGCAGCTGTGGCAGAGTGCTAGTGGGTGTCTGGGTGCCTGCCTCCCTGCAGGTGTTCGCCACAGTGGCAGAGGCATTGCGTCTGTGGGTGTGTGGGGCCCTGTTGGTGACTGTGTTCAAGGTCACACTGGAGGAGGTGTTGGCTCAGGGATGGGACACTTGTGGGCACAGGCCCGGGTGCCGTATTCATGCCCCACAAGCAGGAGTGATTTCTGAATGTGTGAGATGATCTGCTATTCTCTGTGCAGAATTAGCGCAAGTGCGGGACGCTGACAGGAGCGGCCCTGGCTTTTTCCCCACCAAAGCTTCCTCTGCCATGGTGGTTGGGGTGGGGGGAGGGGACTGCACTCCACGCAATGGTGGGACAAGAAAAGCAAAACCCACCTATACAGACATGTGACTGCAAAGTGATGTGGGAAGTTACGTGGGCCTGGGTGAACCTACAGTATTCGGAGGAAGTGTGTAAGCTGGTGTGTGCACATGAGGGCTGCCCGATTGGAGCTCTCCACCAGTCAGGCATGTTCTGCCAGGGCAGAAATTTTGGTGCGGGATCCCAGGGCGTCCAAGACTGCCCTGCAAGAAGGTGTGGCCAGGCTAGGGCCCCAGGAGAGGCCAGTAGATGGAGGGGCACTCAGGTCCCTACATTATTTGAGAATGTGGCCATGTTTTATGTGAATGAGTGATGACTTGATTGTAATGCAGCATTTTATTCCAGTACACAAACATATCTCAAATTGTTTAACATTCACCTGTAATGGATATTCAATGTGTTCTCTCAGTTTCTGGCTTTTATACGGAAAGCAGCTATTCAGTGTGGGAATGTGAAAAAAATGAGAAAACTGTGATTTTATTCTGACCTCATTAACAACGAAGCTGAACAGCTACAAATAAAAGAGAGAAAAAACATTCAACATATCTGAGTTGATTTCACCAAGCAAACAAGAAAACTGAAATCTGAGAAGATAGGAGCCTGCAGAGAGAACCAGGACCTACCTGCTAGTGTACATAGGGCAGGTGCCACTGGATGGCATTTGAGATAGAAACAGACTAACCTAGAAATACTTAATGACTTTTTTTTTTTTAGTATGCATGTACTAATGGTGTTAGATTGGCCTAGTGCTTGCAAGCTTTTCCTAGAGAACTTGAAAAATCCACGGACAACTTCCTCATCTGGTGTCTTGTGGTGTTGACTGGGGAAAAGAACAGCAGCTCCTGTGGAATGCCTGAATGCACCTCCACTACCTCCAGGGGAAATCCACCAAAGCATGTGTCATATGAGCTGTGGTGAAGTCAACAGAAACAAAAGGAAACAGACGACACCAAGGAAACTTGATCCAGAAACACCTCCTATCTCTTTCCTCAGGAAAGAAATCCTTACTCTTTAGGGTAAGGATAGTGGGTAAAAAGCTGGGGACACTGGTGAAAAACAGTTGTGTCTGGGAAAAGACGTTCCAGCCCTGGGGAAAGAGTTAAGGACAGGACAATGTGGAAGGCCACTCCCCAGAACTATGCTTACTACTCCTGCATAAGAAGGAGACTCAGTCAGAAGGTTGGAGGAAGTCCCGCTTTGTCCAACCTCCTTCACCACACAGTCATCAATTTAAACTGTCAGTAGGGTGCACTTTCCACAGCTGAAACAGACAGCCTCCCTGGGGAAAACTAAATATAAAGACCCAGGATCAAACAGGGACACAAAAGCAAGTATCATGGGAGGAACTTGAAATCTCTGTGGACAGCAGAAGCTGACTTCAACTCTGATAATTGTGGCATCCATAAATTGCAAATATAGCCCTGAATAGATACACACAAATATCTATAATGAAGGCCCAGCAGAATGGAATGTGTTACCATCTTCAGGAAGAAAATAATGAATACATGAGTACAAGAAAATAAATTACAAATTAAAGTCAAACTGGAATTCTATATATATTAAAAATTTCATTTAAAGCGAAAGTCAAATGAATACCCTGTAAGACAAATCGATTCTGAGAAAATTTATTGCTAGTGCATTCATCCTTCAGTAGGTGCTTTGGCAAATTTTCCGCCAGGGTGAGTAGCCATATGATATACATCCGAAACATGAATCTATCCAAATAAAAAATGTGGTCAAGAATGAAAAAATGAAGTTGAAATGTAGTTTTTATATTTTTAATTGTTCTAATATATGTCTATGTAATGATAAAAATGCACATATTATATTTTATAGCACATATAAGTGCAAACTGAGAATAAACTAAGACAACGGATGAGAAAGAGGGTTTAGAAGAATAAGTTATAATAGCTCTACAACCTATGAAGAGGTTTTACGTTATTTGAATTAGAATCTGATTATACACAATTCTTATTGTATATCTTAGGGCCAATACAATATTCATAAAAGATGAGCTAAACAATAAGTTAATAGAGAAATAAACATGATCATAAAATGCCAAATTAAAATAGAAATTAACAGAAAAATAGTAATACCAGTTTTAAAATAGAATTTATTATAGTTGATTTAAAAAGCAAGACCCAACTACTAGCTCTGTACAGAAATTTGCTCTACATAGAAAAGTTAAATACAGGAAAACATGGACTATGAAAATATGAATGAAAAGAAAGCGTGCTTAGCTATGTTAAATTCAGACAAGGTAGACATAAGACTTTCAGGAATCAAGGGGCATATTACATAGGGTAAAGGGATCAGTTTTCTAAAAGGCATCACCAAAGATTTAACCAATGGATCTGGGATAGAAAATAGGCTAACATCTATAACAGATAGCGAATTCGACACTTACTGTGATTGACAAAACAAACGTGATAAAATAGGTAAATATATAAGTGACCAGAATCAACTTATTTGACTAGTTTCATTTATAGAATATTCAATGGGAAGACAGCAGGAACCCAAACTGTGATTAACCAGAAGATATGAGAGGAACATGGTGACTGAATTTGATGTGGTTACCTGGGTTGAACAAAGAAACAAACAAAAAGCAATAGGAAAGTGAGACCTTATCTCAAAAAGAAAAGAAAAAGGAAAAAAGGAAACTGTTAAAAATTGGCAAAATTCAAATAAATCCCAGAGCTGAATAAACAGAAACTTATCAATGTAAATATATTAGTCCCATGTCCCATGTTTTTTTTGACATATTAACTTTAGTGAAAACTTGGAGATGGATGTGAACACACTGTATTTTCCTTACAATTGTTCTGATAACCTATAATTATTCCAAATAAAAAGTGTGTAAAATATAAAGTAACAATCATAAAAATAATAGTTCAAAGACCTTATAAAATAGGCTTCTGAAAATAATAAAATTGTTACTAAAATTATTATGGATAATTATTTCAGAGGATAATCCTGAAATGATCATCGAAGTGGTGGACAGATGTTTATTTATTTCAGAAAAAGATGTGAGGCATCTCATATTAAACGCTAGTGATGGAAGTGTTTATAGAGTTGTTTTATCATCTATAATATGATGGATGAAAAGCATTATCATAAGCATTTGATGGATGAAAAGCATTACTATCATAAGCATTTATGTAGCCAATATCATGAACGTATTATAATTTCCTCAGTTGTGCACCATTTTTGTGTTAATACCATGTGAACGTTTTCTACTGCATGTGTCATATCTAAACATTTGAACTAGTTTGTTTGTTATTAATGTGACTCTTGTAAATGCTGTAGGCATTGCTGATGTTCTCTGTAATTTCTCTACTGGTGTTTTTTTCCTAATATTTTAACATGATAAATTTGGATTAATATAACTACGTAATTTAATAATATATTTTAAACTTCATAGTTGTACACACAGACACACACACACACGCACACATACACAACAGCCCAGCAATGACACATATACCCGTCCATGCAAAAATGAATGTATATTAAACACCAAAACAACACACCCATTTTTTTCTATATTATTTTAATTATTTAATTGAATGTAACTCGTATTTGCAGTTTCATTTTTGAATGAATGTAAATGCCATTCTTGCCAAATATATTACTTAAGTGTACAATGGTATTTACTTTTTTTTTTTTTTGAGACAGAGTTTTGGTCTTGTCGCCCAGGCTGGAGTGCAATGGCGTGTTCTCGGCTCACCGCAACCTCCGCCTCCCAGGTTCAAGCGATTCTCCTGCCTCAGCTTCCCCGCCACGCCCAGCTAATTTTGTATTTTTAGTAGAGAGGGGGTTTCTCCATGTTGGTCAGGCTGGTCTCGAATTCCCGACCTCAGGTGATCCACCCACCTCACCCTCCCAAAGTGCTGAGATTACAGGCGTGAGCCACTGCGCCCAGCCAGTATTTACTTTTTAAATATCAGTCAGTTATTAATAAATTGAATAACTAATAAGACAAACATCACTTAAATTTTTATTAAATCATTGATTAAAGTAACATTGTATTTTTTTAAACTAGGCAGGATAGAACTTTTCTATTTGAAAAATTTTTTAAAAAACTTTTTGGCGTTAATTTTCAATACAAACTCTAGTCGTTATTTGCCAATATGCCTTTATAATAAAGAACATCCAGCAATAGGAAACTGAAAGCAGCCCATGCTTTGCAGGATTCAATCACAATGGCAGCTTGCTGGAGGGTGGTCTGAGACTGGGCAAACACATTAGGGATTTGGACTTCATGAAAGCACTACTGAGCCCCTGGGCTGAGCACACAGAGGGTAGCATAAGTTGCAGAGCCTAGTCTGTGGTACTTAGGGAAAAAGAGGAATGGGTGGGGGTTATGTCTGCAGGACCCTAGAAAAGTGTGATGAGGGCAGAGGGTCTGCAGGTAGAGTGTATTCTAAGGAGAACTGTTACTCTCCTAAACTTGGTTGGCTTCAGTGATCATGAAAAGAAGTGAACTGATTTACCAGACATGGAGGACAGGAAGTAAAAGGACTTCCTGTTTCCTGCATGGAGACTGAGGAAGATAAAATATTTTGACAGAAAAAGAGAAGATGGAGAAAGTTTGAGAAGCAGAACACCAGGGGCCAAAGTGGAGGACAGGAGCCCTTAAAGTGGTGTTTCATCTGCACAAACAGCCGATGAAAGGAAAAGAAACTGGACCCCATGCATATGCTGAGTTGTTAGAAAAGCATTTACAATAGTGTGTCTGACAGCACAGAAAACAAAAAAATTGTGCATAGAGCCAGACTTTGGATTGAATATACACAATTAAAAAAAATATACTGAGATATATCATTGCTAGTATAACTCTGAAAATAGGCAGAGTTAAAAGTTGAATTGAACCCCTGTTCTAAGTTAATGTTTTATAGGTGAAAGAAACCATGAGTTACAAGGAAGACATCGTAAGAGATCCTGGGGAAGACTTTTGCTTGACCAGGTCAGGAATCACCAAGGTGGAAAAGGAAACCTCATCCTCCCCAGGTACCTGATATGGAGCTGCCTCCAAAGAGCCCCTTGGAGGTCCTGAGTGCTCCCTGGTGTCCTGAGCCATTCTTGCTGTCCTGAACACCCACTGGTGGTTCCTGAGTGCCCCCTGGTGGTTCTGAGCACCCCCTGGTTTTCTGAGCGACCTCTGGTGTCCTGAGCCCCCCCTGGTGGTTCCTCAGTGCCTACTAGTGTCCTGAGCGCCCCCTGGTGGTTCTGAGCACCCCTTGGTGTCCTCAGTGCCCCCTGGTGGTTCCTGAACCTCCCCTGGTTTCCTGGGCACCCTCTGGTTTCCTGAGCGACCCCTGGTGTCCTGGGTGACCCCTGGTGGTTCCTGAGCGCCCCCTAGTGTCCTGAGCATCCCCTGGTGGTTCCTGAGCGACCCCTGGTGTCCTGAGCATCCCCTGGTGTCCTGAGCGCCCCCTGGTGGTCCTGAGCATGCCCTGGTGGTTCTGACTGCCCACTGGTGTCGTGAGCGCCCCCTGGTGGTTCCTGAGCGCCCCTAGTGTCCTGAGCATCCCCTGGTGTCCTGAGCGCCCCCTGGTGGTTCTGAGCATGCCCTGGTGGTTCTGACTGCCCGCTGGTGTCGTGAGCGCCCCCTGGTGGTTCCTGAGCATCCCCTGGTTTTCTGAGTGTCCTCCGGTGGTTCTGAGCACCCGCTAGTTTCCTGAGCATCCCCTGGTGGTTCTGAGAATCCTCTGGTGTCCTGAGCACCCCCTGGCAGTTCTGAGTGCCCCCTGGTGTCTTGGTCACATCCTGTGGTTCTCAGCACCCCCTTGCCACAGTCTCATGAGTGCCCCTTGGTGTCCTGAGCGCCCCCTGGTGCTTCTGAGCACCCTCTGGTGTTCTGAGCACCCCCTGCTTCTTCTGAGCGCCCCCTGGCGGTTCTGAGCGCCCCCTAGTGTCCTGAGCGCCCCCTGGCGGTTCTGAGTGCCTCCTGGTGTCCTGAGCACCCCCTGGTGGTTCTGAGCGCCCCCTAGTGTCCTGAGCGCCCCCTGGCGGTTCCGAGTGCCCCCTGGTATCCTGAGCTATCCCTGGTGGTTCTGAGTGCTCCCTTGTGTCCTGAGCGCCCCCTAGTGATTCATAGCACCTCCTAGTGTTCTGAGCGCCCCCTGGTGTCCTGAGCACCTCCTGGTGGTTCTGAGCACCCCCTGGTGTCCTGAGTGCCTCCTGGTGGTTCTGTGCACCCTCCCTGATGGTCCTGAGTGCCCCCTGGTGGTTCTGAGCGCCCCCTGGTGTCCTGAGCCCCTCCTGGTGGTTCTGTGCACCCTCCCTGATGGTCCTGAGTGCCCCCTGGTGTCCTGAGCTATCCCTGGTGGTTCTGAGTGCTCCCTTGAGTCCTGAGCGCCCCCTAGTGATTCATAGCACCTCCTAGTGTTCTGAGCACCCCCTGGTGTCCTGAGCCCCTCCTGGTGGTTCTGTGCACCCTCCCTGATGGTCCTGAGTGCCCCCTGGTGGTTCTGAGCGCCCCCTGGTGTCCTGAGCCCCTCCTGGTGGTTCTGTGCACCCTCCCTGATGGTCCTGAGTGCCCCCTGGCGGTTCTGAGTGCCCCCTGGTGTCCTGAGCTATCCCTGGTGGTTCTGAGTGCTCCCTTGAGTCCTGAGCGCCCCCTAGTGATTCATAGCACCTCCTAGTGTTCTGAGCACCCCCTGGTGTCCTGAGCCCCTCCTGGTGGTTCTGTGCACCCTCCCTGATGGTCCTGAGTGCCCCCTGGTGGTTCTGAGCGCCCCCTGGTGTCCTGAGCCCCTCCTGGTGGTTCTGTGCACCCTCCCTGATGGTCCTGAGTGCCCCCTGGTGGTTCTGAGCGCCCCCTGGTGTCCTGAGCCCCTCCTGGTGGTTCTGTGCACCCTCCCTGATGGTCCTGAGTGCCCCCTGGTGGTTCTGAGCGCCCCCTGGTGTCCTGAGCCCCTCCTGGTGGTTCTGTGCACCCTCCCTGATGGTCCTGAGTGCCCCCTGGTGGTTCTGAGCGCCCCCTGGTGTCCTGAGCCCCTCCTGGTGGTTCTGTGCACCCTCCCTGATGGTCCTGAGTGCCCCCTGGTGGTTCTGAGCGCCCCCTGGTGTCCTGAGCCCCTCCTGGTGGTTCTGTGCACCCTCCCTGATGGTTCTGAGTGCCCCCTGGTGGTTCTGAGCAGCATCTACCACATAGTCCCCTCCTGTCTCCCTGCGGTGAGCTTTGTGTCTGGGCTCACACAGGGTTTCCCTCACTGTGTCACTCACAGTAATACATGACCTTGTCCTTGGCTTTCAGATTGGTCATTGTAAGGCAGACTGCACTTAAAAGGGTGTTGCTTGAGATTGTTAATTTATTTGTACTCATGGAGAGTAACCCTGAGAATTCATACTTGATCACTCACTGTTGGCACCCACACC
Source organism: Homo sapiens (assembly GCF_000001405.40). NCBI lineage: Eukaryota > Metazoa > Chordata > Mammalia > Primates > Hominidae > Homo > Homo sapiens. The sequence continues at coordinate 469,464 of NT_187600.1, forward strand.
TATCCCTGTTGTGAAGCATGCTGGACCAAGCTCATGCTGTAACCAGTAAAGGTGAAACCAGAGGCTTTGCAGGAGAGTCTCACCACTGGGCTGTAAAATTTTTCCCCCTCTGACTCCATCAGTAAACTTCACACAGGACTTCCGTGAACACAGAAAACAGACTGAGAACAGCCCCGTGAGGAGAAGCCACAGCTGGACCTGATTTACGAAGGACACTAATATTGACGGGGATGAGAAGGGAATCCAGATCAATGCAGACCCCACGGTGTGGACACTGAGGAAGGGCACAGACATGGGGTGGCTCCTCGCCAGGGCCTGAGGGAACAGGGGATGAGCTGCCTTTCATGAGAAGTGGAGGGGACACATTTCCACGTCTTTCTTTTTGTGGTCATGGGTGCACTGCTCAGCATTGCTCATCCATCCTCTGTGTCTACATTTCAGGGAAGTCAAGGTCAAAGGATTTCTGGGTCTGGATGCACAGAGTTAATCTGCCCATTACTCTTTTTTATTCTCTAATGTGGACACTGTTGGGGTATCTTCATAATAGCAAACATTATCAACAAATATGTCCAGTAAGAACATAAAAATACGTTTCCAGAGAAAATGGACACCTGTCTCTAATTGGTATATTTAGAGCTGCAAACTACTGTTCTTGACAATAAGGCAAAGTTAGGTTACAATGAAAAAAATACAGATCTACGCCTTGTCAGGGAGGGGGTTTATGATTATCATTATCTTGAGATCATTTTGCCACAGAACAATTCGACATTGGATATATGTACTTGTGTAAGGAAACAGTAAATGTGGACATATGTGTACTTATGTGAGTGAAGAGTTCACATGGAGACATGTTTGCTTGTCTGAGACAAGAGTCCACATGAGGAAATGTCTGTTTTCTGAGGAAAGAGTAAATGTAAGAACATATGTGGTAGTCTGAGGAAAGAGTCCACGTGGGGACATGTGTGTTTGTCTGAGAGAAGAATCCACGTGAGTAAAGGTGCGTTTGTCTGACAGAAGAGTCCACATGTTGACAGATGTGTGTACCCATCTGAGGGTAAATGCCCATTCAGGGACAGTGTATGCCTGAACTGAGCTGAAGTTTGGGGAAATATTTCTCAACCAAGGAAAGAAAATAATCCTGTCGGTTATTTGCTTGTCAAGAGGAAAAAACCTGGGTCACATAGAAAATTGATTTAAAAAAAAATTTAAAAAATTAAAGGTCTTTAGTGAATGGCAACATCTTATATGCAAATCAGGAAAATTACCTCATTCTTTGTTGCATACATCTCATGAAATCTCCACCCTCACAAAATAAGTAATGAGATAATTTTATACAATCTGCATTTGATCCTTGGGTTAATGAACTGCTAAATTTTTTTTAATTGTATATATTTAGGTTTATATTTTCCATCACAAAACTATGTGCTTAGACAAATTAATTGTGTCATATCTGAACCATTGCATATCACTAAAAATAATTTTAATCTTCTTAAACAGTGTCTTTTTAACTTATTTTATACCCAGTCTCTAAACTCCTCGAATATCCTCTATATGTTGTTGTTTACTTGACTACAGTTTTGGCTTTTATAGAATTTCAAATAAATCAAATTATACAGTGTCATTGAAATGACTTCACTGAAGAAAGTGGAAAATGAAGTTGCTGACCTAAGGAACTTTGAAAATGAGGAAACTCTGTAAGTTTAAAGTGTAAAGAAACTGAACATAAGCACTCTATTCTAGTAGATAAACATGTTTCCTACAAGGGTACAGCTTTACATTTCTGATACTGCTATGCATGTGTCCTGAAATTGTGCAGCTAAGTAATAAAATGGCATATGGTTGGATGGGGTTCCTCATTTTGCAGTGAGAGGTTATAGACAGTCAAGGAAGGAAGGCTAGAAAGATCCATGTGGTAGCATAATTGGGTAGAGAGACCAGTGTGTTCTCATTTTTAATGTAATCACATTACAGAAGGTTAGATACATAGTTTACTAGGCCAGTTGGTTGAGAGGTCCTGCAAGTACTTATACCACATTAACAATGCACATACCCAGTATTACAATTTTTTAAATACTATTCTTTAACATCAGAAGCAAGCAATCTTTAGAAAAATGGCTGATTCTATGTATGAAAAAGATAATATAGAAAATGAGTTTAGAATTTATTATAATAGCAGGAAACAGGGAAGTGTTCAAAAACAAAAGCATGAGGTGAGCTGTAAGGATGCAGGATCCAAACTCAATGAGCTCCCAGCACATAATAAAGCCATGGTGGTTTGAAAAATAAAATGAATAATGTAGCATGGATCTTCTTCAGAGTATGAAATAGACATCCATAAACCAATACACATATTAATAAGTGATCAAATAAAGAAATAATAGGAAGAGGAACACATCTTTTTACAGAAGTATTCCAAATATGTTAGGTTGATAGTCCTCCAATCAAGTAGGTGAAGCTTAAACACTCATGAGATGATTGTAGCCTGAGATTAGAGACATGGAAAAAGTAATTGATATTACTGTATTTTATAATGAGATTTCAGATATAATACCAAAGACATGATCTGTGGATGAATAACATTTTACATTTTTAAAATCTAAATTTGTATAAACACACACACACACACACACACACTTTTCTGCAATACATACTGATAAGGGAGTAAAAGACAGCCGCAGACTTGGAGAAAATACTTCCAAGTCACATATTTGTTAAATGAATTCTTTTAATTTGTTAAATGATTTTATAATCAATATGCAAGTAAACTTACAACTAATCAAAAGAAAACAATGCAGTTAAAAATGAACCAAATATGAGAAGAGGCATCTCGGCAAAAATTATATGAAAATTGTTAAATGTGAATTTTTATTACGGAAATGTGCATTTAACTAAAAATTAGATACCATTACTCACCTATTAGAATGGTTAAAACACACAATTCTCATAATGATAAATGGCAATATGAATGTGGAAAACCAAGAACTATCATGCATTGATGGTGGGAATTCAAAATGCTACATGCACAAAATGAGTTTTTTTGGCATTTTTAATAATAGAGATAAAAGTAGAGATAAAATGTGATTTGTGTGTGTGTTCCAAAATATTTACAACACTGATTCAGAAATTGATGTTTACACAGATACCTACAGAGGAAGTTCTGTATCAGTTTTATTAATTCAATCCCTGAAATTTGCTTGCAGAATAAATATTGTATGAAAAATCTCTCAAATAATTAAAATTTCTCAAATACATGTTTATATTGTTCCTTTTCCTTAATGACTTAATATCATTTTCTGAGAAAGTCTTCAATCTAATAATCTTTGTCATTTCCTCCATGCCAGCACAGCTGCTTCCCCCCTGGGGTTTCTGACACTCTCAGGATGTGGGTTTTCACACTGTGTCTCTCGCACAGTAATACACAGCCGTGTCTTCAGATCTCAGGCTGCTCAGCTCCATGTAGGCTGTGCTCGCGGATGTGTCCCTGGTAATGGTGACTCTGCCCTGGAACTTCTGTGAATATTTTGTGTTACCATTGCCAGCGTTGATCCATCCCATCCACTCAAGCCTTTGTCCGGGGGCCTGGCGCACCCAATGCATAGCATAGCTAGTGAAGGTGTATCCAGAAGCCTTGCAGGAAACCTTCACTGAGGCCCCAGGCTTCTTCACCTCAGCCCCAGACTGCACAAGCTGGACCTGGGAGTGGGCACCTGTAGAGAAGACACAGGAGTGGATGGAATTCCCCTTGACTGGCCTCGATCCCTTCCTCCTCACTGGGATTTGGCAGCCCCTTACCTGTGGCTGCTGCCACCAAAAAGAGGATCCTCCAGGTCCAGTCCATGGTGAGGCGTTGTGCTCTGGGGGCTTCTGAGGAGGGATGTGGTTGTTGGGTGATGCTCTCAGGGCACAAAGATATCTATAGTCATCTCAGTTATTTGCATATTCATGAGCGATGCTATTTCATACCTAACACAGCATGAGAAAGAGTGGAGAGATGACACATGGATTACCCAACAGGAGGATGCTAAGGGTTCAAGCTATAATCCCCTTAGAGGCCATGTGTGCCCTGCCATATCCCTAAGCTGTATGTTGACAGAGCTTCTCCCACTGGAGAACAATTTTCCCTAGAACAGGACTTCACTGGGAACCCACACTTGAATAGCTCAGAGGTAATTTAAAGTATTTCTAGGCTTTAATACATGAATGTGTTATTTGGGGGATGAGTGTGTTTCTCCAAAAGTTGCACTTATTTATATAAAATAAAAGCTTAATTGACCTCCAGATGCTTACTATTAAGATATGTAGCAGGGTTAGAAATCTCCAGTGTAAATTGATAAATTCTTGCAATTGAATAGGATATTTATGGACTCTTCAGCAGTTTTTGTCAAATACTTATTTTAGATTTTTTTAGAAGAATGACACAGATCTTAAGGGGACTCCATCCGCAGCCTCCTGTGCACCTGCTCTGGGGCTGGAGCCTGTGCTGGGTGGGCCTTGAGCGCCCCCTGCAGCCCAGCCCTTGCACTGCAGAGAGGCTCCTGTCTGGGCTCCCAGAGCATTTTCCCCCCAGTATGAAGTGGCTGTGTCCTGGCTCAGAATGCTCCTTTAGTGACACGTGACACCATGTGCTGCTGACGCCATCGCTTGCAATAGTAAATTGGTCGTAGGAAAAAGCCAGTGAACTCTGCAGAAACACCCCAAGCAAGGATTCTATGAAACCACCAGGGAGCCCCTTCTGTGGCGCTCCGGAAGCACTGGATCAGTCCACACTCACAGTGAGTCCAGGAGCTTCCAGGGGCTTTGGGAGAACACCTAATCTCTTGTCGGTTCCTGTGGATGAACATCTCATCAGATAATTTCTAAACCTACAAAATCATGGGTCTCAGAAGCCACTGCAAAACTCCTAATACACACACACACACACACACACACACACACACACACACGGTGGTTAGAGTCCCCACAGTAATGGACACACACACACACACACACACACACACACACTGTGTCTAGTGTCCTCACAGTAATGGGAGGGAACTGTGCCTTACTCCCTGTGTCTCGCGCATTGGTCGTGCGCCCACAGTGCCCCTAGGCCTGGGGATATGCCCTTGTCAACAGAGCGACAGCAAACACTTTACTGGAGATGGGGCCCTGCACACACTGTGGCTTCCCTGTTCTCCCAGAACCTGGGATCCTGCAGATACCCCTAAGAAGAGTCCAGGCTCCCCCTGGGAGGGTCAGCCACAGCCCAGCCCCACCGAGTCGGTGCAGCCTGCACTGAGCCGCTGACCTGTGGAGAGGGTCACGCCAGACCCACAGCCCAGCCAGCCCCACTCCCAGAGGCACATCAAGGAAGGGGGCAGAACCCTGGGGACTCTTGATGGGCATCTTTTCAGGAGCAGACACACGAACTGTTCCAGGAACAGGGGACCTGGGAAGGTCAGTAGCTGGTCAGGGTTTCTGAGGACCAGCGTCAGTGATGGGACCTGCCTGTCCCTTCTCATATGGGATGTCTCTCCTGGGGATCCTGTACTGTCTTATTTGTGCAGGTTCACTCTGTGGGACTTGTCTTTATAAATCTCAAATCTCAGGAACAGGAGAGCTGTGCTTCAAAAGCCCCCATAGAGAAGACACATTCCCATCCTGCTGTGACTGAAACAGCTCCATCCTGGGCATGGGGAGGGCTCATGTGTCCCACCTGGGATGAGAAGCAGCAGCCACACGTGAGCTGAGGAGGACTCAAGGCTGCTTCCCAGCACTTCCCCACAGAGTGAAATTTGTGTGTTTGCCCCAAATCCAGGCTGGCCCTGTGACTTGCTTCTTTCAAACTTCTTGGCCTGGAAAGTGCAGGCACCAGCTGTCACTGTCACCACTATTGTGACAGTGTACACAGCACCAGGACAGGATCCCAGGGATGGGGCTGAGGACAGACACTAGCTAAGTGGACCCATTGAAAACGTGCGGATCTGCTGAGGTTCACACTCCTGGAAGGACAGATCTTGGAGGGTTTGGAGGAGGAAGCAGCCACTGTCGGTGACTCAGGATCTGCTGCTCTGCGGGTCACCTCGTTGGCAAGTAACAGTGGGCAGGTGAGTGTGGTTCATCCCCTACAGGGACACCAGGCTTCCAAATGCCCCTCTTCACCAGGAAAGAAAGTGGCTTTGTTCATACTGGTTGCTCCAGCCGTCTGGTCATCCTGTCTTCCTGACCTTCTTCCCGTGTCCCTCAGGGCTGTGACACATGGACAAAGACACTTTCTACTCCAACCATTGATTCCCCAAGCCAGCTCCCTCTAGAAAAGCCATGATGTCTTCCTGGTTCTGTGTCCCTGGCTGAACCAGAATGGACACACATGGATATACCAAAGTGTCAAAGTGGAGGAGAGGAATCTTGGCAAAGATCACTCAGGAAAGAGAAAGGAATTCATTTGTGTGCAATGAGAGGGTGTGGGGCATGTCTGGAGGCTGCAGGAGCCAGAAGCTTCATATTTTTTTAGTGACCTCGGTTTTGTCTCCCCTGTTGTTGTGAGGCTTCCCTGAGTTCTCCTCCTCAGATAGACTCTGTGCCTTTTCACGCAATGACCTATAGGAGATGTTTACACCAAACAAAAAGCCTCAAACCTGGTTTATATTCTGATCTAAATTTTCAAAAGATAAACCCAAGAGAGATTCAAAGAAGTGATTATAAAATATCAGGATATAGCACTTGGCTGAGAAAACCTTAAACTCATATTATTTTTATGAACCATATGCATAACAAAACTGCCCAATTCCTCCACTTTATCAGAGACTGCCTGCAGGATGAATTTCAATGCCACCTAATTTAGAGTAGGAGCAAAACTTAAAATCCTCTGTAGGTCTGAGTGCCACTAATAACAACAACAACAAAAAATTTCAACCATTATGAAGTTTTAAGAGATGCCACAATGACAGCCTGGGTTGATAGGTGATGGCATTTTCCCTGGGCATATTCTGTGAAGAGTGATTACGGTAGCTTTTTCTTCTAATGAGGAGAAAGCAACAGAGAAAGTAAAAAATAATAATAATAACAATAATCACAAAACAGAAAAAAGTGGTCCAAATTATTTAACAAAAAAAGCACTAGAAACTGACACAAATTAAAAGGAGATACATTGATTACCTAGCAGAAAATTCAAAGTAAACCTTATAAATATGTTCACTGAGCTAGGAGAAGAATGCACGCACAACATGAAAATATTAACAGGGACAAAAAAGGGAGAGAGATGAGATACGATGATTTGTGGCTTAACAGTAGGGATACACTGGCCAGGCGCAGTGGCTCACGCTTGTAATCCCAGCACTTTGGGAGGGCAAAGTGGGTGGATCATGTAGGTCACGAGTTCAAGACCAGCCAGGGCAACATGGTGAAATCCCATCTCTACTAAAAAATAGAAAAAAAGAATTAGCTGGGCGTGGTGGTTCATGCCTGTAATCCCAGCTACTCGGAAGGCTGAGGCAGGAGAATCGCTTGAGCCTGGGAGGCGGAGGTTGCAGTGAGCCAAGATTGTGCCACTGCACTCCAGCCTGGGTGACAGAGTGAGACTCCATCTAAAAAAAAATGAAAAACAGTAGGAATACATCTGAGCAATGTGTCCTTAGGCAATTTGTCATTGTGCAAGGATCATAGAGTGTGTTTACACAAACCTACATGAAATACCTTGCTACACCCAGGCTGCGTGGGATAGCATAGTGCTCCTAGGTAACAAATCTGTATGTCATGTAAGTGTAGTGAATACTGTGGGCAGCTGAATCACCATGGTAGATGTTTATACAGATGAACATATCTAAGCATGGAAAAATGCGGTGAAAATACAGTATTATAATCTAATGAGACCTTTGTCCTGTAGGTGGCCTGTTGTTCACCGAAATATCATGATGTGCACGATTCTATTCAAGTTGCTGAAAATAAAAACAAAGCCAAGAAACTTCCAAATAAATATGTTACATGGATTAAAGCTTTTCTTCAATAATGCAGGAGGTTTGAGAAGTTTCCCAAAAAAGTAAAAAGTGGACAAGTTCATCACCACTAGACCGGCCTTACAGGAATGCTAAGTGTCTCTGGCAGGTTTCCAGAACAAGGAAGTAGCTGCATCAGCTCCACTCTGTTATCTGCCAATTGATAGATTTGCATAGTTTTTAATTTTAATTTATCTTCTGTTTTTTTCCCTCCATAAACTCCTTCTCCCTTCCTTTCATAATTCTGTCTATTAATGCAACTCATATTTAGCTGAAAATGCTGGGGTCATTGGAATAAATTTCTATTTTTCCTCCACCAAATCTAATAAGCTGTCTCCAGGGGTGTCCATCTCCGTTTTCTTTTCTGCCATTCCCATGGGATAATTTCCTTGTTCCTATGTGAGTCCAGCCCTCATCACCATGGGCCATCCAACCATCATGCACCCAGGAACAGCTTCAGGAAATGTACCCTGCCAGCTGCCTATCATCCTCCACCTGCACAGTGATCATTCCTTCAGCTTTCACTCATGCTGGAGGGCTTTCTACACAAAAGGGCATTTCACACCCACTCCCAGCACAGTTCTGGGACCCTGTATACCTCCCAGAGACAGGTACACATCCTTCCCCTTTGTTGTTAATTTTGTTTAATTTATTTAAAATTCACTGGGAAATCACTGATGATGGGGGTGACCAGCCTGTCCATTCCATCTGACGGCCCCACCTGTGAGGTTGGCCACCCTAGTGTGCTGTGCTCATGGGGCCATCTGGACACACACAAACACCAGGTGTGTGAGTTATTAGAGGAGACCCGGGGTCAGCAGGTGTCTGTGCCCCACAGGACACAGGTCTGTCCTGCAGTAGAGCCTGCATGACCTGGAATCATACATGTGCATGACCCGTGGTCTCAGCACATCAGTTGAGGCCAGCTTCAGGCAATTCCTGTGTAACCTGCCCTGAGTGCCCACAGAGGACAGATGCATGACAAGGATGTAAGGGAATGATGTGGGTTAGGGGAACTGAAGCTCAATCTTTACTGAGGCTTTACTCGGCACCTGGACCTTATGGAAGACTAAGAAGAAGAGAACAAGAGCCCGGCCCCAAATATCTCCTGGTTTAAGGTCAGCTTTAGTGGGATTTTAGAGAGTAGAAGACACAGGGGTGACGCTGGAGTGGTTTTCTTTGGGATACTTGGGGAGCAGCAGAAGGTGGGCCGGGATCAGGACTCCATCTGGCTGGTTCTCATGATCTACATGGATTCTCATAGTGGAAAGTGAGAGACATGACCTAGAACACAGCCCCCCAGGGCTGATCTCAGAGAAGCCTGCTAAGTGAATGACTCAGCAGAAATGTGGTGGGGTTTTCATCTTGGATCTATTTTTCTTTATAAAAATAATCTGAGAGATGTGTCAGCCTCGGTGGGCTGCTTCTCCCTCCAGGAGACGGAGCTAACACAATTGTATCTGTGAATCTGCTTGGCTTTCCATCAGAAGATACCACAGACTAGGTAGTTTCAAATAACAAATATTAATTTTCTTATTGTTCTGGAGTCTTGACGTCCAAGATCTGGGTGCAGAAAGGGTTAGTTTTTTGAGAGCCCTCTTCCAGGCTTGCAAAGGGCCACCTTCTCATGCAGCGCGTCCCCACATGGCCTCTCCTCTGTGTGCATGTGGAGAGAGAGGCCTCTGATGTCTTCCACTTCCCATAAGGACAAGAGTCCTACTGGATTAGGGTCCCACATTTATGACCACAGTTAACTTATTTGCCTTCTTAAAATCCCTCTCTCCAAATACAGAGCCACTGGGATTGGGGTTTCATCACATGAATTTAAGAGCAGGACACGATGCAGCCGATGACGCCAATCAAGAGATGGTGGGAAGCCTTGAAATATTTTTTCAAGAAGGTAAAATGGGCCTTGTGGGAATTTGTTGAAAAAAAGGTGCCAGTGACTGTTAAAACCTTAATGGTAAACAGAGAAATTTCTCCCTTCTTTCTTGCCTGCAGCGAGGATGTGAGGAAGCAGAACCACAGATAATAAAGAAAGAGGAGGCCTGGGGACAGCTGAGGTCCTGGCGAGGAGGGAGAGCACTGAGCTGATGAGGAAGCCCCGCCCTCCCTGCACCTGCTCCAGACCCGGCCTCTTGCTCTGTGGGCCCCGCGCGCCCCCTGCTGGCTCTGAGCAGCACCTGCGCCGGTCCCCTCCGCCTCCCTGCAGGGAGGTTTGTGTCTGGGCTCACACTCACCTCCCCTCACTGTGTCTCTCGCACAGTAATACACGGCCGTGTCCGCGGCGGTCACAGAGCTCAGCTTCAGGGAGAACTGGTTCTTGGACTTGTCTACTGATATGGTGACTCGACTCTTGAGGGACGGGTTGTAGTTGGTGCTCCCACTATGATAGATTTCCCCAATCCACTCCAGCCCCTTCCCTGGGGGCTGGCGGACCCAACTCCACCAGTTACTACTGCTGATGGAGCCACCAGAGACAGCGCAGGTGAGGGACAGGGTCCCCGAAGGCTTCACCAGTCCTGGGCCCGACTCCTGCAGCTGCACCTGAGACAGGACCCCTGTGAACAGAGAGACCCACAGTGAGCCCTGGGATCAGAGGCACCTCCCATACCCCCATGTCTGCAGCCTTGAGACACTCACATCTGGGAGCTGCCACCAGGAGGAGGAAGAACCACAGGTGTTTCATGTTCTTGTGCAGGAGGTCCATGACTCTCAGAAAGTATTTCCCATGTGAGCTGGACCCTGAATTTAAGGAAATGTGTGGTGGTTTCCTGTGGGTGCCTAAGTGAGGATTTGCATGTAGGTGGTGCCTTTGTATAAAGAGGTGAAAAGGGATGAGGGAGGCCCCAGTCTTTTAGGCTCGCCCTGGGATGAGGATGCTTGCTTTGCCCTTTGAGAACTCAGTTCTCTTCCTGGGGCCTCAACTAGCCATGCCCTGGCTCCTCTTTTCCCAGGTGAGGAAGTAGATTGGAACAGCAGCTTAACGTAATAATCATGTGAGTTCAGACACACCAGGATTCACTTAATGTATAGTTCGGGACCTCCATCATGTTTAGAGGGAATCTCTCTGTTCTAGGGAGTGGGCCATTTTTTTAAAATTTTTAAATTAAAATAAATTTTTTAGATGAACTTTTGCTCCTTTGCCCAGGCTAGAGTGCAGTGTCCCGATCTCGGCTCACCGCAACCTCCGCCTCCTGGGTTCAAGTGATTCTCCTGCCTCAGCCTCCCGAGTAGCTGGGAGTACAGGCACGCACAACCACCCCCGTCTAATTTTTATATTTTTAGTAGAGATAAGGTTTCACCATGTTGGCCAAGCTAGTCTCAATGTCCCGACCTCAGGTGATCCACTTGCCTTAGCCTCCCAAAATGCTGGGATTACAGGCCTGAGCCACCATTTTAACTAAGGCACTGGGAGCTGCCCTCTGAGACCTTTTGAGTCCTGGAATTCTTTCTGAGACCTTAGGAAAAACTCGTGGGACATATCTTCATCATTCTCAATGTGTGACCCTGAGGATGTGTCCTGACCTCTGTACACTTCTGTGTGAAAGAGTAGATTGTGAATTGCAGTGAAAATTTCATATGTAAACTCTATAATAGGTCAGCACTGGAGGATATTCTCATTACCAAGATTACTGCAGTTACCTTTCCTGGAAACCAGAGAGGAATTCTGTGAGCCCTCACCTCTGAGTGCACAAGGAACCCTGGTCCTGTCTGACAGGTCTCACATGTGACATGGGGGAAAACAGATACATTCAAGTCCAGTGTTTTCACCCATATATTGACCAATCTAGCCTGATCTATCTGTCTCTGAAAAGCCTTTTCCTTCATTGAATGCATGAACATACCCTTGGGTATGGGGTATTGCAATGTGGGTATTTGGTATTTGTTTAGTGAATTATGTAATTAATAGGCTACCTCCATGAATGTGTGTAACAGTAGAGTTATCAGAAGTTGGATGAGTCATATTATCAGGACAAACCTGGACTCTCTTCTTGGGACCTGGACAAGTGGCCAATCTTCTGTGGTAAAGCAAAGGGGAAGAGACAGATCCAACATCCAGAAGCAGGGTAGCTCCTCACTTACCAGCTGGTGTCTGAGACTTTTGTTAGAATAGATGAAAAACGACCTACCTTCACCTTCAGGGAAATGATGAACTTCGTATGAAATTGAGGTTAATTTTCACTTACAGAGAAGAAAATGTCATAGCCATGTATATATCTATGTGGGTGTGTACGGGTTTCCAGGATGTGTTCATACACAGAAAGGAAGCAGCTATATTTGCTGGGAAGAGAACCGAAGAGCTTCTGAATTTGTAGGTGTTGTTAACCACAAATGTGTCATGTTACTACATCGTGTCATAGTGCTGGTGGTAAAACCTCCCAAAATTGTCATGGAGACAAATGCAAAGAAATAAAGATTCAAATCAGATGCCTTTGGTCTGTAATGAACAGACCAAGAAATCAACCATTATGGAAAGAGTGATAGTTAAATGTAGTAGTAAATTCCACGCTGAGGTGAGAGGGAAGTTCCATCTGACAGCTCACTTTCACCTCTGGGAAGACTTCAGAGCACAGACTAAGAGCAGAGAGTGAACTTAGGGCAAGTGCGGTCAGATGTTTGAGGAGGATGGAGAGAGAGCTGGAATCCTTGTGAGCCATTCGGAGAAGCAGCAGTGTGCCAGGGTGTATTGAGTCCTCCTGAGTTAACAGGTGCTGAACAGATACCAGTTTCACTGCCCTCATTTTGATTTATCCTCAAGAGTCTATTGGATTTCTAGATTTGAACACTGGAAAAGTTGATGAAACTCAACATGACTAGGAATATTTCCGGGAAGATTTATGTAATGATGTGAGCGTATTTAAAATTAGGTTATGAAAATTTCATTATCTAAAATGTTGGTATCAGTATCTATTGATTTGTTCTATTTTTCTTAGAGACAGGGTCTTGCTCTGTCTCTCAGGCTGGAATGCAGTGTCATCTATGAATTTTATAGTATTAAAAATGATCGGCCGGGCGCGGTGGCTCACGCCTGTAATCCCAGCACTTTGGGAGGCCGAGGCGGGCGGATCACGAGGTCAGGAGATCGAGACCATCCCGGCTAAAACGGCGAAACCCCGTCTCTACTAAAAATACAAAAAATTAGCCGGGCGTAGTGGCGGGAGCCTGTAGTCCCAGCTACTTGGGAGGCTGAGGCAGGAGAATGGCGTGAACCCGGGAGGCGGAGCTTGCAGTGAGCCGAGATCCCGCCACTGCACTCCAGCCTGGACGACAGAGCGAGACTCCGTCTCAAAAAAAAAAAAAAAAAAAAAAAAATGATCACCCTGATTAATGTTACCGTATTATCCCCTTGAGGGATTTTGCTCCATGTGTGCCTGTGACATAGTTCTAGTCACAGATGCAGGAGAAGTGGTCTGTTGAGGCAATTCTTCCTCCTCAGAGGAGAATATAAACTATCATCTCCTCACCTTGCTTATTCCATTTTCAGAATTGCACACGACCTTTGGGAATGCTGTCGCCATGTCTTACACGGTGGGAGTCGACTGTGGCATGAAGCTGGACTGGAGATGTGCAATTTTAGGAAAATACAGAACCTGGGCACACAAAGTTTTGAACTAATTGGGCCTGGAGCCACTCACATCCTGGCATCTTGTTGAATTGTTTGTCATTTTAAATTCTGGTTATTTAGTTCAAGTTTCCTTGATTCTCTTTCTGCTAAAATAGTCATTCATAATCATCTAAATAAATTAAATTGGAAAAAAATTACTAATTTGAAAATTAACCTCGTTTCTGCTGAGGTCAAAATTAGTTTGAGGTGCACAGAGTGATGGGCATGGACATAGCAGATTACCAAGATTTCACTCACAGCCTAGGTAATCACTACATTTTATCTAAATTAGGAAACACTTCTGTACATTCCTTATATTTATTAAACTCCTGTTGAGAAACTTCAACTGTTATATGTTGATGGATCCTGCCCAATAATAAAACTAAATGTTTTTAAACACGAATTCCTATTACAATGTTAGCTTTACTTTAGGACACATTTCTTCACCTCATTTCAAATTGGCCCAGATGCACTGATTAGAGCGTGTCAGTTAAGAAACGACCAGGAAATGAGATCACGTTTCTGGAGCAGGACATGGCTTTGGGATGCTTTGCAAACGAAGTGGTTTCTCATGTCTTCTTGAAAATCCATTGAAATGGGCAAGTTAAGGACCTCTTAGAAGCACTCTTCCATCCCATATACTTGACTAATAAAAAGGTGGAAGTCAGTGCGGAAAAATAGATAACATGAAAGCTAAAGTAAGATTTGTACCAGTTCATTGCGCCAAACATGTAATCTTAACCTAGAGTAGGATCTTATCTGAACCCTCAGGAGGTAAATTTCCTGAGAGATTCAAAGATGTCTTTATAAAATAACAACACTTAGCCCCCGATTTTATGTTAAAATAATGGAAAACTCCTGGTAATCTACTTCACTCAGTGTAAATCAGTTAAAAACAAAATTCTGGAAAACCTGTGAAGGTGGGACTTGCCGAGGAACTGAGCCTTGGGGGCCTTTGGACACTTTTAGTTGGATTTTCTTCAGCTTTGACTCTCCATGGAATTTGAACAAGTTTCGTTTACTGTCTGCTGTTTTTCTGAATGACTTGAAGTAATTACTTGACAAAAGCCTACAACCTTCTCAGTTGATAGACATATTTTATGTTTTCGACCTGTGACATGCCGATGTTTTCATCAGGTAACTGAAGCACACCCACTACAGGAAGCAACTGTTATAAAGTGATTCTGTAAGGTGTTTCCATTACTCAAATGCTAAACTGCTATTACCAGCAACAATATTCTGTAAATGTTGAAAAAAATGGCATTGCTACGTAGAATTAATCACAAATTTTAAAACTTTTTCATATATTATTTATTGTTTAAATTCATAAGCATGGAATGTTTATTTTTCCATTTATTTGTTTTATCTCTGATTTTTTTCACATGTGTTTTGCTGTTTTTCTAGTAGAGATATTTCATCTCATTGGCTTAACTCTATTCCTAGGTATTCCACTGTCTTGATGGCTATTGGGAGAGCATGTTCTTGATTCCACTCTCAGCCAGAACGTTGTTGGTGACTAGAAAGGTTACTGTGATTTTCGTACATTGATTTTATATCCTGAAACATTCCTAAACGAATGTATCAATACTAGGAGACTTTTGGCAGAGCCTTCAATATTTTCTACATATAGAATCATATTATCAGTGAAAACAGAGGGTTTGCATTCTTCTTTTTCTTTTATTTGGATGCCTTTTATTTCTTTCTCTTGCCTGATCTGGTGAATACTTCCAGTACTAGGCTGAATAGAAGTGGTGAGAGCGGGCATCCTTGTCTTGTTTCTGTTCTTAAGGAAAATGCTTCCAGTGTTTGCCCATTCAGTATGATGTTGGCCATGGGTTTGTCATAGACGGCTCATCAGATTGAGGTGTGCTCCTTCAATGTCTATAATTTTGAGGATTTTTATCATGAAGCGTTGTTAGATTCTATTGAAAGCTTTTTTCCTGCATCTGCTGGAATACTCACATGGTTTTTGCTTTTGATTCTGTTTAGTAGAGCATCACATTTATTGCTTTGCACAGGTTAAAGCACTTGTACAGTGCTGGATGGAATGTGAATTAGTCCAAGCACTGTGGAAAGCAGTTAAAGCAGCCTTGCATTTGCAGAATGAAGCCTACTTGATTGCAGTGTGTTAACTTTTTGATAAACTACTGGATTTGATTTCCTACGTTGAGAATTTTTAAGCCTATGATCATGAGAAGTATTTGTCTTGAATTTTCATCTCTTCTCAGGAGCAGACACAGGCACTGATCAGGAACTGGGGACCTGTGAAGGTGAGTAGCTGGTCAGGGTTTCTGAGGATGAGCGTCTGTGATGGGACCTGCCTGTCCCTTCTCTTATGGGATGTCTCTCCTGAGGATCCTGTACTGTCTTATTTGTGCAGGTCCACTCTGTGGGACTTGTCTTTATAAATCTCAAATCTCAGGAACAGGAGAGCTGTGCTCCAAAAGCCCCCATAGAGAAGACACATTCCCATCCTGCTGTGATTGAAACAGCTCCATCCTGGGCATGGGGAGGGCTCATGTGTCCCCCACACTGGGATGAACAGCAGCAGCCGCATGTGAGCTGAGGAGGACTCAAGGATGTTTCCCAGCACTTCCCCCAAGAAGGAAATTTGTGTGATTACCCCATATCCCGGCTGGCCCTGTGACTTGCTTCTTTCAAACTTCTTGGCCTGGAAAGTGCAGGCACCAGCTGTTACTGTCACTCCTGTTGTGACACTGTACACAGCACCAGGGCAGGAGCCTGGGGATGGGGCTGAGGAGAGACACTAGCTAGGTGAATCCATTGAAAACTTGGGGACCTGCTGGGGTTCCTACTCTGAGAAGCACAGATCCTAGAGGGTTTGGAGGAGGAGGAAGTCACCATCAGTGACTCAGGAGCTGCTGCTCTGCAGGTCACCTGATTGGCAGGTAGCAGTGGGCAGGTGAGTGTGCTTCATCCCTACAGGGACACGAGGCTTCGACCTGCCCCTCCTCACCAGGAAGGAAACTGGCTTTGTTCATCCCGGTTTCCCCAGCTGTCTGGTCATCCTCTCTTCCTGACCTCCTGCCCAGGGCCCTCAGGCCTGTGATGCATGGACAAAGTACCTGGAGGTACCAAAGGACCTGGAGGTTCCAGGAGGAAATAAAAACGAGTTTGGGGTCTATGAGCTCTCTCACCCTCACACTAGTTCAGACATGCCCTTTCTGTTTATTTAGTTCAGATTTACATATAACAAACCACACAGCCAGGCTCGTCTAAATTGCCACATGCTTGTTTAAACACATTGGAGCAGCATTAATCCTCACATTGATCTCAGAGAATCTTGGTTCCAGTTCACTGTTTACATTAGCTGAGAGCAGCATCAGGGACACACTGGAGTGGACATTTCTTCCCTAAAAAAGCCTCACTCCCAAATATACTAAAGAGCTGCCATGGAGCCATTGTGTGGTTGGATTTCTTCTTATCAGCCTGTCATGGAGGATATTTTGAATGATGTAGACTTTACACTTAGATGGTAATGACTCCCATTGTTGTTGAAATGGCTGGCAGCCCACAATCCTGTTTCTCCTCTCAACTCACCTGAATGTCTCCAAGAACCCCAGGAACCTCAGGACTCCCTTCATGGATGACTCTGAGGATTGTTAGTCTGCTCAGTGCTACACACAGAAGTAGCTAACAGAGGATTCTCAGTCCGCTGACATGTTGGGCTCATAACATAGGACACACATCCAAGAGTGGCCAATTCATGTCAATGCCAATGGAAATTTAATTGAAGAGGCATTATTTTTAGTGCATTGGAGTGTAAAATCTTCATGATTCATGGCAATAGAGCCACAGACTGAATGCTTTGCAGAAGAAGTGAGCTCATTGTTAGAAGAAAGAGGCCTGCCCCCAAGAAGTCAGTCTCTTTAACTAAAGCACCTGAAATATGGTGTCCTGAGACCTTGTGAAAATTCATTTCCTGGAGTAAAGAAAGGGGAAAGCTATTCTTAAATCATTGGAAGAAACCATATCAGAAATTTTATCAACACAGCAGTCAAATTCCAGTAAGTCAATGCTTGGGTTTATGTTTCACAACTCAGGAAGCAATAAAGAAATCTACATAATCGGAAGGCTACTCCAACAGAGGGAATTTTGACCTATTTAATTAATAGGCCAGTATTCACTCAAAGACACACTCCTGTGAGATCTCCAACTTAAACAGATCTCTGTAACCTGAAGAAGTTTTCTCAACAGATTCTTTTTTCTCTAGACACTCGCAAATGCAAAAATACATTTTGTATATTTGTGTATGAGTGATCTAGAGAAGTCCTTGCCTTGTTAATGAAAGTTCATGGAAATATGATAACTGCATCACTTACTGTGAACTCACACTTCACTTGTCTCAAAAATTTCTCACCCATGTGATGGAGCAATGGGTGCCTGTAAGAATATGCTGATTTTTGGACTCAATGTGTTCTCTTTGCTTGACTTATAGACGCATGTCTGACATCTGAGACACACCCTGGGGAGCTGTCTCCAGACACAATAATGTAATCTTCTTCATGAACACAACTCTGCATTCTCCACATACCTCAGCCACACCTGAGGGGAGAGCTGTTAGCTTCACCGTCCAAAAGCGCTTTATACCCTGGAGTCTGAAAAATAATTTGGATGTGATACCACCTTGTACTTGTAATATAGAGGGCAGAGGTCAGCCTCCCCCTGGACTTGAATGTGTTTTATTGTTGTATGTATTTTCTTGCAGACATGAATTACTTGCTTGACAAAAACTACAGCCATGCCAGTTCATAAAATTTTCCTTATTCTGATTTTCCCATCTGTGGCATTTGAATTTCAATACTGAGTGAGCGATGTGCATACCTCACAGGAGCAATTACAAAATAACTCTTTTTAGCTCCTTAGTGTTACTCAAATGCTGCACTGTCCTTACTGCCAAAAATCTTCTGGAAAGTTCTAAATAAAACTGAATCATATGTTGCATCGTTAAGTTAAAAGTCGCATAACATTCAGAAACACATGAGCTTTTTTGCCGAAGGTAAATCTGCTAAAACTTACAACACAGGGTCTGCTTTCTCAAGGACACAAACATTATCACCGTATGACTTGATTCATCAAAAGCCCATGTATTTTCAATTACATCTTCAATATTAGACTCTGATTCATTAAATGCAGATACAGCAAAGTATTTTAGGGGACTCATGTGCTATGCAGAAGCATTCAACAGGATGTTAAAGATGCCTTCCCACCAAATCTTCCTAATTATCTTTTTATTGTCATTAACTTGGAAATTCTTTATTTTAGAAGAGACATCAGAGAAAAGCAGCTTCAAACATTGTCAAAAGGCCTTATTATTTAACGTTATCAACAAACGCAGCAGTAATCCAGGATATCAGTTCATAGGTTTATGAAGTGAAAATGGGATGGGTTACAAAAGTTGTTTTGAGAGAACGATCCTGTAGTTGTAGAATCAATATCAAGGGTGGCATCAGTGTAAGGTTGAACTGGCAGTGTCTGGGATGATGTCCTTGCAAAAGTAATTCTTTATAAGATTGTGGTGTCTTCTTCCCAAGATTGTGGTTAAGCAGAGTCTATTTATGATAGTTCTTGTTATCAAGAATATGGGCTTAAGAACCCTCCTTCATGGTCATTCCTAGTTTCATTTGTCAGGGTGTTAACACAAGTGGCTCCATTTTGATTCTGACAACTTTCCCACTCTCTTTCTAACACTACAGGTGAGGAAGGTGAACCTGTGTTAGTTTGCACAACACAGGATAAATTCCACATCCACATCCCATTTTGACCACACAAGCTCATCCCCTTCACAACTATTGGTCACTTGCATTCCCAGGTGAGTCTCCACACAACACACTGGAGGGTTCTGAGCAACGGGAGAGAAGATAGTCCCGTCAGCCTCTCCCACGTGGCTGCAGGAGCCACAGTCTGAGCCCCACCTGAGCTGCAGGGAAAGGGCTTGAGCCCTGGAATTTTTACAGCAAGAACCACATCTCCACTTTACAGGGATCAGGAACAGCGAAAGGAAAATCAACAACAAACACAACTAACAAGAAATAGAATGGGCTACGAGCAAAAGGGGCCCCAGATCAGTGCTGATACAGATTTGCATACTTTAGTGTCAGGAGAAGGGTCAGACGTAAATCCTGTGAGGTTCTACCTGACACTGACCCTGGCCCAGCCTCTCTCTTGGCTGAGGTTAGAATTCCTAAATACTGCTTTCTTCAGGGAACCCCACTAAGGTCCCTGTCCTGAGTGTGACTGGAGAAGACTCACTGGGTTCCCCTCAGCTTCCACAGGGCTGTGACCCTGGTGACCACTGGCAGAGGGATTGTTCCGCATTTAGTGCCTGTGAGAAGGTTTCCTCCTGGTACAACAAAACTGTGGTATTTCAGAGACGTAGAGCTAGGCACAGCATCATGAAATAAGGGAGGGTCCCTGGAGGAAACATGTAGATGTAGAGGCAGCCCCACACCCTGGCAGTAAACCAGCCTCTCATCTCCACCCACACCTGCTCTGGGGCTGGCCCTGTGCTTCCTGCAACCTGCTCTTCCCCTGGTGGTCTTGAGTCCCCCTCACGGTCCTGAGTCTTGCTGGCGGTCCTCAGTGCCCTGAGAGCAAGTTTTGTGTCAGGGCTCACAAGGACACCTCCTCACTGAGTCTTTCACAGTAATACTCAGCCATGTCCTAGGCAGCCATGGAGCTGAGCCTCACAGAGAACTGGCTCTTGGTTGAGTCATTGTTGATGGAGATGCAGACCTGGGTAGAGGGTGCATGATGTGTATTCCTTGGTGATCTTGATGATGATCTTGGTGATCTTGGTGATCATGATGTGTATTCCTGGTAGCTGTGCCCCAGCCATTCTAATCTGTTGCCCAGGGGATGGTGGATTCAGCTCAAATAATATCCACCGGTAAAAAAAAAGAATCCAGACACAGCACAGGTGGAGGGCAGTGTCTGAGGGCCTCATGGGTCCTGGACCTGACTCCTGCAGCTGCACCTGGGACAGTACACCTGGAATAAGAGGGAACATCCTGGTGAGTCACACACAGAGCTCACTGTCCCCATCACCCCATTTCTTATTTCTAGAATTTCACACTGAAAAGCTGTCATCCATCAAAGACATGTAAAAAGTTGATCTAATTGAGAGAAAGATTAACGCCTTTCATGGGGAAATTGTGCTCAGGCTGATGACAGAGCAGTATCTAGGGAGGAGAGAGGCTGACAACACCCAGCATTGTTCTCCTAAACAGAGTTTGAGGAGAAGTGTGCATGTGCCAGGAGCCCCGCACATGTAAGGGGCAGGAACCATGGCGACCCTCTGTCTCGGAGCCTCTTCTCAGGGGTGATTTTCCTGCTCAGGCGTCAGATGACACGAAGTCATTCCTCCTCTGAAAGAGCATCCCTCTGCTGAGTGTTCAAGGCATCCATTCTCACCCCAAGGGCAGGAAGGCAGGTGACAGAAACAAGCAGGTTTGCTGGACAGAGAGGGAAGAATAGGAGTAGGAACTGGGGAAACACATGGTGCCCAGGACCTGTGGTCTACAGTCCTCCTGCTTCTTTCGGGTTCCCAGCTGGAGATGATACATTGTGAACTTTCCTGGCAGTCACGCTTCTGGAGGGAGGATTGGGGGAAATGCTGAGTAAGTTCTCCTCTTTGCTGAGCACAGCGTTTTCACTCTCTGTGGTATGTGGTTTAATCCCTTCCCGGTTGAGTCACCCCTGCTCATCCCTCCCTGTTGCTCCCCAGGTTTTGCTTCTTTGCTCACAGTCTTATCCTTTTCTAGATTTCTTTTCCTGGAGCCCCCATAGTAGCCTTGAGTGACAACATCACTCCAGTCCACAACATCTTATAAACTGTGATTAATTTCCTTTTGATTACCTATGAACACTTTATAAGAAAATAGATGGTATGGAGAAACATTGCTTTCCTGTTATACATAGAGCCCTGCTGCATTCTCAACAGGCCTGAGGAAACACACACACACACACACACACACACACACACACACACACACATAGATTCCCACATCCCCTTTCAATTTCCAACAGGAAAAGTCACAACTGTTTTGGAAGAATTGTTTGCATGGGGCATGGGAGCCACATGAGTCATCACCCCTCTCTGAGCATACAGGATCTCCATGTTCAAAGAGGAGAGAGACTCCAGGTGTGCAGGAGCCCAGTGTTTCAGGACCTGGGAACAGAATCATGGGAGACCAAGTACAGCAGGACTGACCAAGAGGACTAAAGCACTGATGGTAGACTTTGAGTGAGGAGAACAAGGTAAGGCCTGATCTTATGTCTTCTGCCCTTCATTCTGTTGACATGATGTGTCACATTGATTGATTTGCATAGGTTGAACCATCCTTGCATCCCTGGGATAAACTGCACTTGGTCATGATGAATGGTTCTTTTGTTATGTTATTGAATTTGGTTTGCTAAGATTTCCTTGAGGAGTTTTGCGTCCATATTCATCAGTGATATTGACCTATAGTTTTCTTTTTTTTTAGGTGTGTCTTTGTCTGGTTTTTGTATAAGGGTAATGCTGGCCTCGTACAGGAGATTTGGAAGAATTCCTCCCCTCTTTATCTGTTTTTGGAATATTTTGAGTGGGGTTAGGTATTATCTCTTCTTTAAATATTTGTCATAATTGAGCAATGAAGTCATCAAGTCCCGAGATTTTATTTGCTGGGAGACCTTTTATTACGGCTTCATTCTCACTACTTGTTACTGATCTGTTCAGGTTTTCAATTTCTTCCTCGTTCAATCAAAGTTGTATGTGTCTCTAAATCTATCCATTTCTTCCAGATATTTCAATTTATTGGCATTTAGTTGTTCCTGCTAGCCTCTAATGATTCTTTGATTTTCTGCACCATTGGTTGTAATATTTCCATTTTTCTCTCTGATTTCATTTACTTTGGTCTTCTTTCTTTTTTTCTTAGTCTGGTTAAAGGTTTGTAGATGTCTTTTATCTTTTTAAAAAACAGCTTTTCATTTGATCCATCTTTTGTATTGTTTTCTTTATTTCAATTTTATGTATTAACGTTTTGATCTTTCCTTTTTTTTTTTTTACTGTGTTTGGGTTTGATTTGCTCTTGCTTTTCTATTTTTTAAAAGACATTCCTAGGATGTTTATTTTATGGTTGTCTACTTTTTTAAAGTAAGTGCTTATAGCTATAAACTTTCCTCTTAATACTGCTTTCACTGTATTTCATAGGTTTTCATATGCTTTGTCTTCTTTATCATTTCTTTCAATAAATTTTAAAATTTTTTATGTCTTTATTAACCCATTTTGGAGCATGTGGTTCAATTTGGGAGCACATTGTTTAATTAGGGAGCATATTGTTTAATTTCCATGTGTTTGCATAGTTTTCCAAGATTCCTCTTATTAATTTAGTTTTCTTCCATTATGATCAGAGAAGGTACTTGATATCTTCTCAATTAAAAAATGACTAATTTTCTGGTCTACTATATGGTCTATCCTTGAGACTGATCCATATGTTTAGGAAAAGACTGTGCACTCTACAGCCATTGGATGAAGTGTTCTGTCAATATCCATTATGTCCATTTGGTCTGTCATGTACATTTAGTCTAAGATTTCATTGTTAATTTTCTGTCTGGAAGATCTGTCCAATGCTGAGGGTGGGGTGTTAAAGTCTCCAGCTTTTACTGTATTGGGTCTATCTCTCTGTTTAGCTCTAATAATGTTTGCTTGATATATCTGGGTACTCCACTGTTGGGTGCATATATATGTATGTTTATAACCCTACAAAGGGTGCAGCCACGTTGTCCCTGTCACTGCCTCAGCTCAGCACAGCTGCCTCCTCCCACAGGGTTTTTGACACTCTCAGGATGTGGGTTTCCACACTGTGTCTCTCGCACAGTAATACACGGCAGTGTCCTCAGCCTTTAGGCTGCAGATCTGCAGATATGCCGTGCTGACAGAGGTGTCCAAGGAGAAGACAAACCGTCCTGTGAAGCCCTGGGCATACGTTGGGTTCCCAGTGTTGGTGTTGATCCATCCCATCCACTCAAGCCCTTGTCCAGGGGCCTGTCGCACCCAATTCATAGCATAGCTAGTGAAGGTGTATCCAGAAGCCTTGCAGGAAACCTTCACTGAGGCCCCAGGCTTCTTCAACTCAGACCCAGATTGCACCAGCTGCACCTGGGAGTGGGCACCTGTGGAGAGGAGATGGGAGTGCATGAAGTCTCACTTGACTGTGCTGGTTTCTCCCTCAGCCCAGTGACTGGGGAGCCCCTTACCTGTTGCTGCTGCCACCAAGAAGAGGATCCTCCAGGTCCAGTCCATGGTGTGGAGCTGTGGTCTAGGGGCTTCTTCTTAGGAGGGGTGTGGTTGTTGGGTGATGCTCTCAGGGCCCAAAGATAGCTATATTTACCTCAGTTATTTGCATATTCATGAGTGATCCTATTTCATACCTGATATTGCATGAGAAAGAGCAGAGAGATGACACACGGAGGATGCTCAAGGTTCAAGCTGTAATCCCCTTAGAGGCCATGTGAGCCCTGCCATATCCCTAAGCTCTATGTTGACAGAGCTTCTCCCATTGGCTAACAATTTTCCCTAGAACAGGACTTCACTGGGAACCCACACTCAAATGGCTCAGAGGTAATATAAGCATTTCTAGGCTTTAATACATGAATGTATTATTTGGGGGATGAGTGTGTTTCTCCAAAAGTTTCACTTATTTATAGAAAAGAAAAGTAGTTTCCTTAACCTCCAGCTGCATACTATTAAGATATCTAGAAGGGTTAGAAATCTCCAGTGTAAAAGTGGTTCTCATTACAACATCAAGTTTGATAAATGCTCGCAATTGAATAGGATATTTATAGAATGTTCAGTTGTCAAATATGTATTTTAGATTTTTTAAAGAATGACACAGATCTCGAGAGGAATCCCTCCCCAGCCTCCTGTGCACCTGCTCTGGGGCTGAAACTTGTACTGGGTGGGCTTTGAGCGTCCCCTGCAGCCCAGCCCTTGCACTGCAGAGAGGCTCCTGTCTGGGCTCCCAGAGCATTTTCCCCCAAGTATGAAGTGGCTGTGTCCTGGCTCGGAATGCTCCTTTAGTGACACGTGACACCATGTACTGCTGACACCATCTCTTACAATAGTAAATTGGCCGTAGGAAAGCCAGTGAACTCTGCAGAAACACCCCAAGCAAGGATTCTATGAAACCACCAGGGAGCCCCTTCCCTGGAGCTCCGGAAGCACTGGATCAGTCCACACTCATAGTGAGTCCAGGAACTCCCAGGGACTTTGGGAAAACACCTAATCTCTTGTCAGTTCCTTTGGATGAACATCTCATCAGATAATTTCTAAACCTGCCCACTCCACAACTCCTAATCTACATACACACATACACACACACACACACAGTGCCTAGATTCCCCACAGTAATGGGAGGGAACTGTGCCTTACTCCCTGTGTCTAGCACATTGGTTGTGCACCCACAGTGCCCCTAGGCCTGGGGATATGCCCTTGTCAAGTAGAGCAACAGCAAACACCTTACACCTGGAGACGGGGCCCTGCACACACTGTTGCTTCCCTGTTCTCCCAGGACCTGGGATCCTGCAAATGCCTCTGAGAAGCATTCAGGCTCCCCCGGGAGAGTCAGACACAGCCCAGCCCCACCGAGTCGGTGCAGCCTGCACTGAGCCGCTGACCTGTGGGGAAAGTCACAGCAGACCCACAGCCCAGCCAGCCCCACTCCCAGAGGCACATCAAGGAAGGGGGCAGAACCCTGGGGACTGTTGATGGGGATCTTCTCAGGAGCAGACACAGGCACTGATCAGGAACAGGGGACCTGGGAAGGTCAGTAGCTGGTCAGGGTTTCTGAGGACCAGCGTCAGTGATGGGACCTGCCTGTCCCTTCTCATATGGGATGTCTCTCCTGGGGATCCTGTACTGTCTTATTTGTGCAAGTCCACTCTGTGGGACTTGTCTTTATAAATCTCAAATCTCAGGAACAGGAGAGCTGTGCTCCGAAAGCCCCCATAGAGAAGACACATTCCCATCCTGCTGTGATTGAAACAGCTCCATCCTGGGCATGGGGAGGGCTCATGTGTCCCCACACTGGGATGAACAGCAGCAGCCGCATGTGAGCTGAGGAGGACTCAAGGATGTTTCCCAGCACTTCCCCCAAGAAGGAAATTTGTGTGATTACCCCATATCCCGGCTGGCCCTGTGACTTGCTTCTTTCAAACTTCTTGGCCTGGAAAGTGCAGGCACCAGCTGTTACTGTCACCCCTGTTGTGACAGTGTACACAGCACCAGGGCAGCAGCCTGGGGATGGGGCTGAGGAGAGACACTAGCTAGGTGAATCCATTGAAAACTTGGGGACCTGCGGGGGTTCCCACTCTGAGAAGCACAGATCCTAGAGGGTTTGGAGGAGGAGGAAGTCACCATCAGTGACTCAGGAGCTGCTGCTCTGAAGGTCACCTGATTTGCAGGTAGCAGTGGGCAGGTGAGTGTGCTTCATCCCTACAGGGACACGAGGCTTCGACCTGTCCCTCCTCACCAGGAAGGAAACTGGCTTTGTTCATCCCAGTTTCCCCAGCTGTCTGGTCATCCTCTCTTCCTGACCTCCTGCCCAGGGCCCTCAGGCCTGTGATGCATGGACAGAGGCACTTTCTACTCCGGTCGTTGATTCCCCAAGCCAGCTCCCTCTAGAAAATGCATGATGTCTTCCTGGTTCTCTGTCCCTGGCTGAACCAGAGAGGACACACATGGATATACCAAAGTGTCAAAGTGGAGGAGAGGAATCTTGGAAAGCAGTCTGGAGAGAGGGTGCGAAGAACAGGAAACACTTGTACAGTGTTGGGTGGAATGTGAATTAGTCCAAGCACTGTGGAAAGCAGTCTGGAGCGAGGCTGCAGAGAACAGGAAACACTTGTACAGTGTTGGGTGGAATGTGAATTAGTCCAAGCACTGTGGAAAGCAGTCTGGAGATTTGAAAAGTATTTGAAGCAGAGCTGCCACTTGGCCCGGCCATCTCATATGTGGGTATATGCACAAAAGAAAATAAATCAGTCTACCAAAAAATACACCCACTTACATGTTCATTGCTATGCTACTCTTAATACCTAAGACATAAATCCAACCTATGTGTCCTTTCATGGTGAATTTGATCAAGAAAATATGGTACATGTATACCATGGAACACTATGCATTCACAGAAAAAGAATAAAATCATGTCTTTTGTGGCAACATGGATGCAGCTGGAAGTCAACATTCTAAGCAAGCTGATGAAGAACGAGATGATGAGAGTCAACGGGAGATGAAGCTGACATTTTGGGTTTGCCTGTGTGTAAAACGGAGAAAAGAAATCACCTGGGCACATAGACTCTTAAAATAGCCAAGTCTGGAGCCACTCATATCCCAGTTTCCATTTCATTAGGTTTTAATCTTCGTCATTTTTAGTGAGTTAAATTTGGTTTTCTTTACTCTTGGCTAAAATAACCACACGTCCTGAATTAGAGGCATTGCAATCAAAAGGTCATATTTGAAGCTTACAAGTCCCAAGTCAGGTCAAAGTTAGTGTGAGATTCAGTGTGATAGATAGGAGACATGGCTGGATACTAAGAATGGGCTCAGGGTTATTTTACCTAAATTAGGAAAATTTGTTCACATCCCTTATGTTAGATTTCATTGGAAACCTTTGTTCTAATACCATCTCTGATAGATTATACCTCAATAATTAAGCTGGAGGTTATGAATTAGTAATTTAAATTAATAGTGGAAGCCTCCATCTAGAATATATTTCTCTACCAAGTGTAAAGTTAGCTCAGACGGCAGAAATAACTGCACTCAGCAGAGCTTGTCAGTAAGGCAAAGACATACACAAACACATTTATTGCAAGGGTAGTACATGACTTGGAAGTGATCCACACACAAAAGGATTCTCGCATTGTCTAGAACACGTCAAAATGGACAAGGGAAGGGATTGTAAATGCACTCCTAAGTCCTGGAGACCTGACTAACATAACATAGGAAGAAAAGGCAAAGAAAAAAGTAGCATAATAACTAAAATACATCTGTAACTCTATCTATCTATGTATTTATGTTTGCAACTATATCTCTATCGAGGTACGTATGTATGTATGTATGTATGTAGCCATCTATCATCTATCTATTTAAAGCAAGCAGCCCTAAAATTGTTTGTAATACTATCTAAAAATGGAAGGAACTACAATCACTCATATAACACAGAATAATACTGTCTACAGCTTTCTGGAAATGTTGAAAAAATTGTAACCCTTAAATTAAAATCTTCAAAACTTTAAGAAAATCTCGGCTGGGTGTGGTGGCTCACGCTGTAATACCAGCACTTCGGGAGGCCAAGGCAGGAGGACCACTTGAGGTCAGGAGTGCGAGATCATCCTGGCCAGCATGGCAAAACCCCGTCTCTACTAAAAATATGAAAAACTTAGCTGGGTGTGGTGGCACATGCCTGTAATATCAGCTTTTGGGAGGCCGAGACAGGAATCGCTTGAATCAGGGAGACAGAGGTCACAGTGAGTCGAGATCGCACCACCGCACTCTAGCCTGGGCAACAGAGTGAGACTCTGTCTCAAACAACAACAACAAAAAAAAAAAAAAAAAGGAAAAGGAAAAGAAAATCTTGGACTTCCTTGGCCAAAGTTTCTCCCCGTGGTGTTACGGTATTATAGTCAGCTCCTCCAGAGTATGTCCGTTATTACACTATTATTTGGTGGCTGAAAGATCGTACCTTTAGAGACTTTACACTCAGTGCTCACCGCTGTCTTATTGCACGCATGCATGTGTTACAAAATATTGAAAGTGATTTCTGTATTATACCAACTCCATTCACCAACAGATTAAGGCTACTTTGGTACTTCATCTTTTCAACAGTCTCTCATGTGTCTATTGCAAATAAAGTCATGAGAAAATACTGCTCTTGAACCTCATTTCAAGGACTCTTGCCAAGTACTTTTAGCCAAAACAAAGGAGTGACTTTTAGAATGTCAATACTTAGGTCCATATTTATAAACTTTAAACTAAAAGTAAAATTGCAGTCACCCCATGAGATTGAGTGGTTCCCCCTCTTGGCCAAGGAGGCACCAAAAACACCTAAAAACTGAGTTCCCAGCTGGGCAGAACAAGAGATCAGACACACCTCATTATACCCACTCCCTTTTGTGGTTCAGAGACAACATGGACCAACACTAACATTAAAATGGAGATCATAAGACTGACAGAACAGATTCTCTGGGGCAATAAGATGCCCCGTTATAAACAAGACCTAAGGCCATGCCAGGCAGGGGTTACATCCCTCACCCCAACTCTTAAAGAATATAAACTGTTATTTTCTTCTGTAGCAGCAAAATAAGCACTGATCCTGAGATAAGCACGATTTAACCAACTGCAGCTCATCCTCTGACTAACTGACCCCCCATTCCACAGCCATAACCCCAGCTTGGATGGGACACCAGATTGATTTCAGGAATTTTCTCCTGATCAGAGACCACTGACCAAGGCCTGGTTCTGGCCATTTATGGAGGCTGCGCTCTGAGGGTCTTTGTGCCCCTGCTCCAGCTTTTGGCACTTAGGGCCTAACTGTAACACATTTAAATGCTAAGTCCCCACTGCTAAGTGGGTCACATGTGACGTGTATGTTTGCTCCCATATTCATGTGTCATGACCACCTTTATGAACACGCATAGCCCCTCCTGTAATCCGTTGATTATGTCTGTTTAGCCAACACGTTCAGCATAAAGTTTCTGCCCCACCGCTCCTCCTTGGGAGTGCCTGTCTCTCGTCTTCACCAATGGCTGTGCTTCCCAGCCTGTGAAATGGCTGTAATCTTTTATAAAAAGTAAAGGCTTATTTTTTAAAATTTGTAGATTGTGTGATTTTTCATGTAATGCAACCGAGGAATTAATTCATAAACCCACCCAGTTGTAAGGCTGCTCAAGTACGAAGGGGAGACCTGCCCCTCCACACCTGTGGGTATTCCTCGTCAGGTGGGATGAGAGACTGAGAAAAGAAATAAGACACAGAAACAAAGTATAGAGAAACAACAGTGGGCCCAGGGAACCGGCACTCAGCATACCAAGGACCTGCACTGGCACCGGCCTCTGAGGTCCCTCAGTTTTTATTGATTATTATTTTCATTATTTCAGCAAAAAGGAATGTAGTAGGAGAGTAGGGTGATAGTGGGGAGAAGGTCAGCAAAAAACATGTGAGCAAAAGAATCTATGTCGTAATTAAGTTCAAGGGAAGGTACTATGCCTGGACATGCATGTAGGCCAGATTTATGTTTCTCTCCGCCCAAACATCTCAGCGGCATAAAGAATAACAAGGCAGCATTACTGCAAATATGTCTCGCCTCCCACCATAAGGCGGTTTTTCTCCTATCTCAAAATTGAACAAAAGTGCAATCGGGTTTTATACCAAGACATTCAGTTCCCAGGGGCAGGCAGAAGACAGTGGCCTTCCTCTAACTCAACTGCAAGAGGCTTTCCTCTTTTACTAACCCTCCTCAGCACAGACCCTTTACGGGAGTCAGGCTGGGGGACGGTCAGGTCTTTCTCATCCCACGAGGCCATATCTCAGACTATCACATGGGAAGAAACCTTGGACAATACCCCGCCTTCAAGGGCAGAGGTCCCTGCGGCTTTCCACAGTGCACTGTGCCCCTGGTTTATTGAGAGTAGACAATGCGGATGACCTTTATCAAGTATACTGCTTGTAAACATTTTGTTAACAAGGCACGTCCTGCACAGCCCTAGATCCCTTAAACCTTGATTTTATACAACACATGTTTTTGTGAGCTCCAGGTTGGCTCAAAGTGGCTGGGTCAAAATGGCTGGGGCAAAGCTACAAATTAACAACATCTCAGCAAAGCAATTGTTTAAAGTACAGGTCTTTTTCAAAATGGAGTCTCTTATGTCTTCCCTTTCTATATAGACACAGTGACAGTCTGATTTCTCTTTCTTTTCCCTAGTGAAGGACACCAAGCTGAGCATTCCCATGTATCCTGTAAGGCCTGAGATATATTGAAGAAGGACTTGACCCGAGACCCTCAGAGCAAGCTGATGATCTCACAGAGTGAAGAGCTTCCACCCAGGACATTGGTCCAAGATCCCTGTTCAATTTGTTCTTCTCTTTCTTTTTGTTATGTGCTTACACTTAAAAAAACTCTATTTTCTGCAGACCTATTTGCTGTCCACCCAGAGTGAACACTTACCTCATTTTTCACTCATTTGCTTAAGTTGCTAAGTAGAATAAGTCATCAGACTCTATTTTGATGCCTCATTACTGATGACAGGATTAATCCTTTTCCTTCACTTTTGTCCCCCACACATGGGAAATTTAGTAGAAAATCATGGAAGTGTCCTCACTGGATGCCAGTATTAGGTTCAAATTATACAAGCTCCTTCCCCTTAGTAGGAAGCCCCACCATTCCTTCAACACCAAACCATCATAAAAACCCTGAGGCAGCTTCTTTCCTGCTCTATTGAGCCAGTTTGGACTTTATTGAGAGGCCTGTGCAGCCCTCAGCAGACGCCTCAATAATGGAGTTGGTAAATCTTTCCATATTCACGTGGTGTGTGAATGTGGCACCATCAGACTCGACATCCACACTAAACATTGGTGAGGGTATCTTTTCCTTTGCATGGGGTCACCTGCAATTGGAGCTGTGAGCTTGGGTCCTGACAGTGACCACCGCGGGCACTTTCTTCTCTTGCACTGGATACTAACTCCTTCCGCCCCAGTGTCTGGCATGCACCGTATCCTGCCTGCTGCTTGCTGGCCCTTTCAGTGCTGTCATGCTGGGCTGCAGTGTTGAGTTAAACAAAGTGTCTTTTATAGATTTAGCTGATTTACTTCAGAAGCATTGATAATTGACATTTAAAGACAAGATTAAGCGACTGTAGGAAACTGTCTTTTACACATGTGAGAAGATTTTTCTTTTATTAAAACAAACATTTTCATTTCAGAGACTTTGGAGATAAGCAAAAAATCATGAATTCAGATAAATTCCTCAAGGGAAGATGTTTTATGGAGAAGAAGCCACAGTGCTGACGGGAAAGAAGAGCTCAGCCTCCATCTGCACCTGCCCCTGAGGCTGGCTCTTGTGATCAGCGTGTCCTGAGCACCCCTGGGGTTAGAATCCTGTGCTCACTTCAGTGAGGTTTGTGTCTGGACTCAAACTCACTTTCCCTCTATTTTTTCCTCCAAATTAGAGAAATTGTAAGTCATGGATCAGTGCAGGTCAGAGAACACCAAATAGCAGGATAAGCCCTTAACACACACACACACGACACACACATACCCACACACACACAAACACTCTTAGGTGAATCATATTCAAATTACTAAAACATACAGACAAATGGAAATACATGCCAGCAATTGGAGACGAGTAGAGGGGGCATACCTTGCAATAGAATAGAAATGAATAATATCAGCATTGCTTTGGTTATAACCATATAAGCAATAGGACAATTGATGGTATCTGTAAAGTGTTGGGAAAAAAGTCAACCCATTATTTTATAACCAGTGAAGGAAACAGTTCCACATCTCACATGACGGTACAAGGAGCTCGATATATCCATGCCTCCATGAAACTGGTGAGATTAATTTTGAAAAATTAACGGGTCTGGAAAGGCCCTGTCAACATACAGAAAGTGAAGGAACATTTATTCGAGATAATCTACAAAACCTCAGTAAGGTCAGACATGATATTGATATTTGATCAAAGATTCTCTTCCTTCCTTCTATGCCCGAGCTCAGCATGATGTAAATTCCACCACAGATGGCTGCAGCCAAGTAGACAGGATTCCTTCTGCCCAGCTCCCAGCAGAGCACACTCTTCCCCAGGGGCCAGGACATTGGCCCTCCGACCTTGCCCACAGGTCATGCTGCTGAGGCTCAGTTCTAGACAAGACTTACTGAGAACCAGAGACTCACTTCTTCCACACAGCCCCACTCATGGATGCAGGCTCTGCCCTGAGTGCAGCACCAAGGAGGAGGACATTGGCTGCCTGGTTCCCAGCCCTGCTCCTATGGCAGAGGGTCCACCCCAGCAGGATCTGCATGCTGGTAAAGTGGAAAGCTCCTCCCCATCCCTCCACTGAGCACTCATCTCCTACATTGAGGAAGAAAAACGCTCTTAATCTCCACCTGCAGAATCTTATTTAGGAGCTCTGTCTCAGGAGTGGGGGTGAGGCTGAAATTTGGTCATAAAATAGAGTCCCGAATCTGGTCTCGAAGGACCTGACTTCATTTACAACAGAGTGTGGAGAATTACAAAAACAGTGGAGGCTGTGGTAAAATGCACTTGGGAGGAGATGGGTAGATGCATGAGAGGTCCAGGCTAAACTGCAGGGCTGCTGGCCTGCAGGAGAGAACCAAGAAGAAAGAGAGCGGGAAGAGTTCTCCTGGGGTCGGTACAAATGTCAGGCACTGTTTGTTCAAAGGCGCCCATGTTTGTTTGGTTCAGTCTGTAGAGCAACTTAGCCCTCAGTGCATTGTTGAAAATATAAACTTCCAACTGCAGGTAGTGGAGCTCAACATCTGGTCCTGGTCAGGGAAGAGCCAGAGAGAGCCCAGCCCAAGCCAGTGACATGTGAGGGTGACAGTGAAATCCATGACTGTGTCTCTGGGGATCTTTCAGGCAGGCCTTCTGTCACTCAGAAGAAAGTCTGGAGTTCACCTGTAATGGTTTGTGTCAAATTTTCAAAGATGTTCATGTTGTTTTTAGTTTCTAACACACACACACACACACCACACACACACACACACAATGTTAAACATCTGAATACGTGTGTGTGTGAACACATGATTTTAATCCTTTGTAGGACATACTCAGGGATGAGAGTTCTAGGTCATGGATTAAGGACATGTTTAATTTTATAAGAAACTGTAAACAGTTCTCCCAGAAACTCTTTCATTTTGCACTAGCAATATTTTAGTCTCTCGGGGCCTGGCATGCTCACTGACACTGGTACTGTCAGTATTTCTTCTTTATTTTTCCTCATTCTAAAGCCTAAAGTCGTGTCTCCTTTTGGTCTTGATTTGAATTTCTCTACTGGAAAATTACATTCATATGCTGATGTGTCATCTGTACATCTTCTTTGATAGAAAGTTTGCACAAACCTTTGCCTATTTTATAAACAGATTGCTTCTTTTTACTGTTGAGTTTTGAGGGTTCTTATTATAATTACATTGTTAGATGTATGATTTGCAAATACTTTCTCCCCTGAAGCTTGTCCTTCAGTTTCTTGATAGTCGGTTGAATAGAAAATGTTTTAAAATTTGATGAAGTTCAACTAAAATTATTTTCATTTATTGATCACACGTTTTAATTTTCAGGATTGTTGATCAACTGTTAATAATTTCACATTTCAATTGTATTTGTTTTTATTTTATACGTATACATTTACGGGGAGTGACTGCAATTTTGTTACATATATATATTGCATAGTCGTCTTGGCTTTAATGTATCCATGATCCAAATAATGTACATCATACCCTTTAAGTAATTTCTCACCATTCTCCCAACTTCTGCTCTCCCATGTTTCTGAGTCTGCAATGTCCATCATTCCTTTCTCTATGGCCCTGTGCACATATTACTTAGCTCCCATTTATAAGTGAAAAAGTGTGGTGTGTGCTGTTCTACTTCTCGTTTATTAGACTTAAAATAATGACCCAGAGTTCCATCCATGTAGCTGCAAAATACATGATTCCATTCCTTAATATGGCTGGATAGTATTTAATTGTATATATATGTGACTTTTTAAATAAAATTATCTGTTGTAAGACACAGGTTAATTCCTTAGGTTGATATCTATGCTACTGTGAATAGTTCTGCAGGAAAACAAAAGTTTGGTTATCATTCTGATATGATGATTTATTTTTCCTTTGGGTAGTTACCCAATGGTGGGGTCATTGAATCAAAGGTAGTTCTGCTTTTATTTCTTTGAAAAATCTCCACATTGTTTTCCATAGAGGCTGTGCTCATCTACATCCTCACCAACAATGACTGAGACTTCCCTTTGCCTTTGATCGCCACCGATGTCTGCTATTTTTGCTTCTTTTATAGTAGCCATTCTGACTGGTGTAAGATACCTCTTTGCAGTTTTAATTTGCATATCCCTGATAATCAGTGATGTTTAGCACTTGTCCAGTTATATGTGTTCTTTAAAAAAATTCCTACTCGTGTCCTTTGCCAATTTTTAATGAGGTTATTTGTTTTTTCATAGCTGTTGTTGTGGTGGGGTTGTTTCAGTTCCGTGTAAATTCTGCCTATCAGTCCCCTGCCAGATGCAATGTGTGCAAATATTTTTTAGCATTCTGCAATTTGTCTGTTCACTCTGTTGCTGTGTGGAAGCTCTTTAGTTTAACTAAATTCCATTCATCTATTTTTGATGTTATTGCTTGTGCTTTTGAGGTTTTTGTGGTAAATTATTTACTAAGCCCAATGTCCAGAGGAGTTCTCCTGGTGTTTTCTTCGAGTACATTTATATTTTGAAGTCCTATAATCAAGCCTTCAGTCCATTTTCTTATGGTTATGTATATGTCGACAGGTTGGTGTCCAGTTTCATTCTTCTGCATATGGCAGTCCAATTGTCCCAGCAACATGGCATGAAGAGCGTGGCCTCTTCCCCGTGCATATTTTTGTTGACTTTGTCAAAGATCACTTGACCATAGATTGTGTGGCTCAGTTCTGGGTTTTGTACAACGTACCTGAGAGCCTTGATTCTCCGGGGATTTCAGCACTGACCTGCTCACTGCTGGAACTCTGTTAGCTCAGTACCTTTTGAGTGTAGTGACTTGTTGCCATGGGATGGTTTTCCTAAAATTGTAGACAGTTATGTTTCATGTTGAAACGTGAGCTAGGATTTTCATAAGAAAGGTATTGTTGAATTTTCCATTTCTTTTCCACATTGCTCCTCAGACTCACTGACGTGGGTTTCTGATGTCAAGTTGAGGCACTCCCTTTCTAAGAGCTGGATTTTTAATTACATGGGTATTTATGGGCTCCCTGTGTGGAAATAAGCCTTGTCTATCACACCTACCCTACGACATTTTTAGAAATTTATTTCTGCACTGTTACTGTGAGACACTCCGTGATGGGGACACATTCCATCTGTTTTATTGTTTTATAAAATTATTTTATTAACGCACCTTTCTCTCTACGAGAAAAGCTATTATCTGAATTTTCACAATTCCTCCTGCTCCCTTATCCCCACATTTTTCTCCAGTGTCATTTCCTGCAGTTTAATAAAGGCATATGTTCTGCTGTTTTGTATTCGGCCGCTTGGAGTAGTATGAGCCCATTAAACTGGCGGCCACATACCAGTGATGCATCTGGCCCAGGTAACATGAACATTTCATGCTGAATGTTTGACAAACAGGACTCAGCTTCTGCTTCTATGAACTATTAACAGGAGTCATGCCATTTATTATTAAAGAAGAAGGAGGAAGACAGGGCTCTGAGTCTAATGGGGATGGGAAATGCAGGCCCTGGCAGGAAAACGTATCTCAGCTGCACTTTCCTGTTCTGCAGAGGTGGGGAGGGAGCACCAATGAGAAGCAGCCTGGGTTTTTGTACAGGAGGTGCCCTGGGCTGTGTCTTTGTGGTCTGTGTGCACAGTAATATGTGGCTGTGTCCACAGGGTCCATGTTGGTCATTGTAAGGACCACCTGGTTTTTGGAGGTGTCCTTGGTGATGGTGAGCCTGCTCTTCAGAGATGGGCTGTAGCGCTTATCATCATCCCAATAAATGAGTGCAAGCCACTCCAGGGCCTTTCCTGGGGGCTGACGGATCCAGCCCACACCCACTCCACTAGTGCTGAGTGAGAACCCAGAGAAGGTGCAGGTCAGCGTGAGGGTCTGTGTGGGTTTCACCAGCGTAGGACCAGACTCCTTCAAGGTGATCTGGGACAAGACCCCTGTGGAGAAAGCATAAGAAGATGAAGCCCACAAACAAGAAAACTGATGTTTCACCCGTGAAGGAGTCCCTGACCACAGCACTCACATGAAGGGATGGTCAGCAGCAGGAGCGTGGAGCAAAGTGTGTCCATGGTGGGGCACAGGAGTCACTGAGCTGGGACCTGTGCTCGGCTTTTTCAACCCAGAGGAGGGTGGAGCTGGTGGAGATTTGCATTCCCCTCATCTGTGCCCTACTCTATGGGATGGAGTCAGGTTTCAGGACTCAGGAGGGTGTTGCATCTGTGGTGAGGAGCAGTGATAGTAACATGATCAGTGTAATTCAGATGGCATTAATCTAAGGCTGGGCAAGTAGATTCTGAGTAGAAGTCTTTGCAGAAGTCATGATTATGAGGTCATGTTGGTCTTTTTGCAAGAACTATTTTATGATAGTTCTTGTTGTCAGGGATATGTGTGTAAGAATTCTCCCTACACTTCCTGAATCCATTTGTCAGGGTTTTAACATATGTGACTCCATTTTGATTCTTACAAATTTCACAATCTCATCCTAAAAGCACTGGTGGAGAAGGACAGTTTATGTAGCAGCCAATTAACTCTACATCCACCTCCCATTTTAACCAGACAAACATATTTCTTTCACTACAAATGGCCACTTGCATTTCCAGAGAAGCCTATACACAATACAGTGGATGGTCCTGAGCAAGGAGAGTGAAGAAAGTCCCTTCAGCCTCTTCCACATGGCTGCAGTAGCCACAGCCTGAGCCCCAGCTGAGCTACAGGGAAAGGGCTTCAGCCCTTGAATTGAGGTCACGGAGACCACATTTACCTTTTCCAGGGAGCAGGAAAATCCAAAGGAAAAGTGAGAACGACAACTAAAAATAAAATAAATTAGAATCAAAAGAAGCACCAGATCAGTGTTATTAATTTGCATAATTTAGTGTCAGGAGAAGGGTCAGACAAAAAACTTGTGAGGGTCCCCATATTCTATATGACACTGACCATGGTCTACCATCTTTAGGCTGTTATCACCATCCTTAATGACTACTCTAAGGGAGACCCACTAAGGTCTCTGTTCTGAGTGTGATTGGAGAAGACTCAACAGGTCCCAGTGAGCTTCTACATGTCTCCAATTTTGGTGACTATGGTTGAGGGCTTTTCATCTCTGTGTCAATTTGTGTTTTGTCCATGTGAGAGTATGTCCTCAAAACACAATATTTTAAAAAAATATTTGGAGATGTCATTGGTAGGCACAGAATTCTAAAATTACAGAAGTTCCTTGGAGAAACTGTCAGACGGAGTTTTTTTCTTCTTTTTTCAATGCTTGCAGGAAAGCAGTCCTAACCTTTGCACTCCCCTCTGTGGTTGACTGATCAGTGGGTCCTGAGCACCCCCTGCAGCTCATTAGCCCAGGTGTTCCTGGAGGTTTGTGTCTCACACCGGCCTTTCCTCATGTGCTTCTCTTGCACAGTAATGTAGTGACGTGTCCTTGGTTTGCAGATTGCCCATTTGCAGAAACAGCATCTTCTTGACATTGTCTCTTGAGATGATAAATCAAAGACAAATAAATACTCTGTCGGACAAACAAATCCTGAGAAAATCTATTCCCAGCATATTAATCTTGCCATAGACGTTTTAGCAGAGTTTCTAGATGAGCAGCCATATGATATACATCCAATACCTGAATGTATCCAAAAGATAAAGATTGTCAACAATGAAAAAAATGAGGTTTAAATTTAGTTTTTGCATTTGTGTTTTCTTTATTACATAAATGTGTAAAGCAATTATAAAAATGTCAATATTACATTTTTATAGCTTATGTAATTACAAACTGATAAAATAAAAAAGGGATAGAAAAGAGGAATTAGACATATATAGTTATAATATCTCTGTTCTATATATAAAGGGGTAGGCTGGGCACGGTGGCTCATGCCTGTAATCCCAGTACTTTGGGAGGCCAGGTCAGGCAGATCACAAGGTCAGAAGATAGAGACCATCCTGGCTAACACGGTGAAAGCCTGTCTCTACTAAAGATACAAAAAATTATCCGGGCATGGTGGCAGGTGCCTGTAGTCCCAGCTACTTGGGAGGCTGAGGCAGGAGAATGGCGAGAACCCAGGAGGCAGAGCTTACAGTGATCTGAGATTGTGCCACTGCACTCCAGCCTGGGCGACAGAGTGAGACTCCGTCTCAAAAAAATAAAAAAGAAAAAGAAGTACTACATTTTTGAATTAGAATTCAATTATAGAAATGTCTTATTGTTATCCTTATGGTAACCAATAAGATATTCATCAATAATAATTAAATAATAAATTAATAGAAACAATACATATTATTGTAAAAAGACAAAACAACCATTATTGGACAAAAGGGTAATATCATTAAAAAATAATTCCTCATAGTTGACTAAAAAAAAAAAAGACCCAGCAATTATCTTTCTCCAAGAAAACTTCTTAACATATTCACAAAGAGAAGAAATAAGATGGAAAAATATAGACCATGAAAATATAAACCAAAGAAAACTTGAATAGCTATGTTAATTTCAGACAAAATAATCATAAAAAGAATACCTTTGCAACTCAAGTGAAATATTGCATAAAATAATAGGATCAACTTTTCCAAAATCCATTTTAAAAGACCTAATAAATGGATTTGGAACAGAAAATAGACTAACATGTATAGAACATGGAGAAATCAACACTCATTGTGATTGAGAAAACAAGCAATGATTAAATAGGTAAAGATATAAGAGTCCCAAATGGCACTATCAACCTACTTGATAAATTTTTATCTATAAAATATTCAACTAGAAAACTTCAGAAATACAAACTGTCATTTACCAGAAGAGAATAAAGGAACAAGACAACTGAATTCAAACTGATGGCCTTGATGGAATCTGGAAACAAACAAATATACGAAAGCAACAGCAAAGAGAGATTCTGTCCCAAAAAAAAGAAAAGAAGATATCCACTAAAAGGGACAAACTATGAAATATTTAAAATGGCTCATTCTGAGATATATATGAGTTACCAAGGCCCATGACACGACCCCAGGAATTCCTGAGAACACATGTCCAAAATGGCTTGATTACAGCTTGATTTTATATACTTTAGTGGGTCAGAAGTTACAGGCAGATATTAATCAACACATGTGAGCTATACCATTTATGCAGTCTAGAAAGGCAGGAAAGTTTATGCACAGGGTTCCAGGACATAGGAGAATTCAAAGATTTTCTGATTGGCAATTGGTTGAAATGTAAGGTAATACAATCATTACAACTGAGTGTCTGGATTAAGATAAGGGGTCCTGGAGATCATAGTTCTTATTATGTAGATGAAGCCTCCAGGTAGCAGATTTCATACAGAATAAATCATTAGGTTTTGCTATTTGTCATGTGATGCTATACTAGAATCAAGTTGTAATTTGATGTCTTTTTGCTATAGAAAGTGTTTACAGCAAAAATATAGTTTTGCCCGTCTTAAGATCTTTGTTGTAGTACTAATGCTGGCCACTGGTGCCTTAATTCCAAAGAGAGGAGCATGTAATGAGGCATGTCTGACCTCTCACTTTCCCATCATTGCTGGAACAAGTTTTAGAATTTACTTTGAAATTCCCTTGGCTGAGGGTTGAGTTCATTTAGTTGCTTGAGGAAGCTTAGAATTTTATTTTTCATTTACAATAGAAATTATTGGAAAAATGATAAATAAAATAAGGTCTGGTATTGAATATATTTACACTTATCAATGTAAATGTGTTAACACCATGTCTTATGATGATAGAGGATATTCATCTTAGGAGATACTTGGAGATGGGAACACACTGTATTAACTTTATAATTTTTTTATCTATAATTATTCTGAATCAAAAGTATATAAATGTAAAAAGACTATCATAAAAATACAAGTCACAACTGATAAAATAAGTTTCTGAAAATTATACAATTTCAATTACATTTATGAACATGTATTCTGGAAGAAAATATTGAAATTACCATCAAAAAATGACCAATGTTTATTTGTATAAAAAACATTTGAAGCACCAAATACTAAAATCAAGCAAAGAGAGTGCTATTTATATAGTTATTTTATTTTCTATAATATGATTTAAAAAGTGTTATTATAGGCATTTTATAAACCAGTAGTGAGCATAATTATGTTAATTTTTTCTCAATTTTGTGTCAATATCTTCTTAATTTCATATAGACATTTGTTACTGCATGTGTCATTTCCAAAATATTCAGCTATTATTTTTCATATTAATATGACTCCTTTGTTGGCCCTAGGCATTGCATTTTAATATGGACATTTATCAGTTCCCAAAATTAATACTTTTATAATTTCTTACACCTGTCTTTACTGGAATCTCTAAACATAAATTGTGAAGATTTCATTTTAATATGGACATTTATCAGTTCCCAAAATCAATACTTTCATAATTTCTTTAATCTCATAATCCTGTTATCTTTGTAAGCTGAGGATGTAAGTCACCTCAGGACCCTGTGATGATTGCATTAACTGTACAAATTGATTGTAAAACATGTGTGTTTGAACAATATGAAATCTGATTGTAAAACATGTGTGTTTGAACAATATGAAATCAGTGCACCTTGAAAAAGAACAGAACAACAGCGATTTTAGGAAACAAGGGAAGATAACCATAAGGTCTGACTGCCTGCGGGGTCGGGCAGAATAGAGCCATATTTTTCTTCTTGCAGAGAGCTTATAAACTGATGTGCAAGTAGGGAAGATATCACTAAATTCTTTCCCAGCAAGGAATATTAGTAATTAATACCCTGGGGAAGGAATATGTGATCTTTGCCCTGCTTTTTGCCCCTTAAAGCATGTGATCTTTGTGACCTACTCCCTGTTCGTACACCCCCTCTCCTTTTAAAATCCCTAATAAAAACTTGCTGGTGTTGCGGCTCAGGGGGCATCACGGACCTATCAATATGTGATGTCACCCCCGGTGGCCCAGCTGTAACATTCCTTTCTTTGTACTCTTTCTCTTTATTTCTCAGACCAGCCGACACTTACAGAAAATAGAAAGACCCTACATTGAAATATTGGGGGTGGGTTCCCCCGATAAATCACCTGAGGTCAGGAAGTCGAGACCAGCCTGTCCAACATGGTGAAACCCCATCTCTACAAAAGATACAAAAAAAGAAAATACAAAAATGAACACATATCCAAATATCAAACCAAAACATGAATTTATTTAATGTTATTTTAATTATATAATTGAATCGAATGTACTATTTTATAGTATAATGTAATATTCCAAAATGTTGTTGCTCTGTGTGATTGTTTCACTATCCTAATGCCAATTAACAAACATATTTAAAGGCAAGGTTTGGTAGAAATGAAAATAAATGCCATTCTTGCCAAATTAATTAATGTACAATGGTATTTATGTATAATCGCTGTGTTGGTTTGTTTGTCATTTATGCTGTTAGTATACTTTAAAATACCAATTATTAATACATCTAATAACAAGATAAACATCACTTTAAACACATTTTATTACATTATTGGTTAAATTAACATTGTGTTTTTATAAAGTCAGGATAAAATGTTCTTATTTAGAAATTAGGATTGTTTTCTACCATTGATTTTCCACAAATTTTCAATACAAATTCTAGATGTTTATTTGCCAACACGCCTGGATGCTAGAGAACATCCAGCAATATGGACCTGAAATCAGCCCAGGATCCCCAGAATGCACTCACAATGGCAGCTTGCTAGAGGGTTGTCTGAGAATTGCAAACACATTAGGGATTTGAACTTCATCATCAAAGCACTGGTGAGCCTCAGCGCTGAGCACACAGAGAGCAGCAGGAGCTGCAGAGCCCACTCTGTGGTACTTAGGAAAAGGACTGGATGTTGTGGGGTGATGTCTGCAGGACCCTAGAAAAGGGTGACGATGTCAGAGAGTCTGCGGATAGATGAACATATGCTTTTTTTTTTGAGATGGAGTTTCTCTCTGTCGCCCAGGCTGGAGTTAAGTGGCATTATCTCAGCTCACTGCAGCCTCTCACCCTGGGTTCAAGTGATTCTCCTGCCTCAGCCTCCCGAGTAGCTGGGATTACAGGTGCCCGACACCATGCCTGGCTAATTTTTCTATTTTTAGTAGAGACAGGGTTTTGCCATGTTGGCCACGCTGATCTCAAACTCGACCTCAGATGATCCACCCGTCTTGGCCTCCCAAAGTGCTGGGATTACAGGAGTGAGCCACTGCACCTGACCTACATGAGCATATTGTAAGGTGAACTGTTATCCTTCTAAACATGGTTGGGTTCAATGATCATGAAGAGAAGTGAACAGATTCACCAGACGTGGAGGAGACAAAATAAATAGATTTGTTGCTTCTTTGCCAGGAGACTGAGGAAGACAAAAGGATTTGACAGAAGGGAAGGTGGAGAAACAGTGTGAAGAGCAGAAGACCAGAACCCAACCAAAGTGGAGGAACTGACCCGTGAAAGTGGTGTTTCATCTCCACAAATGGCAGACAAAATGAAAGGAAACTTAACACCGTGACATTGTTGAGTTATTATTAGAAAAGCATTGACTGTAGTGTGACTGGCACAGCACAAGAAACAAAAACCCATGCGTGGAACCAGAGTTTGAATTAGGCATACACAATTTCTTATTATCAAAACACATTGAATTACTATTGCTATTATTATTCTAAAAATATGCAAGGTTAAAAGTTGAATTGAATTCCTATCCTAAGTTAATGATTTGTATGTGAAAGAAACCATGGGTTACAAGGAAGAAATAGTGAGAGATCGTGGGAAGACTTTTGCTTGACCAGCTCAGGAATCAGCTAGGTCTAAAAGCAAACGTCACCTTCCCCAGGCACCTGATGTGGAGCTGCCTCCTAAGAAAACCGTGGTGTCCTGAGTGATTGATTCCCTCGTGGTTACTGAAAGCCCCATGGTGGCCCCGAGCACTCCCTGTTGGCCCTGAACCCCTGGTGTCCTCAATGTTCTTCAGTGGCCATGAGTGTCTCCTGGTTGTCTTGTGGGCCTTTAGGTGGTCCTGTTACACCTGGTGGTTTCTGAGAATCTCTTGTTGGTCCTGAGTGTTTCCTGGTGGTCTGGAATGCACCCTTGTCATTCTGTGGCCCCTGCTTGTGCTGAGCGCCCCCTGGTGTCCTGAGCGCCCCCTGATGTCCTAAGTGTCTCCTGGTGTCCTGAGTGCCCCCTGCTGGTCTTGAGCACCCCTAGTGTTTTGAGCACCCTGCGGCATCCTGAGCACCTTCTGCTATCCTGAGTGTCTCCTAGTGGTTCTGAGTGTCCCCTAGTGGTTCTGAGCACCATTTACCACAAAGTCCCCTCTTGTCTTCCTGCAGGGAAGTTTGCGTCTAGACTCACCCATATGTCCCTCACTGTGTCTCTCACAGTAATACACTGCCTACTCCTCAGCTTTCCAGTAGATAATTTTAAGGGAGATTGTGATGTTAAGTGTTGTCCCCAGGAACTGTGAATCTTCTTTGTGCTGGAGCAGAGCACCACTGAGAACTTCCACTTGGGTCACTCATGGCTACCACCCACTCCAGCCCCTCTCCTCCAGCCATCAGGGCCCAATAAATGCTGCAGTCAGTGAAGGTGAATCTTGATGCTTTGCAGAAGAAGCTAAGAGAATAGCCAGGCTATTTTGCCAAAGACAAAAATATAGATCCAGTAAACCTTTGTGGTTTTCCAGGAATCTGGGGAAAAGGTGTGTGGATTAGGTGAAACACACACTTTTTAATCACAATGAAACTATTTTCATGGTGTTCAATGATAAACACATGGCATAAATAATTTGTGAAAACTCATAATTTTTTGAGACAAAGTGTTAACCTAAATGCATACAACTTCAAAAGTATTTAGCTGGTCATGAAACACAGAATAAAATGAAAGCTGTATAAAAATATCTAACAATGATAAACAGGTTTGTACTAATTTCACTGCAGAAAGGGGGGCATGAATATCAGAAACAAGTATCTTTGGAAATAATTTGATGTTGTGATTGTAAAATATAAA
This sequence comes from Homo sapiens, assembly GCF_000001405.40. NCBI lineage: Eukaryota > Metazoa > Chordata > Mammalia > Primates > Hominidae > Homo > Homo sapiens. Next base: position 514,004 of record NT_187600.1, read on the forward strand.
TAAGCTGCATATAAGCACGGTATTCTAGTCGATAAACATATTTTCAACAAGGGTCAGTTTAATAATTCTAACACAATTTGTGTATTTTGAAATTGTGCACTAAGTAAATTAATGTCATATGATAGGAAAGGTTTCCTCATTTTTCAATGTCAGATTATGGACAGGCAAAGAAAGAAGGCTACGGATGTCTATGTGGATCTTGGTAGTGTGAAGAAACCAGTATCTTCTTAGGTTTAATGTAATATAGATACAGAAGATGAGATACATAAATACTTTAATTTTGAATTTTTGTGGGTAAATGGTATATGTGTATATTTATGGGGTACCTGACTTTGATATAGCATGAACTGCATAATACTCACATTATGATGAATGGTTCCTACATCCTTTCAAGTATTAATTCTTTGAGTTACCAACATTCCATTTATACACTTTTAGTTATTTTACAATCTATAATTATGTTATTAAGGATTATACTTAGTCTGTTGTGTTATCAAATACTATGTATTATTTGTTATTTCTAACCACTTTTTTCATCCATTGAGCATCCCCAATAATCCCCATCTACCATAGACCTTCCCAGCCTCTGGTGACCATCCTTTCACTCTCTATCTCCACGAGTTCAGTTGTCTTAATTTTTAACTTCCACAAATATATGAGAATATGTGAAGTTTGTCTTTCGGTTCTGGGATTATTTCAATTAATATAATGAACTCCAGTTTCATCCACGTTGTTGCAAATGAAAAAATCTCATTCTCTTTATGGCATAATATTAATCCATATGCTATATGTACCACATTTTATTTATCCATCATCTGTTAATGGGCAGTTAGGATGCTTTCAAATTTTGGCTATTACGAACAGTGCTATAACAAACATGGTAGTGCAAACAACATTTTTTTTTTGTGGGAGGGAGTACATGCCAGCAGCAGGATTGCTGGATTATATGACAACACTACTATTAGGTTTTGAGGAAACTCTAAACTGTTCTCCATAGTGGTTTTATTAACTTAAGTGCCCACCAACAGGTTATGAGTGTTCTCATTTCTCCATATCCTTCCCAGCATTTGTTTCTGTCTGGCTTTTGGATGAAATCATTTTAAAATCAGATGAGATGATATTTCACTGTAGTTTTGTTTTGCATTGTTCTGATGATCAGTGTTACACAGCACATTTTATATGCCTGTTTGCAATTTGAAAGTCTTATTTTAAGAAATAAATATCGCCTGCTTTTTATTCGGATTACTAGATATTTTTCCTATAGAGTTGTCTGAGATCCTGGTATATTCTGATCAATCCTTTGTCAGATGGGTAGTAATGTCTCTTTCTCTCACACTATGAAAGACATGATGTCCTCATTCACAGGTGCATTCCGGGATATACACACAGTATCAATGGAAAAGCAGTCATTAGGCAGTGAGGCCTTTGACAGCCTCTACCTGATGTCTCTTTTTCGGAGTCTGTATCTCTTAACATAACAACTGGATGTTATTCTGTACTCATTGCTGGCATGCTGTCACTGTTTTGTGTCAAAAATTCATCCACATTTTAATGCAATTAAATTTGTTCCTATTTAGAGGGTCAGTTTTTGAGGTTTGTCATGACCCAGAATGTTATTTTTTTTTTTTTAAGAAAATGGGTCTAGCAATATCTTGCAGGCTGGCCTTGAAATCCTGGGCTTGGGTGATCTTCCCACATTAGCATCCTCACTAGTTGAAAATACAGGCACATGGCACAGTGTCTAACTGATTATTCTTAAATTATGCTATTTCTCATTCTCTCTGCTAAACCAAGTGGATATTGCTCTTGTGGAGCTGTCAGCTTTTCATTAATTACTTACAGTAAAAATATATTATGTGTTTTAGGATAACTTCATGGTAAAAATTATTCACAGTCAACTGCAAATATAGTCACACAATTTCCAGAGTGCTGTATCTCTGTCTTTATGCCATGCATCTTTACCTATAAAAATATAACAGCCTCCACCTTAGTGCACATGAAATTATTCATATATCTCAAAGTGATACTCCTGCTTTAAGAGCATAAAACTGTTTGGGAATCGTGGACTTAAATAGTCTCATTATGCCTCTCCCAGGAATATCCCCAGAACCTCTGCCATACAAGTGAGCAGGGGTGAGAATAATTGGAGTCCTTCTTGGTTCTTGGTCAATAACGCATGGCATGGAAACTCTGTCTCGTAAGTGAGGGTGGGAGGAGGCAGGCATCCATTACATCACAGACTGGAATTTAGTCTCCACCATAGAGATGTGACACCATGGCTTCAACTGAGATCTGAGGGAGAGAAAGCCACATCTTCTTTTCAGATCAGCTCGTGATCATGCTTCTGTCATCCTGAGCTGCAAATGAGAGAGTAATGCTTGTCTCTCAAGCATGGTGGACCCTCACTGCCCTTACTGAGACTTGGTAAATGGTTTAGTCTGTTTCAGCTGCTATAACAGAACTCCATTAAATGGGTGGCTCAGAAATATCATAAACATTGTTTTCTGAATTCTCAAGGCTAGGAAGTTGAAGATCTAGATGCTTTTGAGATCGGTGAGGACCAGCAATTTCTGGTGAGGACCGGCTATTATGTTCATAGGGGTGTAACTGACGGACATATCCAAACAAAAAATTTTGCATGGATGTTCATTTATATTTCCCCAAAACTGCATACATGTTGTATTATTCCTGATCAGTTGAGCAATTATAAGGCTTGAATAAGAAACTAAAACCTGCGCATTCAGCACACATATCCCTGAAATTAAAGTAAAAAAAAAATCTGTAACCAAACTTACAAATAAAGGAGGTAAGAAAATGAGGTCAGAACAGTTAACATTGAGTCCTCACGTGAAGGCCATTGGTGGTAAGTTACACAATGGGGCTGCAGTGAGATAGGCTACCAGGTGATCTAATTCTGAACCCCTCAATAACAGCCAACCAGCAATCTCTGGCAGTGGGTATGCTAGAAGTTCCCAGACATGGGAAAACTCTCTTACTCCATAAAACTGCACTGGGGTCGTCTGCAGCCTCTAAGTTCCACAGGAGCAGCTCCTACCCCAGACAAATCTCTGCTCTTTCTCTGGGGTCATGAGAGATGATGCGGAGAAGGTCAGTGATATGGTTTGTTTGTGTCCCCACCCAAATTTCATCTTGAATTGTAACTTCCACAATTCCCACATGTCATGGAAGGAACCTGATGGGAGGTGACTGAATTATGGGCATGGGTCTCTCCTGAGCTATTCGTGTGATAGTGAATGAGTTTCATGAGATCTGATGGATTAAAAAGGGGAGTTTTCCTTCATGTGCACTCTTCTCTAGTCTGCCACCATGTGAGACGTGATTTCCACCTTCCACCATAATTGTGAGGCCTCCCAAGCCATGTGGAACTGTAAGTCCAATAAACCTTTCTTTTATGAATTGTCCAGTCTTGGGACCAGCGTGATAACAGACTAATACAGTAAATTGGTACCAGTAGAGTGAGACATTGCTGAAAAGATAACCAAAAATATGGAAGTGACTTTTTAACTGGGTAACGGGCAGAGATTGGAAGAGTTTGCAGGGCTCAGAAAAAGACCGGAAAATATGGGATAGTTTGTAACTTCCTAGAGACTTGTTGAATTGCTTTGACAAAAATGCTGATAGTTATATGAACAATAAGGTCTAGCTTGAGGTGGTCTCAGATGGAGATGAGGAACTCATTGGGAACTGGAGCAAATTGTGGAATTTTGAACTTGAGAGAGATGATTTAGGGTGTCTGGCAGAAGAAATTTCTAAGCAGCAAAGAATTCAAAAAGCCACTTGAGTGCTATTAAAGGCATTCAGTTTTAAAGGGGAAACAGCATAAAAGTTCAGAAAATTTACAACCTGGCAAGGCAGTAGAAAAGAAAATCTTATTTTCTGAGGTGAAATTCAAGCCAGCTGCAGAAATTTGCATAAGTAATGAGGAGCCAAATGTTAATCCTCAAGACAATGGGGAAAATGTCTCCTGTGAATGTCAGAAGTCTTCACGGCAGCCCCTCCCATCACAGGCCTGGAGGCCTAAGAGGCAAAAGTGGTTTTGTGGTCCAGGCCCAGGGTGCCCGTGCTGTGTGCAGCCTAAGGAGTTGGTGCCCTGTGTCCAGCCACTCCAGCTATGGCTGAAAGACGCCAATGTAGGGCTCAGGCCATGGCTTCAGATGGTGCAAACCCCAAGCCTTGGCAGCTTCCACATGGTGTAGAGCCAGTGAGTACACAGAAGTCAAGAACTGGTCCTTGAGAACCTCTGCCTGGGTATCAGAAGATGTATGAAAACACCTGGGTGTCCAGGCAGAAGTTTGCTGCAGCAGTGGGACCCTCATGGAGAACCACTGCTAGGCCAGTGAGAAAGGGAAATATGGGGTCAGAGCTCCAACACAGAGTCCCTATTGGGGTATTGCATAGTGCAGCTGTGAGAAGAGGGCCGCCATCCTCCAGATCCCAGTGTGGTAGATCCACTGACAGCTTGCACCATGTGCCTGGAAAAGGCACATTCACTCAACACCAGCCTGTGAAAGCAGCCAGGAGGGAGGCTGTACCCTGCAAAGCCACAGGGGTGGAGCTGCCCAAGACCAAGGGAAACCATCTGTTGCATCAGCATGACCTGGATTTGGGAAATGGAGTCATAGGGGATCATTTTGGAGCTTTAATATTTGACTGCTCTGCTGGATTTTGGACTTGCAGAGGGCCCCTTTGTTTTGGGCAATTTCTGTCATTTGGATGGGTGTGTTTATCCAATGCCAGTACCCCCATTGTTTCTAGGAAGTAACTTGCTTTTGACTTTACAGGTTTATAGGTGGAAGGGACTTGCCTTGTCTCAGATGAGATGTTAGACTGTGGATTTTTGAGTTAATGCTGAAACAAGTTGACTCTGGGGGACTGTAGGAAAGGCATGACTGGTTTTGCAATGTGAGGACATGAGATTTGGGAGGGGCCATGGGGCAAAATAATATGGTTTGGCTGTGTCCCCACTCAAATCACATCTTGAATTTAACTCCCATAATTCCCAGTGTCATGGTAGGGACCCAGTGGTAGGTCATTGAATTATGGCTGCGGGTTTCTCCAGCACTGTTCATGTAATACTGCATGAGTTTCACGAGATCTGATGATTGTAAAAAGGGAGATCCCTGCACAAGCTCTCTTCTCTTGTCTGCCACCATGTCAGATGTGCCTTTCACCTTCCACCATGATTGTGAGGCCTTTCCAGTCATGTGGAAGTGTAAGTCCAATAAAACTCTTTCTATTGTAAACTTCCAAGTCTCTGGTATGTCTTTATCAGCAGCATGAAAACAGACTAATAGTCAGACATGATCTACTCAAGGCCTCTGCACATGGAGAAAAGCCAGTGAAAGTGGAAAATGTATTTTCTTGATTTATTGAAAAATACCTATAGAAAACACAACTGTGTGCCAGGACATCAAGCAGAATTTAAAAATTATGCAATTGGAATAAATGTGAAAATTACAATCATTTGCAGACACACATCTGTTCATATATCTTTCAATGAAATAAAGTAAATGCCAGTGTTCTGTGTAAAAATCAACAAAGAGTGTGTTGACCCTGAGAATACACCTCTCTCCCTCCCTTTAAAGGCAGGAAAATGCACATGGATCAGGTGTCAAGCTGCTGCTTTCTGACGTCTATGCTATGGCCCAGATCCTGTGGTCCACTCTAATGAAAAGAAGGACTCTTTAGTGATTCTGAGGCAGAGTCATTGCTGGAGTCACAGGGGTTCCCCCTTGGGTAATGTTGACTTGTAGTAGACTCAAATATGTTTTACACCTTCCTTGCACAGCACAGAAACCTAAGAATGTTTCACCCAATCCTCCGTCCATCTCTCCTTTACTCAGGGACAGATTTCTACCATATGCCATCAGCTTCTGCAGCCACATGTCACCCCCTGTGCATTTCCTGTCAAAAGAGTGGAAGTACTTCTTATGAAAAATGCATGAAAGCATAATCCAGTCTTGGACTTTCCATCTCAAAAGACCAATAATAACACATATATTTCAGCAAAATTATTTATCCTATGATTATGACTATATTTGGCAATTGTTTTGGCAAAAAACAAAAATCATGGTGTTGGATAATGAAGATGTAAGAAGGGCCAAGACTGTTACAACTTTTTATTGATGACCTGGGGCGTAGTAGGGGTAGGTGCTGACCTCAAGATAAGAGGACTGGAACCTCATTGCAACTGTCTGAGTGTACTCACGCAGGCCTGCCTGGGGTTCCAAGGCTTGCATGGCAAAGCTGTCAGTGCTGTCATCTATAATTCTAGCACCACATTTGAGGGAACAACATACTATAAAGTACATAATGAGAACTAGGGTAAGGAGTGCAATTCGCAGTTTTAAAAGTAAAGATTTGAACGCATTAGTTTATGGCTTTGTAGCCTACAAATAATTTAGAATTTCGTCCAAACTGCTGAAGAAAAAAAAACAAGAACAGCAAACAACAGGTGTACTATATTTTTAAAGCATAATTTTTTTCTCTCTTGTCCCCATTTTTATTTAAAACAAATCAAGATAGGACTGATTTATTTGCAAAATAAACTTTAGTCTTATTCATGGCCTTATTATTTGCATAAAGCACAATACAAATAATTATTGTTTACACAGGCTTTTAAAATTGGCTTTGGTGGAACTCTGTTCCATAAGGAATCTCAGATAAGACTTTTTTAAAGCCAAGCCCAGCCATGAGTTTTTACCATCAAATACCTGTAAGTCTGGTAAATTATTTTTCCTCTGGGGTCCCAGGAAAACATGGGGTTCTTGGGCCTGTTAGAAAGTGACATTCTTTACTTACCACTGGTCAGGAACCTTGTACAAAGACTGTGTGGACAAGGTACAGGCCAGTTTTCCCAAGGGGCTCTTATTGGCTGTATAAGTCAAGTTCGATTGCTTAAGGTGAAGCACGCCATTACAGTCAAAGCCTTGGTAAAATAACCAGTTTCTCCAATTGTGTCCTGTTGCAAAAAAAAAAAAATCTTACTGCACTTATGAAAAATCATATTGCCATAAGTTAAGGATATTCACAAAGAGTTTCCAAATTCTGGAGAAAGTGGACAGAGAGAAACAAATATTCTCCAAATTTTATGTACAGGACTATACTCAATTGTTGAAAGCTATAAATAGCTCAAAAGAAAAGTTTTCTTGGGCAACATTTTAAGTGAAAAGTCAAAAAAGATAGTCTTCTATTTGATAGTTTTATCTCTATACTATTGTAACCATCTTCAGAGTTTTTAATCAGAAATCTGCATGTAAGAGCACCTGTTAGAGTTTCATAGATGGTTATAAAACCATCACTTAAAGAGAAACAAAACAAGTCGATAAGGTCAAAACTCAAAGGGAGGAATTGAAGCCACCACTGCAAAGCTGCAACTGAAACAGTGAAAGAGCTGTGACCTAACCTGCTCCATCTTGCCTCAAACCTCCAGGTTGTCCTTGTGCATTCCTGGGTGTAGGCTTACCTAACATTGGGAGGAACTTAGTTTAGTTTATAGTTTAAAACAGAGACAATAACTGCCCTTTCCCAAAACAAATCTCCTTCGTCCTGGGGACTAGACTGCCTTTGGGGGACTAACGAATTAGCCAAAATATTAGAAATTATGTTTTAAGAGTCATGCAGCTGGTGGCTACAAATTCTAACCCTTCCTAGTTTGCTCCTGGGGATAAAATGACTATTATAAAGCCTAAGATCAATGCTTTAGATATTTTACAGACTCTGCACTTGATGGATCAGCTGGCATCACCCAGATCAATAAACTGGCTCATCCGATCTTGTGGCCCCCTCCTAGGAACTGACTCAGCACAAGACACCTTCAGCTCCCTATGATTTTATCTCTGACCTGATCAATCAGTACTCATGACTCACTGGCTGCCCCCAACCCACCAAGCTATCCTTAAAAAATCCCATTCTTGAATGCTTGGCGAGACTCATTTCAGTAACAATAAAACTCTGGTTTCCAATAAATAAATAAATAAATAAATAAATAAATGTCATGGCAACAATCAATTTTATGTGTCCCCTTGACTCATAGAGTCATTTATTCAGTTACACACTAACCTAGGTGTTGTACTGATCCTATAATATAAGTGTTAGTAAAGCCTGCCATCATTTTTTTCCTAAGTCAGGAAGATTGTCCTAGATAACCTAGGTGGGGCTGATTCCATCAGAGCATAAGAGATGACGATGGGACTCCATGGAGGATGACAGTGTAGGTCTTCCCAGAAATTCCAACTCCATTGACCTGAAACCCTGTAGGATTTGCCTAGCCAGACCCTCCAATTGCTGTCACCCAGAGCTCACAGCACAATAGAGTGTCCATCCTTAGCTTTCCCCAAAGTCACAGATGAAGGAGGAAATTCTGTGACAGTGTGAGAAACAGAAGATCAGCTCTACATCAGTATCTCATTTGAGAAAGCTACCATTATCCCCTCAGTGACTAATGTCCACTTCATTTCCCAAATGCCTCCATGCACAGAAGACAGCAGGCGGGTCCAGGCAATGGTGAGTGGGAAAGTCCCCTCAGCCTCCCCAGGTCTCACAGGAGCCACAGCCTGGGCCACACCTGAGTTCCAGGTAACAGGCCTGAGCCCTGAGATTTAGACCACAGAAAACACACTCTCTGTTTTCTGGGAAGGGAAGAAAAGGGAACTATGAGAATGAAGTGTAGAGAGAAGAAAAATTGATTAGCAAGTAAGGGCCAGCTGGATCAGTTCTGAGTCAGATGTGCACAGTTTTGCCAGAGGAGGGAGAACAGCTGTAAAAACTGTCAGGATTTAAGGACCCTCCCATGGGTGAGACTCCCTCTTGGCCCAAGTCTGAATCCCAAACCTATTCTAATCAGAGATTTCCACGGAGGTCTCTGCCCTGAGCCTGACTGGAAAACACTCCCCAGGTTCCACTGGGCTTCCTCAGGACACTGATCAATGTGACCAAGGCAGGGTCATTTCTGCCCCCAAGGTGACACTCGGGCTTCTGTAGGGGTGAGGATGGGTCTTCCTGTTACAAAAAACAAAACAAAACAAACAAACAAAAAACAAATATGTGAGGGAAGTTTAGCAGTCACAGACATCAAATGTTAGTACAGAATTGCAAATCTAGAGAAGTTCCCTCGGGTAATTTGGTAACAACGCAGCCCCAGATCAAGACAGGAAACCCAGCCCTTGTAGCACCTGCACTTGCCCCTGGGGTCAGCACAGTGCACAGTGTCCCAGGCTTTCCCTGGTTGTCCCAGGTACCCTGAAGGGAGGTTTGTGTCTGGGCTCACACTGACTTCTCCTTACCGTATCTCTCACAGAGTCATATGCAGCTGCATCCTCTGCCCTCAGTCTGTTCATTTGCAGATACAGTGAGTTTTTCGTATTGTCTCTGGAAATGGTGAATCGGCCCTTCACAGAGTCTGCGTAGTACATGGTACTACCACTACCACTAATAACTGGGACCCACTGCAGACCCTTCCCTGGAGCCTGGGGGACCCAGTGCGTGCTATGGCTACTGAAGGTGAATCCAGAGGCTGCACAGGAGAGTCTCTGGGACACCCAGGCTTTGTCAAGTTTGCTCCAGACTCTACCAGCTGCATCTCACACTGGACACCTGCAAACACAGAGACATCCTGGTAAGAAACTGCCACACATATCCACTGTTTCGCTCACTTATGTCCATTCACACTCAATAGCTCTAGTTCTCCATAAATCACCTTTTAAAATAGCAGCAAGGAAAACCCACCTCAGCCCCAACTCCATGGTGAATCCTGTATGTTCAGTGTTGACCAAGCAGAAACACCTGGGAATCCCGGGGCTGAGGCTCCTCTGCCAGAGCTGCAGGGTCAGGGTTTAGCTGGTTTTCATCAGCATGGGGAGGGCCCTATTTGCGTGTCTCCTGCTACACAGAGAGCTCTGGGGTGGGAACCCTGAGGAGACGGCAGACCCCAGATAAAATGACAGGGCCCCGCAGGAGTTGGGTGACAATTATGGTATTTGGGAAATACACTGTCTTATTATGAAAATGTGTTGTGATAAACATTTTGCACTATTATATTTTTACATATTTGTGCAAATTATGTTCTGTAGAAGTCAATGGTTTCTCCATTTACAGATGTGAAATAAACCCACACATGGAGGAGGGGCTGTGTGTGTCTCATGTCTGAGATGAATGAGCCCTGGTAGCTTGGCCTGTGCTCCACATCAGTGGCCCCAGTTACTCCCTGAACCAACTCCAGGTAAGAATTGGACATGCCTAGTGTGCTTTGTGGAACCCACTTCCTGTATTGAGAACTTGAGTGATTTTTGTGGCACTCTAGCATTCACCTAAAAATAAGGAGAGAACTAGGGTTCAGGAGGTAAATTCTCAGATATTTCTGACTTTTAATGGATATTTTGTATCTTTATACCACCGCTTTTGGTCTAATTTTTCATTTGTTTGCTTGCAATAAATTTTGTGAGTGTTAATTGGCAGATAATACACTTCACGTATTTAAAGTGTAGAATTGAAAACATGATGTAAGCGTCATCATTACTGAGGTGGACAAGTGAGTTCCCCTCAACATTTTCTCTTGTTCTTCTGTATGTTTCCACATTTCCCCTTCCTTTATTCTACCCTTTTCCCAGGTAACTACTCATCTTTTGTATATTACTTTAGATTTTTTTCATTTGAAATAAATTACATAAATGGAGTAATATAGTACATATTCTTATTTGTCTGGCTTATTTTACTCAGCATAAATACTTAGATACTTTTCCTTGTTGTTCTGTGTACCAGAAATATATTTATTATAAATGTTGAGTAGTATTCCAGTGAAAAAATTTACCAGAATTTGTTTCTCTATTAGGCAGCTGAAAAATGTTTGGATTCTTTTATTATTCTGGATCTCACTAAAAAATATGCTGCTAAGCTTAAAAATGTACATAGATGAGAAATATATATATATACACACATATTTATTTATTTATTTATTTATTTATTTTTAGAGACAGAGTCTCACTCTGTCACCCAGGCTGGAGTGCAGTGGCGCGATCTCAGCTCACTGCAAGCTCCACCTCCCGGGTTCACGCCATTCGCCTGCCTCAGCCTCCCAAGTAGCTGGGACTACTGGTGCGCACCACCACACCTGGCTAATTTTTTGTATTTTTAGTAGAGATGGGGTTTCACCGTGTTAGCCAAGATGGTCTCGATCTCCTGACCTCGTGATCCACCCACCTCGGCCTCACAAAGTGCTGGGATTACAGGCATGAGCCACCGCACCGGGCCCATATATTCATTCTTACAACAATAGTATCAACAATAACAGATAAACAGAAAAGATGGAAGTTTGCAAATTTTACTTAATGCTTCAGATAATTGAGGGTTGAAAACAAACAAAATATTTGAAATCTAGGGAGAGGCAAGTTCCTGTAGAGAGTAATGAAGCCAGAGTATGAAATTCCCTGAGGCAGAGGCTGTCATATAAAATGTAGGCTATTACAAGATGAAGAACAAATATACACTGGATTGCTTGAAGTCGAGTGTGTTAGGCATGTTATAGTGAGAAATTCTAAGGGACCTCATACTGGAGAGTTGCCCTAATCTCTTGAATCATTTACCCCTGCAAAACATCTTCCTTTCCCATAGTATCTGTCTGGGAGAGAATGAGCTCACACTTCTGAAATGCATCCAGACCCAGTTCTCTGATCCCCACTACAAAACTAAGATATTACCCTGCAGGAGCAAGCCATGAAAATCAGCATCCTAGGGCACTGGTGCAGCCCCTTAAGAATTGAGGTATGAACAGAGGTTCCCATCAAAGCTCTATTGAGAAGCAGCTCCCCTCACTTTCTTACGGAATCAGAGCTTTAATCTGCAGGTCATGGCAGCAGATCTGGAAGTTGGGGACACCAACAGAGATTATGAGAGCTGTGGGAGGGAACAACTGGGGAAAACAAGAGGAATCTGCCCCAGGGGAAGGAGCAAGAACACACAGACCAGCATCTCATCTGGAGGAGGGTTGGGAACACTTGGAAAGTCAGCTCACACTCAGGATCACAATGATTTTCTGGAAATATGACCCCATGAGAGGTCAGAGACAATTCCTTTAGTATAATGTCTTCCACCAATTTCACAATTGGCAATTAAATATAACACTTTAATCCACCTTAAGAATCTGAAAGAGATTCTCTGTAGAATGGAATGATTGTGTATGAATCATGCCATGAAACTGTCTTCACGGTGACTGGATTTGCCTGTTGATTTTGACATGATGACCATGATGTTGATGACGAAGATGACATTCTCAGAAAAATAACCCAGGTTCAAAGAGCTAACTGCAGAGTCATATTTATGTTTGTTTTACTTCGGGACAGAAAGGGCGTGAGGTCTAAATAACGTAATAAATGGTCTCCTGAGGTTTGGATGCTGTTAAGCAAAATAAGACAACCCGAGGTGGCGGTCACAGGCTCCCTGGCTGGTTCCTCGCTGCCTCTGCTCCTCACTGAGGCTCTGTCTTGTGTGAGTTCTGAGCATCTCCTGCGGGTCCTCTGGTGCCCATCCAGCCCAGATAAAGGAGGGCTGGGGGTTCTGTTTCTCAGGTGCTCAGTCCTGTGCCTGGCTCCAGTTCAGGAGCTCAGCCTGTCCTGTGTGCTGAAGCTTTTAGCTCTCCCGTGCAACCTCGCCTGTACACTGAGTTTCTTCACAGCAAAGTGACAGGGTCAGCTTCACAGACATCGCTGCAGGCAATTTTCAGCAAATCTAATTTTAGTTTGACTATGTAATTCAGCAATCATGTTCATTGTGGTGTAAGTGACTGACATATCCACACACACACAAACAAACACACATGCACACACACACGCACACACACACACCCAAACTGCATGGACATTCATTTACATTTCCCCCAAACTGGACACATTTTGTATTATTCCTGATAAGTTCAGAAAGTTCTGAGGTTTTAATCATAAACTAAACATAACATTTTCCATAAACAAAATTAGTAATGAATAAGATGAGAAAATCGGGTCAGAAAAATCAAGATTGAGTTATTACCCGCAGTCTAATGGTGGTAAGTTACATAATGGAGCTGTGATGAGACAGGCTCCCAGGTGCTCTAATTCTTAACCACTCAATTACAGCTGACCAGTAATCTCCGAGAGTGAGGAAGCTAGAGGTTCCCCACATGGGAAAGCTCTCTGACTCCACAAAACTTCGCTGAGCTTCTCTGCAGGCTCAGAGGTGTGCAGACTCCTACCCCAGATTCTGCAGTCAGGCAAATCTCTGCTCTTTCCCAGGGGACACAAGAGATAGTGTGGGTAAGGGCCAGATGTGCTCTACTCAAGGTCTCTGCACATGGAGAAAAACCAGTGAATGTGGAAAATGCATCATCTCGATCCTTCGAACAATGCCTGTGAAAAACTCAACTCTGTGTCAGGACGTCATTCAGGATTAAGAAATAATGCAACTGAAGGAAATGTGAAAATTACAGTTGTTTGCAGGTGCACACTTGTTCATATATTTTCCAATAAAAATACAGCAAAAGCAGGGGTTCTCTATAAAAATTCACAAACAGTGTGCTGACCCTGAGAATGCACCTCCCTCCCTCCACATACAGGCAGCAAAATGCAGGTGGGTCAGGTTCCCAGCAGCTGCTTTCTGACATCTGTGGCATGGCGTGTGCTGAGGCCCATGTCCTGTGGTCTACTCTAATGAAAGGACTGACTCCACAGTGATTCCTAAGAAGAGCCCTTTCTTGGAGTCACAGGGATCCCCTGAGAGGTAGCACTGACTTACACGAGACTCAGTTATCTTTTGCAGCTTCCTTGCATAGCACAAAAATATAGGAACCTTCCTCCCAATCCTCCCTCCCTCTCTCCTCCAGTCAGGGACAAGCTTCCATCATACGCCATTAGCTTCCCAGCCTCATTCCACTCCCTGTGCATTTTCGCTCAAAGGGGTGAATGTACTTCTTATAAAAATGTAGGGAAACTTCATTCCATCTTGGGGTTTTCTGCTCAGAACACGAATAATAGCACAAATATTAGGAGAAAGGGGTCCCAATTTGGGGAAAATCCACAGATTAAAATGAAAACAAGTTTCTTATGCAAGTAAAATAATGAGACTGGCTACACCAGAGGTGGAGCAGCAGTATGGGCTGCTGGTTGTCCATTTTATGGTTATTTCTTGATTATATGTTAAACAATGGATGGATTATTCATGAGTCCTCCAGGCAATTCCTGAAGTTGAGTGTTCCTCCCCTCCTTTTTAAACCACACAAGGAAACTTCATGATGTTGCCTTGACAACTGTAAACTGTCTTGGGGCTGGAGGGAGTGTTTTTTAGCATGTTAATGCATTATAATTAGAGTATAATGAACAGTGAGGACAAACTGAGGTCATTTTAGCCACTGTCTCGGTTTTGGAGGGCTTTGCCCAGCTTCTTTACTGTAAGATTTATCTGCAAGGCCTTTATGACCTGGATCTTGTGCAGACCTCCTATCTCATCCTGTGACTAACTTACTGCATCAACTTACTAGGAATCCAGCCCAGCAGGTCTCGGTCTTATTTTTCCTAGCCCCTATTCAAGATGGAGTTGTTCCAGTTCCAAAGCCTCTGACACACTCAAAAAATGTAGCAAAAGTATTTATAATATGAGCATGATTATATTGCCAAATATAAAATATCATAATGACAACAATCAATTTTACCTGTCGTCTTGACTAGACCACAGTCTCATCTACTCAATCACACACTAGCTTAGGTGTTGCTCCCATGGCATGATACAGGTGTTAGGAGAGCTTGCCATTATGTTTTCCTAAGTCATGAAGAGTGTTCTAGATAAACTAGGTGGGGCTGATTCAATCACAGCATAACAGAAGATGATGGGACTCCACGGTGGATGGCAGATGCAGGTCTTCCCAGGAATTCCAGCCTGTCTTTCCTGAGGTCCAGAAGTATTGACCTTAGGCTGCCTAGCCAGACCCTACAATTACTGTTACCCAGAGCTCACCCACAATGGACTATCCATCATCAACTCTCCTCAAAGTTATAGGTGAGGGTCCAAACTCTGTGACAGTGTGAGAAGCACAAGTTCAGCTCTACATCAATATCCAATTGGAGAAAACTAGTATTATTCCCTTAATGACTAATGTCCACTTCATTTCCCAAATGCCTCCATGCACAGAAGACAACAGGAGTGTCCAGACAATGGTGAGTGAGAAAGTCTCCTCAGCCTACCCAGGTCCTGCAGACCTGAGCCCTGGGATTTTCCCTGAAAACAGAAAACACATCGTTTGTTCTCAGGGAAGAGAAGAAGAAAGCGAACTGTGAGAATCAAACCTACAGAGAAGCAAAATGGATTAGCAGAAAAAGGGTCAACTGAATCAGTCTGAGTTTACAAGACGAGGGGGGATAGCTGTGAAAACCATCAGGCTTTAAGGACCCCGACCCTGGGTGAGCCTGTCTCTTGGCTCCCATCAGAGCTCAAAGCCCGTTCTAATCAGAAATTCCCATGGAGGTCTCTGCCCTGAGTCTAATTGGAAAACACTCTCCAGGTTTCCCTGGGATTCCTCAGGACTCTCATCCTGTTGACCACGAAAGGATTATTTCTGCCCCCAAAGTGACACCCTGGCTTCTGTGGAGCTGAGGATATGTACTCCTGTTGCAAAAAAACAAAGAAACAAAAAGGACAAAAAAAGTATTGCATTTAGAGACATGAAATGTCAGTACAGAATTGTAAATCTGGAGAAGTTCCTGGGGAAATTTGACAACGAGGCAGCCCCAGACCGCGACAGGAAGCCAGCCCTCAGCAGCACCTGCACCTGCCCTGGAGACAGCCCCGTGCTCAATGCCCTGTCGCCCCCTGGTGGTCCCAAGGGACCCCTGCAGGGAGGTTTGTGTCTGGGCTCACACTGACTTCCCCTCACTGTGTCTCTCGCACAGTAATACACGGCCGTGTCCTCGGCTCTCAGGCTGTTCATTTGCAGATACAGTGAGTTCTTGGCGTTGTCTCTGGAGATGGTGAATCGGCCCTTCACAGAGTCCACATAGTATTTCTCACTTCCATCTTGCTTTATGTTGGCCACCCACTCCAGCCCCTTCCCTGGAGCCTGGCGGACCCAGCTCATCCAATAGCTACTAAAGGTGAATCCAGAGGCTGCACAGGAGAGTCTCAGGGACCCCCCAGGCTGGACCAAGCCTCCCCCAGACTCCACCAGCTGCACCTCACACTGGACACCTGCAAACAAAGAGACACCAAGGTCAGAAACTGCCACACAAATCCACTGTTTCTCACACTCATATCCACACACACTCAATCTTCCTAGTTTTCCATGAATCACCTTCTAAAATAGCAACAAGGAAAACCCAGCTCAGCCCCAACTCCATGGTGAGTCCTCTGTGCTCAGTGCTGATCACCAAGTGGAAAGGCCTTGGAGTCCAGGGCTAAGGCTCCTCTCTGAGACCTGCAGGGTCAGGGTTGGGTTGGTTTTCATCAGTAGAGGGAGGGCCCTATTTGCATGTCTCCTACTATATAAGAAGCTCTAGTGGGATGCTGGAGGAATAGGCTGTACCCATATAAGAAGACGGTGCTCTGCAGAAGTTTGCTGACAATGATGGTATTTGGAAAATATGCTGTCTTATGAAATTGTGCTGTGATAAACACTTTGCCCTGATCACCCTATTACATTTTTTAAAAAATGTGTAAATTATGCTCTGTAGGAGTCAGTATTTTCTCCTTTTACAGAAGTGGAAGTAAACCCACACATGGGGGGGCTCTGTATGCACCCAGGAGCTCATGTCTGGGATGAGTGAACGCTGCCATCTGGCCCTGTGCTTCTCGTCACTGGCTCTGACATCCCCCTAAACCAACTCCAGGACAAAGCTGTACATGCCCGGTGTGGTTTTCAGAAGCCACTTTCTGTAATAAGAGCATGTGTGGTTTTGCTGCTGTTCTGTGTGTCAGGCATTTATTTATTATAAATCATGGGTAGTATTCCAGTGAACACATTTACCATAATTTGTTTTTCTATTAAGCAGCTTAACAATATTTGAATTCTCTGTGACTCTGGGTCTTACCAAAAAACCTGCAACTCAGCTTCAAAATGTACATAGATGAGGAGTATATTTTACTTACTGTTTTACAGCATCAACATAACAGATAAACACAGGAGATGGAATTTTGCCAATTTTAAAATATACTTTAAATACTGGAGGTTTTAAGATAATCATCAAATCCGAAATTTAGGGAGAGACAAGTTCTTGCAGAGAGTAAAAAGGCATGGGTACGAGTTGAACTGAGGCAGAGTCTGGCATATAAAAATGTAGGCTATTATAAGAGAAAAAAATACATAGATACTGAATTGGTGAAGTCAAGTGTGGTAAATGTGTTGTAGCGTGAATTTCTCAGGGACCACATACTGAAGAGCTTTCCTATACCTTGAAACCTTTTTCCCAAAAATGGGGACAGTCACAAAAATCTTTTGTCCCAATGTGTCTGTCTGGGAGAGAAAAAGAGCCCACACTCTGAAATGCATTCAGACCCACCTCCTTAATCCCCATTGCAGAACTAAGAAATTACTCTGCAGGAGCAAGCCACCAAAGCCAGGATCTTAGGGGCACTGGGGCCATCCCTTAGGAACTGAGATGGAAAAAGAGGTCTTCACCTAAGTTCCATTGAGAAGTATCTCCCCTCCTTCTTATTTAATCAGAGCCTTAATCTCTAGGTCAGGTCATCAACTCTGGAAGCTGATAACACCAAAAGAGAACATTGGAGCTGTGGGAGGGAACAACTGGGGAAAACAAGAGGACTCCACAGCAGGGAAAACAGCAAGAACACACAGACCAACATCTCATCTGGCAGAAGTTCAGAAACACCGGCAATGTCACACCCAGACTCAGGGTCACAATGCCTTCGTAGAAATATAGACCCATGAAAGGTCAGAAAATCTCCCTTTATTCTATTGCCTTCCACCAATTTCACAATTGTCAGTTCAATATAATATCTTAACCCACCTGAAGGAGCTGAAAGAGATTCTCTGGAGGAAGGAACAGGGTGAAGAGACAAAGCCAAGCAGGAAAGAAAAACAAGGTATCACTGGAGGATCTGAAGTCTCTGGTGGACACAGAAGAACAGACTTCAACTATGACGTCTACTGCAAAAGTAAACGTCAAATGTAGCTCTGAGAAGATTCAAACATTTCCACATTAAAGGCCTGGCAAAAATAAAGTATGGTCAAATACAGGCAGAAAATGCATAAAATGAAGTAATAAGCCAATATCAACTGTCCAACCTAAAATATCTGGCTATCAACAAAGATTACATATATTAATGAGAAATACCAAAGTCATAATAAACAAATGATCAGAATGAGACTTCTATATGATATGGATCTTAGAACTATCTAATTAAACAAGATATATAAAGTAACTATAATTCATATGTAAAAATCTATTAAGGAAACTGTATACATAATGAAGGACTAGATAGGGAACTGAGAGTTGAAAATACTAAGAAAAAATCAAATGGAAATGCATAAGAAATCAAAAGCAATGCAGTATAAACATTGAGTAAGCTTTGGGCACACCCTTCAGTAGAGCTGGCTCACCTTTTAAATGAAACCACTCACTTAAAATACCACTAGAAATTTTACAGAGTAAAGTGCAAGGAAAAGAGAGTGAAGAAAGTAAACATTAATATTAAAAAGTATTGTATATGTACATTTTAAATCTGAAAGGAGAAATTGTAGATACAGAGACAGTATTTGAAAGAAATAATGGCTAAGAACGTTCCCAGTTTTGTGAAAGACACTGAACTACAGATCCTAGAATCACAGAGAACCTCAAGCAGAGTAAACAGAAATAGACACAGACACCCACACCACACATCCACCATGGACAGAGTGGTGCGCAAGGAAAAAGTCACACATCACACACCACGTACACATTTCCTCAACTTTATAGTTTTTACTTAGTTGTTTTAAAATTATTTGAATTTATGGTATTAAGTAGAAGTCTAAAATTAAAATATATCATTCTATGCATAAGCCTGTCTATTCTTACCATGATCAAATACACGGTTTGGTTCAAATGAATGTAACTACGTTGTTAGGAAATTCACATTTCAAAGAAAAATGGTATTTATTCCTGGCTCTGTGTTGAAGCATTTGTAATGTATGCAAATAAAATCTGTTTTAATTAAAGGATTTTTTAAAGTTAGCACATAATAACTGTATGGGGTACAGTGTGATATTTCTATGCATGTGTGCCATGTGGTATGATTAAATCAGAACAATGAACAAATTCATCAGCTTAGACACTAACATTTCTTTTTGTTGGTAACATACAAATTTCTGTCTTCTGGCTACTTGTAAACATAAAATGTGCACTATATTGTTAACAGCAGTCACCCTACTGCACTGTAGATCACTGGAGCACATCCCTCCTATCTGCCTGTAAATTATACGTTTGTTAACAAACCTCTTATTGTCTCTCAGTCTCCTCCCATTCCCGGCGTCTCATAACCACTACTCTATTATTTACTTCTAGAAGATCAACTTTTTAAAATTTCCACATAACACTGAGAAAATGCTGTATTTATTTTTCTGTGTCTGTCTTGTTTCACTCAACATGATGGTGTCCAGTTCCATCCATGTTGCTTCTAACAGCAGAATTTCATTTTTAAGACTGAACAATATTCCATTGTGTAAATATAACACATTTTATTTATCCATTCATCTGTTGATGGACACATATGTTGATTTCATATGTTAGCTATGGTGGATAGTGCTGCAATAAACATGGGTGTACATGTATCTCTTCAATATTAGTTTTTTACTTTAATGATTTAAATAGATACATACTCAGCAGTTGGATTGTGAATTATATGGTAGTTCTATTTTTTCCCATGATGGCTTCACTAATTTCCATTTCCACCAATGGTCTATAAGAGTTTCCCTTTCTATGAATCCTGGCCAGCTCCTGTTTTATTTATTTATTTATTTATTTAGATTTTCTGACTCTCAAGCAAAGATGAAGGATGAAAAGACATCTCATTGTGAATGTGCATTTTCCTGAATATTAGTGTTTTCTAGCGATATATGTATGTATACATACCAATATATCTATTTATCTATCTATCATCTATCTGCCCTTTTTCTTTTCTTCTTTTGAGAAATATGTATTAATGTTATTCCTCCATTATTAGCCACATTATTATTTGCAGTTGGGTTGAGTTTATTTTATATGCTTGATAGTAATCCCTTGTCATATGAATGGTTTTCAATATTGTCTATCTTCTGCAGGTTCCCTCTTAACTCAATTGTTTCCTTCACTGTGAAGGAGCTAAACTCTCTTGATAGAACCTGGACAGGTGGGCTGAGGTCCCAATGCTGTGGGACATTGGAGGGGAAGAGCTTGACCCAATATCCAGAACCAAGTGAGCTTTTACTCACCATGTGGTTTCTGAGTTTATGGTTTGAACAGATGCAGAAGAGTTTGTCATGGCATTCTGGGGGATAAAGAATTTGAAGAGAGAATGACATAATTTATTAGTCAAGTAAATAAAAATGTCATGATTTTCCATATGTTCTTGTGAGTGGGGGTAGCTCAGCAGTGTGTGTTCATCTCCAGAAAAGAGAAAATTATGTCTGCTGTGAAAAGAATGCATAGCTTTTGACATATGTGGTTGTTATATAACAACTGAGCCTGGATATTAGGTCATGTTATAATGCTAGTGGGAAGACTCAGTAGAAGAAAAAGTGTCATAGCAACAAAAAATGAAGCATCAAAGATTTAAATAAAAAGGGTTTTTGAATATCACTAGTAATGAATATGCTGAGAAAAATCAATTACCATAATCAGAATAATAATTCGTGACCGCCCATAGGATTCATGCTGAGATGATATAAAATTTCCATTAAATGGCTCATCACCACCCTCATAAAATGGTTCAGACAAGAAATTCAGAACAGTGTGACCTTACAGCCAGTGGAGGCCAAACCTTTGAGGAGAGGGAGAGTCTGTGTTAGAATTGTGAGAAATAGAAACCTGAACTCTGCGGAGAAGCAACAGTGATCAAAGGCAGTGCCGAGTCCACTTGAGTTTAGTGGTGAACACAGTAAAGATGGGTTTCTCTGCCCTCATTCAGTTTTTGTTCTCGACACTCTCTTGGAAGCTCAGTTGTGAACATTGGGAATCTTCCTAAAACTCAATTACAGCAAAAGCAATTTTTCACTGAAGAAAGAGGTAACAACATGGGGGTAAGTAAATTTGGGTTATAAAAATTAGTTATTGAAACCTCAATGTAAGTCTCTAGTAATTTAAATCATAAAATGTTCAGCCTCATCAATGGAGTCCTCTTATCTTGTCAGAGATGAGTGTCCATGTGGGCACGTCGCGCAGTCATGGAGGCCGGGGAGATGGTCTGTCCAGGCTTTCCTGGTCCTTCAGAGGAGAAGTGCAGAGTCGTCTCCTCTCCTGCTCCCACCTGTTTTCATATCTGTGTGTGACCCTTGAGCATGTCATTTCCATGCGCTTGCATAATAGGAGTCAAATGGGGCATGAAGCTGACATGCTGGGTGTATCATTGTATAATTGGGGAAAGAAACTGCCTGCATACATGAACTCTTGCATTATCCAGGCCTGGAGCCTCTCACATCTACACTTTGCATTTTATTAATGATTTCCTGTGTTGTTTAGTCAGTTAAAATGTTCTTTTTAACTTTCTTCTGAAATAGCTTTACACAATAATCTAGAGGCATAAAGATTATGTCTCACATAATAATCTAGAGGCTTAAAGATTAAAGACAAACTTAAAACTTATTAAAGAATAACTCACCAAGTTCCAGTTGTGGTCATAGTTAGTTTGTGGTGATTGTGAGACAGGGAGAAGCATGGCTGGAAACTATGACTGTGCTCGTAAATGCTTCATGTTAACGGGGAAGACACTGTACACCCAAGAGATTTAGACACTGCCACTGAGAACCTCTACCTAATATTATATGTTATGAATCACACCTCAATAATAAAACTCTAGGTTAATGACAAAATTGCTCTTACTAATATAAGATTTCCTTTAGAACACAGTCCTCTATCTGATGTAAAATCAGCACAGATGGCAGAAGAGATTGCATTTATTAGAAGTGCCAATTTGTTAAACTAGGAAATAAACATGTTTCAGGGCAGTGCATGGGTTCGGGATGCTTTGAAAAAAAAAAAAAAGCATCTCACACATTCTGGAAAACCCACCAAAATGGGCAAGTTAGGGAACGTTTACAGGCACTCCTTTTCCCCAGATTCCTGGCAGATATAAAGGTAGAAGTCAATGCAAAAAGAGGTAACATTGAAGCTAAGAAAACTGCCATACCAGATCATATCCTCAAAAGGTAAAGCTGCTGAGTCACAGATATTATCAAAAATATCAATGCTGAGCCGCTGATCTTAAATAAAAATGAGTGAAAATACATAGTTACCATATTTGCTTAATTTGTGCCAGATCATTTCAAATATGTATTTGTTGCATTTCAACTCTACAATTTATAGAAAAATTGGTTACCAGATTAAATAAACAGTTTGCCACTTGGACACATTTATGTAAACTTTCCTCAATTTCCACACTTAATGGGATATGAATGTATTTTATTTATCATCTATCTGTGTTCTCTGTGTCTTCCAATAATTCCTTGACAAAGGCTACAGCTCTTTCAGTTGATTAAAAGCTTCTATATTTTCTGTTTTTAGCCTGTGACCTGCCAGGTTTTTGCATGAACCGAGTGAAGCACACTCATGAAAGGAACTATTATAAAATGATTCTGTGAGGCAGGGCTGATACTAAAATATGGCATTGTTATAACCTCCCACAGTCTTCCACATAAGTTTAAAAGAATGGTATTCTTACATTAAAATTATCAGTTTTAAGAAACCCTTGAACTCCCTTGTCTACATGTACTCCTACCAGCATTGTGGCATTATGGTCCTCTGTCTCAAGGATGTATCTGTTATTTTCCTATGACTTGGTAGCTGGAAAAATACACACTTGGAAATTTTACCTCCAGTACTAGCCTTTGACCTATTGTATTTGGATGAAGCAGAGCACTCAAAGAGATTCATGTATTATGCTCACTCCTATCAGCAAAAGATTAAAGCTGCCATTCCAGTTGTGTTTTTAACAGCCTTTTACTATCTTTAGCCAGGAAAATTTATACATTGGAAAAAATTTAGAGAAAAACTTCCCTTGAAACACTGGAAGGAAGCTTGTTAGATATTTTTGTCAACACAGCAGTAAAACTCCACGGAGTCAGTCCCAGGGATTATGTTTTATAACGTGAATAAGGAGTTAAAAATTCCACACAATTGGAACGCTACTCCATAGAGGGGATTTTGACCTATTTAATTTATATACCAACCTTCACTTAAAGGCACTCTCCTATGGTTTTCCAAACTTAAGCAAATCTCTGTAACCTGCTGAAGTCTCCTCAGTGCACTTTGTCTCTAGATAGCCACACGTGAAAAAGCAAATTTTGTGTATTTGTGCATGAGTGATCTGGACACACCCTTGGTATTTTAACTGAATTTCATGGAAACATGATTACTGACTGTGAACTCATATTTAATGGCATTCAAAAATGCATCACCCTTGTGATGTGGTGGAAATTGGTGCCTGTGAGAAATATGCTGATGCTTCACTTGAACAAGTTCTAGACCCCTCCCTTGACTTCATGGTTCCTCACTCGGTACAGATGTGTCTATGAGCAAAACCCAACACTGATACAGATATCCAGCACTTTCTCCTGTTGAGAAAATTATTTTTTCTCTTTCTAGGCCTGACTCTCTCTCTCTCCCTCTCTCTCTGTCTTGCCTTTTCATTATGTTTTTTGCCATATCATTCTGAAACCTCCCAACAGTATGCATCATGAATCATGCCAATTTCAAGCCTCAGAAAGAAAAAGGTGCAAACTCATAATTTCCTGAACAAGGTTAGAAAACTTCCTGCATTTCCACCAGATCCATTAGAGACTCCCAATGAGAATCATGGTCAAACATTATTTGTTTCTGGATTATACATCAAAACCGAAACTGCTTTTTTAATGTTTACTCCATTTGTGTTTCCACTATGTGCAAAGTAGTATGAAGATTCCAAAATAAATTAAAAACAGAAATACCTTATGACTTGGCAAATCCTCTTCTGGGTATGTTCTAAAGAAGATAAAACCACCACCACCTCATGAAGGCATGTGCACTCCCATGTTCTTTGCAGCTCTTTCACAATAGCCCAGATGTGAAAGCACCTCAGTGTCTGTAGGTGGACAAATGGATAGAGTAAATGTAATCTATGTATGCGATAGGATATTATTCAGCCATGAAACCCAATATTCTGTCATTTGCTATAATATGAATGGAACTGGAAGTCATTATGTTAAGATAAATAAGCCAAGAAAAGAGAGACAAATATTGCATCTTCTTATTTTACGTCAAAACTAAAATACTGGATCGCCTGAAGATAGAATAGACTGTTGCTTACCAGAATCCTGGATGGATAGAAGAGAGAAGGAGATAAGGAGAGGTTGATTACTGTATACAAATATACATTTATAGAGGAGAAATAAGACCTAAATGTTTGATAGATCAGTAAGGTCACTATAGTTAATAATAATCTAATGCACAACATTAAAATAGTGAAAGGAGTCATTCAAATGTGCTCAGCACAAGGAAAGGGTACATTTTTAATGTGACAGATATGTAAATCTTACACTAATCTTTACACATTTATAAATGTATCAATATATTACATGTTCCCATAAAATAGGTATATCTACTATATGCCAATAAAATAAATAAATAATCTCCATGGCATGATTTTACAAAATGTTTTTAAAAAGCTCCAATTTATATAAAAATATAAAAGACTTCAAATAGCCAAATTAATTTTGGGCATAAATAACAAAGCTGAATATATCATAATCTATAATTTCAAAATCGAATCTATATAAATCAAAATGTTATAATGCTGGCATTTAAACAGACATATAATCCAATGAAACATTAAACACAACCTGGCAACCAACCCATTTCTTCCCAATAAACTGATCTTTGTCAAGTTCCCAAGACACACAGTAGAGAAAGGACAGTCTCTTCAACGAGTGGTGTGAAAAACGGGTATCCATATGCAGAAGAAATAGATAGAACTCACCTCACACAATACACAGAAATCAGCTAAAAATGGATTCAAGAGTTACACAAAGACCTGAATATGTGGTACAAAGGTATCCATGTATGGTTTGGAACAAAATGTGAATTATTACAGCCAGTATGAAAAACAACATGAAGATTACTCAGTGAACTGGACATAGAGCATCCCCACTTCTGAGCATACATCTAGAGAAAATAAACTGAGTGTGACAAATCTATGTCCATTGTGAGATTATTCATAATAGTCTAGATAAGGAAAACGAGTCAATGTCCATCTACGAATGAACAGATAAAATGTGGCTTATACCTACATAAAACTGAGTATTATTCAGCCTTTAAAAACAAAGAAATTCTTATATTTGCAACAAATAGAGAACATTATGCTAAGTGGAATAAGCCAGACACAGAAAGACAAAAGCTGCATGATCTCATTTATATATAGAATTATATATTGAATATTTTATATTCAAGCTCTTGGAAGCAGAGTAGAATAGTAGGTCGCAGGGGCTGGGAGGAGGAAAAAATTGGGTATTGTTGGTCAAAGGGTAAAAACTTCCCGTTATGAAGGTTAATGTGGTTTGGCTCCGTGTTCCGACTCAAATCTCATGCCAGATTGTAGACCCTGCATGTTGAAGGAAGGGCCTAAGATAAAGTGATCAGGTCATGGGATTGTCTTCCTCTTCGCTGTTCTCGTGATAAAGTTCTCAAGAGATCCGATGGTTTAAAAGTGTGGCACCTCCCCGCTCACTTGCTCTCTCTCTCCTGCCACCATGTGAAGAAGGTTCTTGCTTCCCGTTCACCTTCCACCATCATTGTTCGTCCTGATGCCTCCCAATAATGCTTCCCATTTAGCCTGCAGAACTGAGAGTTAACTAAAACTCTTCTCTTCATAAATTACCCAGTCTGAGGTAGTCTTTATAGCAATGTGAAAATGGACTAATACAGAAAACTTGCACCAGGAGTGGGATACTGCTATTAAGATACTTGAAAATGTGGAAGTGACTTTGTAACTGGGTAATGGGCAGAGGTTGGAAAAGCTTGGAGTGCTCACAAGAAGACAGGAAGATGTGGAAAAGTTTGAAACTGCCTAGAGGCTCGTTGAATGGGTTTTATCAAAATGCTGATAGTGATATGGGCAATGAAGTCCAGTCTGAGGTGGTGTCAGATGAAGGTGAAGAACTTATTGTGAACTGGAGTGACGGTCACACTTGCTATGATTTAGCAAAAAGACTAGTGGCATTTTCCCCCTGCCCTAGAGATCGGTGAAATGTTGAGCTACAGAGACATAATTTAAGGTATATCTGGCAGAAGAAATTTCTAAGCACCAAAGCATTGAAGAGTTGACCTGGCTGTTTCTGAAAACAGAAGCCATGTGCATTCATAAAGAGATGGTCTGAAATTGGAACTTATGTTTAAAAGGGAAGCAGAGCATAAAAGTTTGATAAAATATTGCAGCCTGTCCAAGTGGTAGACAAGAAAAACTCATTTTCTGGGGAGAAATTCAAGCTGGCTGCAGAAATTTGCATAAGTAACAAGGACCCCAGTGGGAAAAAATGTCCCCAGGGCATTTCAGAGATCTTTATGGCAGCCCCTCCCATCACAGGTCCAGAAGCCCAGGGGAGAAAAATGGTTTCATTGTCCAAGCCCAGGATGCCACTGCTCTGTGCAGCCTTGGGACATGGCGCCTTGCATCCCTGTCTGTCCTGTGCCAGCCATGGCTAAAAGGGGTCAAGGTCCAGCTCAGGCCATTGCTCCAGAGGGTGCAAGCCCTAAGCTTTGGTTGCTTCCACGTGGTGTTGAGCCTGCTGGTGCACATGAGGCAAGAGTTGAGGTTTGGGAACCTCCTCCTAGATTTCAGATGATGTATGATAATGCCTGGATATCCAGGCAGAAGTCTCATGCAGGGGCTGAGCTCTAATGGAGTACCTCTACTAGGCCAGTGTAGAAGGAAAATATGGTGTTGGATCCCCCACACAGAGTCCCCACTTGGGCACTGTCTAGTGGATCTGTGAGAAGAGGACCACTGTCCTTCAGACCCCAGAATGGTAGAACCACCAGCAGCTTGTATGGTGTGCCTGGAAAAGACATAGCAACTCAATGCCAGCCTATGAAAGCAGCTATGGGGAGTCTAACATGCAGAGCCACAAGGGTGGAGCTTCCCAAGGCCTTGGGAGATCACCTCTTACATCAGCGTGTCCTGGATGTGAGACATGGAGTAAAAGGAAATTTTTTTGGAGCTTTAAGATTTAATGACTGCCCTGCTAGTGTTTGGACTTGCATGGGGCCTGTAGCCCATTTGTAGTGGCCAATTTCTCCCATTTAGAATGGGAACATTTACCCAGTGCATTCATCTCATAGTATCTTGGAAGTAACTAACTTGTTTTTTATTTTACAGGGTTATACATCCAAGAAACTTACCTTGTCTCAGAGGAGACTTTGGACTGTAGAAGTTTGTGTTAATGCTGAATTGAGTGAAAACTGGGAGACTGTTGAGAAGGGATAATTATATTTTGCAATGTGAGAGGGATATGAGATTTGTGAGTGGCCGGGTATAATGATACTGTTTGGCTCAGCGTTTCCATCCAAATCTCATGTCAAATTTTCATCCTCAAGTGTTGTAGGAGGGGTCTGATGAAGAGTGACTGAATCATGGAGGCGGCTTTCCCCTTTGCTCTTCTTGTGTTAGAGTTCTCACAAGATCTCGAGGTTTAAAAGTGCGGCGCATCTCCCCTTGCTCTTTCTCTCTTTCCCCTGCCAGCATGTGAAGACGGTCCTTGCTTCCCCTTCACTTTCCACAATTATCGTAATTTTCCTGATGCCTCCCTATAAGGCTTCCTGCTAAGCCTGCAGAACTGTGAGTCATCTAATTCACTTCTCTTCATGTATTTCCCAGTCTCAGGTAGTTCTCTAAAGTAGTTTGAGAATGGACTGATACACAGGTTGAAGGAGTTCTGGAGATGAAACATACAGCAATGCAACTATACTAATGAATATTATATTATAAACTTATCTGTTTCCAGAAGAGTAGATCTTAGGTGTTTTTATCACAGACTCACAATAAATTAAAGGCATAAAATGATATTCTCTGAGATGATAGGCATGCCAATTACCTTGATCACGATGAACATGTGCCCAAGTATATCAATACCTTAAGTGGTGTACCTTAAATACATACAATTTTGTTTGTCAGTTATAGCTCCTTAAAGCTGAAAAGTTATAATGCATACTTATATTTCTACATATTTTATCAATAAAAATGGGAGAATATAAGCAAAAGAACTTGTACGACGATATTTATAACAGGTTTGTTTACAATATTTATTTTGGAAACAAATTTAAATTCCATCAACAGGAAAATAGATATATGTACTGACACTTATTCACTTAATGAACTGATTTCCTTACTTAATAAACTGTCGTTTATTAACGTAATGGACTGATTGAGATATGAAATAGCTAGATGTGCATGAGTACATACATATGTATATATATGATGACAAAACCTAGATAGATGCAAATACATGAATGAACCTCACAAATACCAAAAGTAGCCCCTTACAAAAAATGAACTATAATATTGATTCCATTTATGTGATGCTCAAAACAGGAAAAAATGGACCTATAGTGACAGAAACCAGAACATTTTTCTATTTGCATTCCTCTGATGATTAGTGATGCTAAATATTTTTAAAATACATTTGCTGGCCACTTGTATATATTCTTTTGAGAAGTGTCTGTTTGTGTTATTTTCCCAGGTATCAGTCTGTTTTCAAACTGCTAGTAAGGACATACTGAAATCTGGGAACAAAAACAGGTTTCATTGGAATTACAGTTCTGCATGGCTGGGAGGACCTCAGAATCATGGTGGGAGGTGAAAGGCACTCTTTACATGGTGGTGGCAAGAGGAAATGAGGAAGAAGCAAAAGCGGGAACATCTGATAAACCCATCAGATCTCATGAGAGTTATTCACTATCACGAGAATTGCATGAGAAAGACTGGCCCCCATGATTCAATTACTTCCCCCTAGATCCTTCCTACAACATGTAGGAATTCTGGGATATAAAATGCAAATTGAGATTTTGGTGGGGACACAGCCAAACCATATCAGCCCATTTTTAAAGGGGTTATTTGTGTTTTGCCTCTGATTTGTTTAAGTTCCCTATAGATTCTGGATATTAGTGCTATGTTGGATGCAATGTTTGTGAATATCTTCTCACATTTTGCAGGTTGTCTGCTTATCTGCTGAAGTTTTGGTTGCTTGTGTGTTTGTTTTGCTGTGCAGTAACTCCTTAATTAATTAGGTCCCACTTGCCTATTTTTGTTTTTCTTGAAATTGCTTTTGGATACTTAGCCAAAAATTCTTTGTCAAAGCTGGTGTCAAGAAGAGTATTTCCTAGGTTGTCTTAAAAGATTTTTATGGTTTGTGGTCTTACATTTAAAATTGTGGTCAATTTTGAGTTAATTTTATGTGTGTTGAAAGTAGACGTCCAGCTTCAATCTTCATCATACGGATAGCCAGTTGCCCCAGCACCATTTATTGAACAGGGAGTCCCTTCCTCATTGCTTGTTTTTGTCAGTCTTATCAAAGATGAGATGACTGTAGGTGAGAAGCCACACACCACTCAGAATGGCTATCACTAAAAAGTCGAAAAACGATGGATGCTGGTGGGGCTGTGGAGAAAACAGAACACTTATACACTGTTGATTGGAATATGAATTAGTCTTACCACTTTGAGAACCAGACTGGAGATTTCTCAAAGAACTTAAAACAGAGATATCATTTTACCCAGCAATCCCACTACTGGGTGTACACTAAAAAGTAAGCAAACAATTCTACCAAAAAGACACATGCACATCTATGTTCATTGCTGTGCTATCCATAGTGGCAAAGACAACCCAGATACACACCAATGGTAGACTGAATATACAAAATGTGTTACATCTACAATATATAACACTACACAGCCATGAAAAATAATATAGTCATGTCCTTTCCAGCAAAATGATTGGAGCTGGGGGCCTGAAACCTAAATAAATCAATGCAGGAGTAGAAAACCGAATACCACATAATCTAAGTGGGACCTCAGCATTGAGCATTCATGGACATAAATGTGCGAATGATAGACACTGTGGACTGCTGGAGAGTGGAGGGAGGGGGTGATGGAATCTGGATTCCAAACCTCAGCATCACTCAATAATCCCATGTGACAAGTCCACACATATGCCCTCTGTATCTGAATGAAAACTTGAAATTAAATAAAAATCCTTATGTGAGAGCTGACTGGAAGCACCAAAGAGGACACTTGTTGTGGAGATTGACCTGCTCCTCATCCTAACTTAGGTGCTGGAGACAAATGTGTGCACATATGTCAGACACCTGAAACTGTACATTGAAGATGTATGCAATTTTGTATACATTAATTTTATCTCATAAAAATAGAAAAGACAATTGTAAGAAAATATTTTATATCAAAATCAAAATCTTAATGAAATGGATATGAAAATTCAAATATAAAATGTGAGATTATTACAATAATTATTAAAATACCTTCAGCTATATCTACTAGAATAAAATCCCAGAAACAAGAAAGATAAAAGTGACATCTTAAAATGAAAAATTAATAAACACACATTTCACAAATAAGTAAAACATGGCTAAAAATATGTGGAACATTTTATATTATTAGTCATACAAAGTTATTCAGCTGAAGTTGCTTATCAGCTTAAGGAGATTTTGGGCTGAGACTATGGGGTTTTCTATATATACAATCATGTCATCTGCAAACAGGGACAATTTGACTTCCTCTTTTCCTAATTGAATACCCTTTATTTCTTTCTCTTGCCTGATTGCCCTGGACAGAACTTCCAATGCTATGTTGAATAGGAGTGGTGAGAGAGGGCATCCCTGTCTTGTGCCAGTTTTCAAAGAGAATTCTTCCAGTTTTTGCCCATTCAGTATTATATTGGCTGTGGGTTTGTCATAAATAGCTCTTATTATCTTTAGGTACATCCCATCAATACCTAATTTATTGAGAGTTTTTAGCATGAAGTGTTGTTGAATTTTGTCAAAGGCCTTTTCTACATCTATTGAGATAATCATGTGGTTTTTGTCGTTGGTTCTGTTTATATGCTGGATTACGTTTATTGGTTTGCGTATGTTGAACCAGCCTTGCATTCCAGGGATGAAGCCCACTTGATCATGGTGGATAAGCTTTTTGATGTGCTGCTGGATTCAGTTTGCCAGTATTTTATTGAGGATTTTTGCATTGATGTTCATCAGGGATATTGGTCTAAAATTCTCTTTTTTTGTTTTGTCTCTGCCAGGCTTCGGTATCACGATGATGCTGGCCTCATAAAATGAGTTAGGGAGGATTCCCTCTTTTTCTATTGATTGGAATAGTTTCAGAAGGAATGGTACCAGCTCCTCCTTGTACCTCTGGTAGAATTCGGCTGTGAATCCGTCTTGTCCTGGACTTTTTTTGGTTGGTTAGTTACTAATTATTGCCTCAATTTCAAAGCCTATTATTGGTCTATGCAGAGATTCAAATTCTTCCTGGTTTAGTCTTGGGAGGGTGTATGTGTCCAGGAATTTATCCATTTCTTCTAGATTTTGTAGTTTATTTGCATAGAGGTGTTTATAGTATTCTCTGATGGTAGTTTGTATTTCTGTGGGATCGGTGGTGATATCCCCTTTATCATTTTTTATTATGTCTATTTGATTCTTCTCTCTTTTCTTCGTTAGTCTTGCTAGTGGTCTATCAAGTTTGTTGATCTTTTCAAAAAAACAGCTCCTGGACTCATTGATTTTTTGAAGGATTTTTTGTGTCTCTATCTCCTTCAGTTCTGCTCTGATCTTAGTTATTTCTTGCCTTCTGCTAGCTTTTGAATGTGTTTGCACTTGCTTTTTTAGTTCTTTTAATTGTGATGTTAGGGTGTCAATTTTAGATCTTTCCTTTGAATAAAGTAGGAAAATATAAAAAAAATAAAAAATGGAAATAGACATTTTTAAATAGAAATTATAAAAAACTTCCTTGGCCACGTGTTCTCCTGCTAGCATGTGTGGCATCACATTTCACTCCTTGGGGCACGTCAGTTATTAGCCTATGAATTGTATCTGGGAGGCCCATACATTCAGAGATTTGACTCTCATCACTCACCTTTTTCCTGCTGCATGCATGTGTTACAAAATATAGAAAGTGATTCCTGTATTATATACACTCGAATCACCAACAGTTTACGGCTGCCTTTTTACTGTATCTTTTTAACAGTTTCTTGTGAACTTCAACCAGAAAATCATTTCTATTGGAAGAAACATTAGGGAAAAACACTGCTCTTCAGCCACATTGGAAGGAATCTTATAAGGTACTTTTAACCACAGCACTGCAGAAAAAATCCAGGGAATCAATTATTGGATTCATACTTTATAACAAAAAAATCAGTGCAGACTACTGGATGAGGTGGCTTACACTTGTAATCCCAACACTTTGATGGGCCAAGCCTGGAGAATTGCATGAGACCAGGTGTTCAAAAGCAGGTTGGGCAACATAGAGAGACCCTGTTTCTATGAAAAAATGA
The DNA here is from genome assembly GCF_000001405.40 of Homo sapiens. NCBI lineage: Eukaryota > Metazoa > Chordata > Mammalia > Primates > Hominidae > Homo > Homo sapiens. The sequence continues at coordinate 546,749 of NT_187600.1, forward strand.
ATAAAAAGGAATCAGCCAGGTGTAGATGAAGGGCCCTCTAGACCTAGCTACTTGCTACTCAGGAGGCTGAGGTGGAAGGATTCTATGAGCCAGGAATTTAAAATCAGAGAGCTATGATCACACCACTGCAGTCCAACCTGTGCTACAGAGTGAGAACTCATCTTAAAAAAAAGAATTAAGAATTTTACACAATTGTAAAGCTACTCAAATAGAGGAAGTTAAACTGTGCATCCTCACATATCCTCTGGAACTTCTGATATTTTGAAGAAGACAGGTGACCTAAGACCTTCAGAATAAGCTGATGATCTCGAATCATGAAAAGCTTCCACACAAGATATTGGACCAGAATCCTTCTCATATCCTCCTTCTACTCATTATTCTTTGCTTATAAACAGTCTTCTCATTTTCTGCAGACCTGGTTGTTGTCCACCCATATTGGAATCTTGTCTCTTTTCTTCCTCATTATTTTTATACTTGCTATTTAGAGTAAGTCATCAGGTTCTATTTTTATGCCTGATTGCTAATAGCATAAGGCTCTTTCCTCCATCATCTCTCTTTCTTTTAAAGCACACAGGATAAATCTAGTTAGAAATCACAGGAGCTCCCTTATTTGATGCCAAATTGACCTTGAAACCCCACAAAACCCTTCCTGCCAGTAGGATGCCCACACCACAAAATCATGATAACAACCCTGAGCCAGTCTCCTTCCCTGCTTTATCAAGCCACTTTGGACCTTAATGAGAGACCTGCCCTGCTCTCAGCAGACACCTTAAGGATGCAGGTAACTATCCTTACCATACTCACTTGGTGTGAGTGTGTGGCATAATCAGACTCAACATCCACAGAAAATTTTAGTTGAGATCTCTTGGCATTTGCATGGTGTCAGCTACAATGGATGCTGGGAGCTTGGTGTCATGGCTCCTTCCAAAGGACATGCCTGCTCCCTGAGTTAACTCCAGGACGCAGTTGGACATGCCTCCTGGGGTTTGAGAAGCTCCTTTCATGAACTGTAATCCTGTCATTATGTTTTTGTATTCTAGTGTCTCCCTAAAAGTAGAGCGAGACCCAGGGTTCATTCATGTGTGTATTCAGGAGTCTCTGACTTTTACGTATTTTATTAATCTCTCTCTAGCACCTTTTCTAACAAATTATACATTTTAAAATTTGCAATGTTTTAATGAGGTGAAATTAGCAAATAATAATCTTTACGTAAAGTGGACAATTTTACAAATATTGACATAATCCTCACTTTTACTAACACAGAAAAAAATCAGTTACCCTAGAAATTTCCTTTTGCTCTTCTGTAGTTTCTCTTTTCCACACCTTCTCTTCTTGTACCACATCCACAGTCAACTACAGACCTTTTTATTTAAGTTCATTTTTACTTCAGAGAAATTATAGAAGTGGAATTGTATGTATGCACTTTTATTTGTTTGACTTATTTTACTTATTCAGGTACTTGTTATTTTAAGCATGGTGTTGAGTGTATCCAACAGTACTTGATTGTAACAGTGGGTATTATTCCAGTAAATGAATTTTCCACAACTTGTTGACCTCTTAAGCTGCTGACTAACACCTGGATTACTTTTGCTCTCTGGTTGTAATAAACAAAGCTGCTACTTAACTTAGAGAAGTGCCCAGCTGAGAAACACATGGTTCTTATTTTCACCACAACATAAATGGGAGGCAAAGCAGAAAAGCTGCATATTAATCAGTTTGCTTCAATACATCAGATAATTAAAGTTGGGAAGCTCTGTGTGTGTGTCAGTTCATGTGTGTTTGTGTGACAGAGAGAGAAGGGAGGAGGAGAGACCAAGAAAAAGGGAAACCTTACATGTTTGGACTGTAATGTTTGAGGTACTCAAGTGAATACAGGGACTTATTGCTTGATGGACAAGGGCCACATGAGATGGCGAGGACCACTCAATGCACCTTCATATGGGTATATATTAGTATTTACATAAATGCCATTTTATAATCATATAAACACTCAGATACATTAGAAGAGATGTAGTGGAGGGTGTCTGTTGGTGAAATATGATGACGAAAACAACCCACATCTACAGCCCCTTTTCTGCCCTCTTGCACCTGTCCCAATGCTGAGCCTTGATCCTGCTCATCCTGATCCCCGACAATTATCCTAAGTCCCCATGCTGCCCCGAGTGCCCCCTGCTGGTCCTATGCACCCCTGCAGGGAGATTTGTGTCTAGGCTCATAATGAAGTCCCCTCATTGTGTCTTTTGCTTAAAAATGCGTAGTTGTGTGTTCACTGGGCACAGAGCTCAGCTGTAAGAACTGTTTCTTGGATCTGGATATGGACTCTTGAGAAGTGGTTGTAATTTGTCCTCCCTTCACAACCCATGCACCTGATCCACTCCTGTCCATCTAGGGGCAAGCAGATATAATTTAGCAGGAAGCACTGGTTATGATGGGGAATCCAGAGACAGTGCAAGTGAGGGAGAGGGTCTGCAAGGACGTCTCAAGCCAGAAGTGTGCTGAGAAACATAGTTGTTGATGTTAACAGGTTCTGGGCAACACAGTGAAATTCCCAAAACCACACATTTTTATGAGAATAAAGAGCTCACTTTGTCCAATTTGTGAGTCTCCTAGAACAATTCAGTAGATTTCGAGGTTAGGTTAAAAAGTATTATCAGATGTTCCTTTCCTCAAACTTGTAACCAAATAAAAAAGAGAAACTGCCGTTAGAAAAATGAACCTTGAATTGTTACCATGGTGTGTGATAACGATGATTTTTAGAATATGATTGACCTGTGATAACCTGAAGACTGTCCTAATTCCGAGCCACAATTAGACCTGAGCAGCAATCACAGGGAGTGAAACACCTGACTCAGTGAAGCTGCACCTGGGGGTCTCCGCAGGCCCTGAGTGGTACAGGAACAGCTCCTCCCTCAGACTCAGTCTAAGGAGAACTTCTGCTCTTTATCTGGGGAGGTGAGGGTGAGTGCGTGGAAAGTACCAAACTTGCTCTAATCAAGATCTCTGCACATGGGGAGAACCAAAGTATACGAGAAACAACTGGTTTCAGTTTAGGTCGAACAATTTCTCATGAGAAGGGCAGTACCATGTCTGGATCCTGCACAGAATTCAGAAACAATGAATTTGGGCTAAAGCTGAAAATTACAATTGTTTGCAGATTGTGTTATTAATTATCTATGTCATCTGAGAAAATGAAGTAAAATCATGGTTTTCATACAAAAATCCAGTGTGCTGGCCCTGAGAATCCACCTCTAATCCCTCCAACATCAGGGAGCCCAATAGACCAGGCAGCCAGCTGCTGCACTACACTCTAACACCCATCACCTGTGTGTGCCAAAGACACCCATCCTGGGAGCTCCTCCCAGACTATGGCTGTGCACAATAGAGATACTGAGGCATGGCTGCTGCTGGGACATATGGGAGGTCCCTGATGGCACCAATGGCCTCGCTGGAGTTAGCTTGGACCACAAGATAGGTAGGAAGCTCCATTGAACTCCCACTATTCTCCAGTGCTAGTTGTGAGACTGGCATTGTGGGTTGGCAGTGTCTACAGCCTCATCCAACTGCCTGTGCATTTTTACACCTCCAATACTTACATCGGTTTTTGGGACATATAAGAATGTTTCCTCTTTCAAATTAAAGTTTTGTAATCCAGGGACCTCATGGTAGGCACAGAAACATAAAAGTGCAGAGGATTCGAGGGCACCTGCTATATGCAGAGGAAGGCACAGATCCTGAAGGACAGCAGCCCTTGACTGCTTTTCTGTACCTGCCCTAGGCCTCCACCCGTTTTGTGAGTGCTGAGTGTCCCCTTCGGCCCAGACTCCTTTCTTCTTTCTTCTTTCAAAATTTCCAGACACAGGAAATTTTGTGTCTGGACTCACACCTATGTTTCCTCACTTGGAACCTTATGTACAGCCATGCATGGCCATGTCCTCAGGTTCTCAGACAGTTCATTTGCAGATACAGCGAGTTCTTAGCATTGTCTTTGGAGATGGTGAATCTGCGCTTCACAGAGTCTGCATGTTATATCTGACTTCCATCATATTTTATATCTATTACTCACTCCAGCCCCTTCCCTGGAGTCTTGTTGACCCAGCTCATTCAGTAGCTACTGAAGGTGAATCCAGAGGCTAAACAGGAGAGTCTCAGGAACTTCCCAGATTGTCTCAGGTCCTCTATGGACTCAATCAGCTGCACCTCACACTGAACACCTGAAAATGCATGGACATCCTGGTCAGAAACTGCCGAACATATCCACTGTTTCTCTGACTCATATCCACTCACTCTAGTTGTCTATGAGTCACCTTTTTAAATACAAACAAGAAAAAATCAGCTTAACTCACACCCCATAGTGAGTCCTCTGTGTTCAATCCTGATCACCAAAATGGAAACCCCTGGGAATCCCAGGGCTGTGGCTCTTCTCCCAGAGCTGCAGGGTTGGGTCTGGGATTGTTTTCACCAGGAGAGGGAGTGTCCTGTTTTCATGCCTCCTCGTCTATAGTAAGCTCCAGTGTGGGATGCCTGAGAAGAAGGCAGTGCCCAGAGGAGATATGAGACTCCTGGAGGAGCAGAATTGAACAAGTGGAACTAGATTAACAAAAAAAGATTCTGCAAAGCAACGAAATAATTCCAGCTCACAGAATTGGATAATATACCATGTATCTGGAGGAGTTAGTGGAATGGCAGCGTTTGGGAAAATATGATTATTCATAATGTGACTGTGCCATGAAACTCACTAGGCAATTACTATTTTATTTTTTACACATGTGTACAAATACAAATATAAATGCATTAAGCAAACTTTAATATATATATGCATATATAGAGAAATAGAAAACAATATAAAAATATGGGAAAACCTTAATACCTCACTTAACAATAATGTATAGCAAATTCAGAAAGAGAATTGTTAACAAGCCTCTGAACTTGAACAACACTGTTGAACAAATTTTCCTGAAAGACATTTACAGAACCTTCCAACCAAGAGCCATGTAATACACATCCTTCTCAAGCACCCATTGAACATTCTCCGTGATAGGTTATATGTTAAATCATAAAATGAGTCTTAACATTTAAAGAAGTAATGGCAACCCTTCCGTAACTCTTTCAAAAATTGGTGAGGAGTCCACCTTCCAAACTCTTTTTTTTATATATAGTAAATAAACTTTATCTGTTTCTCAGAGATGACACTGCCAACAGTCACAGATTTGCATACAATACTGTTATGTATTGGCTATTTACAATTTACAGTAGTGTTTTTTCCTCTGAAAAATATAAGCACAAAAGCTAAATAAACAATGACTTACTGCCATTTGGGATGTATTACATGCCATAGCGTAAATAACTGGTCTGCAGCAAATATTCAACAAATCAACCTGAATAAAATAGTCGGTTAGGGATTTAGTACATGGCACAGCTTAAAGAACTGGCCTTTAGCAAATATTCAACAAATCAACCTTAATACAATAGTCAATTAAGTGATTTATTATTTCTAATTCATTAGAAAAAATCCACTAAGTTTCACCTCAAAATGTATTGCACAATCTTTATGAAAAAAATCACCCTAAAAATAATTAGGAAAGGTAAGCAGTTCTTTAAAAAGCATGGAAGAAAGGAATATTATGTAAGCCCTTTAAGCAGGTTAAGTCATTCAAAATATCTTTTAAAATACATAAAACTATTCCCAACAGAAAACTGAAGAAAAAAACTATCACCGTTTCTCCACTGATAAAATCTATTTTAAAGGCAGTCTGCAACAAACCCTCCAAACTCTTTCTATGAGGCTACCGTTACAGTATTACCAGTAATAGACAAAGGAACCACAATTAAATAAAACCATAGATCAATATCATTAATAGACATAAATTAACCGTCCAACAACAGTAAAATAAATTCTAAAGATTTTATAGAAGACCATACACCATGACCAACTCAAATTTCTTCCTGAGATGCACAGATGATTCAACATTCTCAAATCAATCAATTTGGTACACCACATTAAAAAACTAAAGAAAAAATATCTCAGTAACATTTCATCAGACACAAAAACATTTGAAAAAAAATTCAGAGTTTCATTATAAAAACTCTGAACAAAGTATGAAGACAAGCAAACAACTTGTACATAATAAAAGCCATTAAGAAAAGTCTCAGCTATTGTTATACTCAATAGTAAAAGGTTAGAATATTTTGGTCTAATATCTGAAACAAGGCAAGAAGAAAGCTTGAGGTATTTCACTTCCAGGCCTCAACATTTATTAGAAACACAGAGTAATAAATCAGAATGGTATTGGCATAAATGCATACAGGGCTGAGATATAAACCCACATACTGATGGCCAGCTGATTTTCAGCATGAGAACAATCGATATACAATTGCTAAATTATAGTGACTTCCAAAGAGCAGGTTATGAAAATTGGATTTTCACATGCAAAGAATTAAGAATTTTAGGTTAGAATAAACAAAAAAAATTAACTCTAAATGAATTCAATATTTAAATGAAATACCTGCAATTGTAAAACTCCCAACCCTCAAAAAATTAGCAATCTTTTTCTGGCTTTTACATTCAAAGGACATAAAAAAAAAAACAGAATTGGACAAGTGGGACTAGATTTAAAAAAGGATTCTGCAAAGCAACGAAATAATTCCAACTCACAGAATTGGATAATATACCATGTATCTAAAGAAGTGTTAACATCCAAAACGTAAATGAAACTTCTACAACTCGATAAAATAAAAATAGCGTAATTTAAAAATAATCGGTTTTACACCTTTAACAATATAAGAACCTAGAACTCATGTTAAATGTTTTTCTACATGGGTAATGGTCTGTCTTATGGTGTACTTGGCTGGCCAATACTTTGTAGTTATTTGACCAAACACTAATCCAGGTGGTAGTGTGGATTTTTAATAGACTTTATTAAAACTGTAATCAGTTGACTCTATGATAGGTAGATTATCTTTGATAACCAGCTTGGCCTTGATTCCATCAGAACAGATCTGGAGAAGGTAAAACTCCATGGTGATTAAGGACCTTGAGCTCTTTCTAAGACATCCAGCCTGCATTTACTGATGGCCGGCCCTGAGAGTATTGGATGTTTCCAGCCACCCCCAAAAATTGTCATTCCCTACATCTCACAGGAAAGTGGTCTGCATCTTGTCAAACCTAAATATCAGACAGAAAGAGATTCTCCAAAATCAAATCGTATTTATTTGAAAATGAGCATTGCAATGGGATTATCCATGGTCACATTTAGGTTGGTAAAGGAAGACAAGTATTCTAAAGGATAAATGAGAAGATTACATGAGCTATTTTGAGACAATTATCCTGGGGTAGAAGAATCAATAACAAGGGTAGAATCAGTTTAAGGCTGAACAGGGAGTTGCAGGGCAGATATCCCCACAGTATTAATTCTCTTATTGTTGTGGTAGCCTTTGTTCAAGGTTGTGGTTGTGCAGAGTATTTTTAGGGTAGTTCTTGTTATCAGGGATGTGTGCATGAGAACCCTCTATTCATGACCTCCTCCAGCTTCACCTGTAAAGATTATAACACACGTGGCTCCATTTTTATTCTGACAACGTTCACACCCACTTCCTCCTCCACTAGTGAAGAACGTTACTGTGTGAAGGTTTTTCAGAACAGGATTAGAAACACATCCACATCCCACGTTAACCAAACAAGCTTGTCCCCTGTGTTCTCACTGGCAACTTGTATTTCGACATGAGTCTCCATGCAACACAGTGGAGGGTCCTGAGTGACGAGGAGTGAAGAAAGTCCCACCAGCCTCTCCCACGTGACTGCAGCAGCCACAGCCTGAGACCCACCTGAGCTCCAGGAAAAGGGCTTGAGGCCTGGAATTTTGACCACAGCAAAAACATCTTTGTTTCTCAGAAAGCAGGAAAAGCAAATGGAAAAATGAGAACAACAACTAAAAAAGAAAGTAAATGAATCAGGAACAAAAGAAGCACCAGATCAGTGCTGATGCTGATTTGCATACTTCGGTGTCAGGAGAAGGGTCCCACAAGAAAGCTGTGAGGTTCTACATGACACTGACCCTGGCCCAGCCTCTCTTTTTTCTGTAATCAGAATCCCCAAAGACTGTTCTTGCTGGGATTCATTCAGGATGGTGGCAGAAATATTAAAGGGAAATATTAACGAAAGTTATAGGAAATAGTCACAAACTTTTTTGGAAGGCCGGAAGTTTACATAGCTTGCAATAACTGAACAGGCTGAAGATGGCCGGTTCTTACCTTAGAGCATTAGGTTGTAGGGTAAATACTAGGGACAACAGAGGCTTCCCCAGTTAAGTCTGGTTACCCTACCCCATTAACTAACCTTTAAGCCAGAAGACCCTCTCAGCGGGAGGTCGACCAAGAATATTGCCCCCTAATGGTATTTACTTCAGACCACAGTCCCTGAGCTTTACTCATTCGTAGAACTACTCTCTTAACCATGTTAATTATCCACAAGTGTGTTGACTCAGAGCTTCTGTTGTTAATTCTATACTAAATACACGCCTGGAGTGCGAGCTGCTCAGGGCCACTGCTGCCATTCTTTACAGGATTCTTCTTGGAGTCTGTAAGTGGCCTCGGACCCTCAGCTGCACTGGAAAAACAGAGTATCTGTGTGTCAGTGTACATTTTATTCATACACCACCGAATCAGGGGTCTGCAGGAACAGACCCCCCGGAGCTAGAGCTCTCTTGTGAGGAGCAATACCTCAGTTCTAGTCAGGAATCTTTCTGAGGTTCCTGTCCTGAATTTGATTGGAGAAGACTCACCAGGAAGCCCCTAGTTTCCTCAGAACTCTGATCATGGTGACCATGGTTGAGGAGTTTTCATCTCCTCTGTAAGGATCAATCCGCATTTTGTACACAGGAGAATAGGTTTTCATATTAAAATAATCATTTTAAAAAATATGTACAGATGACATTAGTAAGCACAGAGTTCTGAACTTAGAGAGGTTCACTAGAGAAACTGTAAAGAGATGAAGTCCCACATCGTGACAGGAAATCAGCCTCCTTGTGCACCTGCCTCTGAGGTTGACGCTGATCAGTGGGTCCTGAGCGCCCACTGCAGCTGTTTTTCTCCAGCGTTCCTGCAGGGAGGTTTGTGTCTGGGCTCACACTGACTTCCCCTCACTGTGTCTTTCACACAGTAATACACAGCCGTGTCCTCAGCTCTCAGACTGCTCATTTGAAGATACAGCGTGTTCTTGGAATTGTCTCTGGAGATGGTGAATCTGCCCTTCACGGAGTCTGCGTAGTATGTGCTACCCCCATTACTACTAATAGCTGAAACATATTCCAGTCCCTTCCCTGGAGCCTGGCGGACCCAGTGCATAGCATAGCTACTGAAGGTGAATCCAGAGGCTGAACAGGAGAGTCTCAGGGACCCCCCAGGCTGGACCAAGCCTCCCCCAGACTCCACCAGCTGCACCTCACACTGGACATCTGCAAACAAAGAGACACCAAGGTCAGAAACTGCCACACATATCCACTGTTTCTCTCACTCACGTCCACTCACACTATCTCTAGTTCTCCATGAATTACCTTTTAAAATGGCAACAAGGAGAACCCAGCTCAGCCAGAACTCCATGATGAGTCTTCTGTCTTCAGTGCTGATCACTGAATGGAAACACCTGGGAATCCCGGGCCTGGGGCTCCTCTCCCAGAGCTGCGGAGTCAGGGCTGGGCTGGTTTTCATCAGGAGAAGGAGGGACCTATTTGCATGTCTCCTACTATATAGCAAGCTCTGGGGTGGGACGCCTGAGGAGAGGGCAGGGCCCAGGGCAGATGAGAGTGTCCTTGGGGATTTCGATGACAATGATTGTATTTGGGAAAATGCTGACTTATTGTGAAATTGTTCCATGATAAACATTTAATAACTATCACATTTTTAATTATGTTTACCTATGTGTATAAATTATGTTATTTAGGAATCAGTGGTTTCTTCATGTACAGACGTAAAAGTGAACCCACACATGGAGGGGCTATGTATGTGTCTAAGGGCTTATATCTGGCATGAGTGAGTCCTAGTACCTGGGCCTATGCTCCTCACAACTGGCCTCAGTTGCTCTGAACCAACTACAGGACAGAGATAAACGGGCCAAGTGTGGTTTGCAGAATCCACTTCCTGTCACGAGAACCTGTCTGATTTTGCTGTGTTTACTTACAAATGTGGAGACAAGATTCAGGTAGATAAATATTTAGGTATATCTGACATTTAACATATTTATTTGTTCCTTGCTGTATTTCCTATTTTGTCTAAAATGTCAATTGTTTACTTGTAATAAATTTCATACGTTTTAATTGACAGATAACAAAATTCACATATTTAACCTGTACAATAGTAAACATTGAAAAAAAATCTCTATTTTCAAGAAGGTGACAAGTCAACTTCCCTCAGGATTCCTCTTGCTCTCTTATTTTTTTTGTTTTTTCTCCTTCCTTTCTTCTACCATTTCTTTATAAAACTACTGATGTTTTCATATTTCTTTCAACTAGCTTTTATTTTCTAGAATTTATAAGAATGAAGTAATATAGTATATATCTTAACTATTTGGCTTATTTTTCTCAATAGAAATGCTGAGAGTTAAACCTTTTTGTTGTGTGTGTTTATATTTTATAAATGGGTAGCATTTCAGCAAACAAATGTAGCATAATTTCTTTTTCTATTAAGCTGATAATTGATCCTGGAATTTTTTATTACTCTAGATCTTATTAATAATTCTGCTACTCAGCTTCATAATGTACATAAATTATAAATTATACATAAATTATATAAATATATTTCCCTTTATAAAAACAATAACAGATTAAACAAGAGAATGTGTAGTTTGGCAAATTTTCTTTAATATTTCAGATAATACAAGTTATAAGATAAAAAATAAACCTGTAAACCAAAGAGTATCTGAGACTAATCTCAATAGATTTAGGAAGTTCATTTTCCAAGATTAAGGACATGCCTGTGACACCACCTCAGGGAGTCCTGACGACATGTGCCCAAGGTTGTGGGGCACAGCTTGGTTTTATACAATTTAGAGAGACATGGGACATTAATTAATATATGTAAGATGTACATTGGTTTGGTTCAGAAAGGCAGGACAACTCGAAGTGGGGAGAGAGCTTCAAGATCATAGGTAGATATGAGACAAATGGTTGCATTCTTTTGAGTTTCTGATTAGCCATTAACTGAATGCACAATTTACAGGAATAGTCACGTAGGCCTATTTTTCACGCAGCGAAACAATAGAGCAAAGGTAGCAATCAGATATGCATTTGACTTACGTGAGCAGAGAAATTATTCTGTCTGTCCTTGGTTCATAAGGATTTTCCTTGTGGTCAAATCGGGAAGGAGGTATGCAGCTTTTAAAAACCTTAGTAGCTATCATTTTAGGGAAAGAATGGGAGGTGGGTTTGCCCCAGTTTTCAGCTTCACTTTCACATTTGGCTTAGTGATTTGGGGGTCCCAAAGGTATATTTTCCTTTCACGAACACGGAAATCTTGGGAGAAACAAGTTCTTGTTTCTCCAAGAGAGAAACAAAGCCATGGTGTTAACTAAACTGAGGCAGAGGCTGCCATATGAAATATAGCCTATTACAAGATAAAGACAAATACGTGTTGGATTGCTTAAATTCCAGTGTGGAAAACGTGTTGTCGTGTGAAATTCTCAGGAACCACATACTGAAGGGCACTGAAAAAGTGAATTAAATATGGCCTGAGAAGGACTCCGTACTTCTATGATTGAGTCCTTGTGGACAAACCGTAACCTACCTGAATGTGTGGACAAGATTGAAACCCTAATTTAGGAGTATGCACCTGTAACAATAGCTGAGCCTTGGTCAATTCCAGTAGCCATACCTTAACCACTCATACACCCTTGAGTGTTCAGACTGTGTTTAAATAAGACAAACACCAACCTGTAACCAATCCAGTCATTCCTGTACCTCACTTCTAATTTCTGTACATCATTTTTTTTTCATCTATAAATCTTCTTCCACCATGTGGCTACATTCAAGCCTCTTCGAATCTATTCTGGGGGCTGCCTGATTCATGAATCATCCATTACTCAATTAAACTCTTTTAAATTTAATTTGCCTGAAGGTTTTCTTTGATCAGCATTCCTATCCTAGTGAATCCCTTTACCCTAGAATGGGGACAGTGAGAAAAATCTTTATTTCCCAAAGTGTCTTTCTAAGACAGAGGGAGGCCACATACTTCTAAAATGCATTCAGACACAATCCCTCCTTAGCACTATAGAAATAAGGAATTATCTACCCTGCAGGGGCAAGCCACTGAAACCATTATTCCAGAGGTACTGATGGAGCCCTAAAGGACATGGGATAAAAACCGAGGTTCTCATCAAAGTTCCATCAAGTTGCACCTCCACTCTGTCATGGAATAAAATCCTTAATCTGCAGGGCATGGCAGCAGATCTAGAAGGTGATTGATTGTAACAGTGGAGAATATTGAAGCTGTAGAAGGGAACAACTGGTACAAAAATATCATTATCTGAGTTAGAATCTGATGATATAAAATTATTATTGCAAACCTTGTGGTAGCCAACAAAACATTAATAAAAATAAATTAAGTCATAAGTAAGTTAATAGGATAAACTTTACAATAAAATGCCAAAATAAAGCAAGAATTAACAGGCTGGGCACAGTGGCTCACGCCTGTAATCCCAGCACTTTGGGAGGCCGAGGCAGGCGGATCACCTGAGGTCAGGAGTTCGAGACCAGACTGACCAACATGGAGAAACCCTGTTTCTATTAAAAATACAAAATTTGCTGTGCATGGTGGTGCATGCCTGTAATCCCAACTACTTGGGAGGCTGAGGCAGGAGAATCGCTTGAGCCCAGGAGGCAGAGGTTGCAGTAAGCTGAGATCTCACCATTGCACTCCAGCCTGGGCAATGATAGCGAGATTCCATCTCAAAAAAAAAAAAATTAACCGGAAAAAGAGATAAAAGTTTAAAAGGATAATTTGTCATAGCTTCTTAAAAAAAAGATTCAACTTTTAGGTTTTTACAAGAAAGTTACTCTGTATTTTTACAAATAGAAAGTTGAAGATGTGATGACATGTTCCATGAAAGTATGAATGAAAAGAATTATTGAGAAGCTATTTTAATTTCAGAATAAGTGGTCATTAGAAAATATACTGTTAAGACTGAAGAAAAATATTACACAGAATAAAGGGTTTACTTTTCTAGAAGACATCAAAAAAGATTTAACAAATGTTTCAGAAAATAAACTAACATTTATAGTAAATGTAAAATTCAGTACCAATTGTGATTGAAAGAACAGACAGTGAAAAAATATGAAAAGATTTAAGTTACCTAAATGGCAGTAAAAACCTACTTGGCTAATTTTCATGTATAAAATGTTCAACTGGAAAACAGTAGGAATGCAGACTCCAATTAACCCAAAAAGATTAGAGGTAAAGAGTGATTGAATTCAATATGGTGACCCAGGTTGAGCCTTGGAACAAAGAAACAAACAAAAGCAAGAGTGGAGTCAGACCTCATATTTAAAAAAAAAAGGAAAACAAACAAGAAAAATATTGGGAAATTGTTGAAGCTCAAATAATGTCTGGAGTCTAATAAATATAAATCCATAGGTATAAATGTGTTAGTAGAATGTGCCATGTTTATGTAAAAGTTAACCTTAGAAGAAACTTGGAGATGGAAGGGAACACACTATGTATTTCTTCTAAAATTGTTCTGGTCATCTATACTTATTACAAATCAAAAGTGTGTAAACTGCAAAAGCACTATGATAAAAATAAAAACCATAAGAACTTATGGAATAGGTTGTTGAAAATGATACTATCACAAACATTATGCAAATTATTTTTTAAAATAATTTTGAAATGTCTAAGACATTGACAAATGTTTATTTGTATCAGGAAAATATTAGAAGTATCTAATACTAAATTCTAGTAATGGAAGTGGCATTTATATAGTTATTTTATTCTCTACAATAGGATGGACTACAGGTATTATTATCATAAGCATTTATTTGGCCAGTAGTGAGACTGATTGTATGATGTTTTTCTCAACTGCATAGCAATATTCTATTAATTCAATTTGACATATCTTATTACATGTGTCTTTTTCAAAACCTTGAACTAGTATGTTCATTATTGATATGACTTCTGTGGAAGTCTGAGGCATTTGAAATACACTATGATTTTTTACTTGTGTGTTCTTTATTATCTTTTAACATGGCAAAACTTAGATTGTTATAACCCTATAAGTTAATAATGTATTTCCTACTTCATAGTCACACACACACACACCAAAAAAACCACACATGCTCAACAATGATACACATATGTGCAAAACCAAAAATAAATGCATATTCAAACACAAAAAGAAGGCACACTTTTTGCATAATATTTTAATTATTGGATTGAATTGAAATTATTGTGTTTATAGTAATTGAGATTGTAGTCTAAAATAATGTTCTTCTATATATATATTTCTGTCTATTCCAATGTCAATAAACAAATGTATTTCAATGCATGTTCTGGTAAAAGTTAACATAAATGCCATTCTTGAAAATTATATTACTTTAATGTACAATGGTATTTATTTATGAACTTTGTGTTGGTTTATTTCTCATTTGTGTTAGCAGCATCCTTTTTGAATATCAGTCATTCACAAATTGAATAAGTAATAAACATTACTATTAAAATTTTATTACATTATTGATTGTATTATCATTGTATTTTCATAAAAGTCAGATTAAAATATTTCTATTTAAAAGTATTCCTTTAAATTTTTTTGCATCCAATTTCACTCTGGTAGTTATTTGCTAATACTCCTGAATGCTAGAGAACATCCAGCAATGTGGAACTGAAATCTGCCCAGGATTCTCAGGATTCATTCACAACAGCAGCTTGCTAGAGGGTGGTCTGAGAGTGCGCAAATACTTTAGAGATGTGGACTTCATCATCAAAGCCCTAGTGAGCCCCAGGGCTGAGCACACAGAGGGCAGCAGGAGCTGCAGAGCCCACTCTGTTAATTAGGGAAGGGAGGAGATGGGGTGTGGGTGATGTCTGCAGGACCCTAGAAAGGGGTGAGGTGGGCAGTGAGTCTGAATGAACATATTCTAAGAACATTTACCTGCCCATACTTGATTGGCTTCGGTGATCATGAAGGAAAGTGAACTGATTCACCAGACACGGATGAGGCAATGTAAACGGACTTGCTGGTTCCTTGAATGGAAATTGAGGAATATGAAAGGTTTGGACAGAAAAAGGGAAGGTGGGGAAACAGCCTGAGGGGTCACAATCAGAGGATGAAAGAGAAAGAAACTCAGCACCATGCATATGCTGAGTTATTGTTAGAAACCCTTTATGATAGTGTGACTGACACAGCACAGAAACGAAAAGCTGTTTGTGGAAATAATTTGAAGTAAGCATACACAATTTCTTCATTTTAAAATTGTACTGAGATATTATTACTAGTATTATTACAACAATATTAAGAATTAATAGTTTAATTGAACTCCTGTTCTAAGTTAAGGTTTTGTAGGTGAGAGAAACCATGGATTCTAAAGAAGAAATAGTAAAAGACCCTGGGAAGACGTTTGCTTCACCAGGTCAGGAATCACAAGACCTAAATAAAGAAACTCACCCTCCCCAGGGACCTGATGAGGAGCTGCCTGCTAAGAGAACCCTGGTTTCCTGAAGGCCCTCTGGTGTTCTCATTGCCCCCTGGTGGTTCTGAGCTCCCCAGGGTGTCCTGAGCGCCCCCTGGTGGTTCTGAGTGCCCCATGTGGTTCCTAAGCGACCCTTGGTGGTTCCTGGGCACCCCCTCACTTCCTGAGCGCCCCCTGGTGGATCTGAGCACCACTTGGTTGTTGCTGAGCACCCTCTGGGGTCCTGAGCAACCCCTGGGGTCCTGAGCAACCCCTGGTGTCCTGAGCGCCCCCTGGTGGTTCTGACTGTCCTCTGACGGTTCTGAGCGCCCTCTGGTGGTTCCTGAACGTCTCCTGGTTAGTCCTGAGTGTCCCATAGTGGTTAATGAGCGCCCCCTGGTGGTTCCGAGCATCTCCTGGTGGTTCCTGAGAACCCCCTTGTGTCGTGAGTGCCCCCCGGTGGTTCTGTGTGGCCCCTGGTGTCCTGAGCTTCCCCCAGCATTCTAAGTGCCTCCTGGTTGTTCTGAGAGCCCCCTGCTGGATTCTGAGCACTCCTGTGTGTCCCCATCGCCCACTGGTGGGTCTGAGCATGCCTACTTTGCAGTCCCCTCCTGTTTCCCTGCAGGGAAGTTTGCGTCTGGACTCACCACACTGGTGTCTGCTGACTGTGTCTCTCACAGTAACACGTGACCTTGTTCTCGGCTCTCAGGTTGGTCATTTTGAGGGAGACTGTGCTGACAAGGGTGTCCCTGAGGATTATGATTCTTCTTTGTATTGATGGAGGGTACCACTAACAAATTCCACTCAAATCACTCACTGTTGCCCCCCAACACCAGCCCCTGGCCTGAAGACTACTGGGCTGAGCTAATGATGGAGTCAATGAAGGTAAATTCAGAGGCTTTGTAAAAAAGTATCTGAGATTCCACCAATGAACTTCATGTAGGACTATTACGAATACAGAGGGAACAGGCTGAGGAGCAGCCACAGCTGTATTTGATCCACAGAAGCCCTACCTCTGAGAGTGATAAAAAGTGAAGCACAGATTAGCACACACTCTATGTTGTAGACACTAAGGAAGGGCACAGACATCAGTTGACGTTCCCTTTATGGACAGGGAGCATGGGAAGGACACATTTACACCTCTTTCTCCTCTTTCTCCCTGGACAAGTGTGCTCTGCTCAGCATGGCTCATCCCTCTGCTTCTAGATTTCAGGGAGGGCAGGATCAAAGAATCACTGGAACTGGATGCTCTGGCTTAATCTTCCTGTCACTCTCTTCTTTTTCTCTAATGTGAACCCTGTTTAGATATTTTTATGGTATCAACTTTCATCAACAAATAAGTCAAAGAAGTACATGAAAAAGAAGTGCTAGGAAGTGTTAGTACATGAACAGGAACCTGTTTGCATGTCTCCTGTTGTAGAGTCAGTTCTGGGGTGAAATACCTGAGGAGAGAGCAATGTTCATAGTAGATGAGAGTGTTATTTTTAGCATTTGAAAAAATATAATTTTCCACTCTGTCCCTAAGCAACTACTGATCTTTTTTGTTACTTTAGATTCATGTTCATTTTTTGTGGTTTGTAGAAATAGATTTATACTTTATGCACTTTTACTTGTTGGCTTATTTTAGTTAGCATACATTTTTGTGAGTACAACAATGTTGTTTTGTGTATCAAAGTTGTATTACTCAGGGTTCTCCAGAAAAATAGAACTAATATGACATATGTATATATATAAATATTTTATTAGAAAGAATTTTCTCACAAAATTGCAAGATGAAAGTTCCATGATAGGCTTTCTAAAAGCACGGAAAGAGACAAACTGGTAGTGGCTCAGTCTAAATCCAAAAGTCTCAAAACTAGAAAAGCCAACAGTGCACCCTTGAGTCTCTGACAAAGGGCCCAGGAGCCCTCAGGAAGCCCCTCCTTCAAGCCCTGGCATCCAACCACCAAAGAGCCTGAAGTCTCATGTCCAAGGGCAGGAGGAAACAAAAAGGCAGCCAGCAAGGAAAACAAAACAAAAACATAAAGCACAGCAACCAATGCTATCTCATCTTCTTCCACCTGCTTTATTCTAGCTGTGCTGGCAGCTGATTGGATGGTGCCCATCCACATTGAGGGTGGGTTTTCTCTTCCAGTCCACTGACTCAAATATCAACCTCCTCTGGCAAAACCCCAAGAGATACACCAAGAAACAATATTTTCCCAGCCATCTAGGCATCCCTTAATCCAATCAAGTTGACACCTAGTATTAACCATCAAAAGCCCACCTCTTGTCAACTTAGCACCCCTACACATCTAGCTGCAATCATGCTTGATCTCCAAATAAAGACAATAATAAGGTCATAATTATGCCTAACATAATACAGCTATCCTTCATACAACTGAAAGTGCACTAATCCTTAACCTAAATGCCACTACATCCGTTTAACAACATTTAAATGCTGATATGAAATCAATAAATCTTATGATACATGATAAAAAGAAAACAAATTCAATGAAAACAATGAATATATTTTTGTTCGTTTGTTTGTTTTTGAGACGGAGTCTCAGTCTGTCATCCAGGCTGGAGTGCAGTGGCATGATCTCGGTTCACTGCAACCTCTGCCTCTTGGGTTAAGGGTTCAAGCTATTCTCCTGTTTCAGCCTCCCAAGAAGCTGGGACTAAAGGCACCTGCCAGCACGCCCAGCTAATTTTTGTATTTTTGGTAGAGACAGGGTTTCATCATACTGGTCAAGCTGGTCTCGAACTCCAGACTTCAGGTGATCCACCCACCTTGGCCTTCCAAAGTGCTGGGATTACAGGTATGAGCCACCACATCCGCCACGGTGAAGATATTTTCTTAGCACAGTTATATACATGCAGAAATATATTCTTAACAAGATAAGGAGGAAATACTCATAACAATTAGAGTCCTCACTTCTGGTAGCATGCTTGTTCCTGGTATTGATAACTACCTTCTTCTAGCACGCATTCTGTATTTTTTTTTTTTTTTTTGCCTTCAATAAGTACCTTGGCTAGTCAGGTTTTTTTTACCTGGTTGAGTGACCCAAACTTTTATTTCTGAAGTACCTGGGCCATTTGTGTTCCTGCCTGAATTAGGTTGTTGTAGTTTCCCATTGACCTTAATCCCATGGTAAAGTAATACTAAGAGATGCCCTAAGAAATCTCCTGTATTCCAGACATACTGTTTCTTACCTCCATTGTGGAGTAGTAGTCTGATTTCAACTTGATAGTCAGGGTCAGTCACCCCAGAAATACAAATTAGAGAATTTTTTTTTCAATTTATGTGAATGAATGTCTTTGAAATTTTGAATGGGATTGCATTGAATCTGTAAATGCTTAGGTTAGGGTGGACATATTAACAATGTATGTTCCAGTAACACAAGAACACAAGATAGCCTTCCATTTATTTGTGTTTTCTTCCATTTTAATCAATATATTATAATTTTTAATGTGCAGATGTTTTGTATCCTTGTTAAATTTATTTTGGTAAAATTTATTTTATGAATTTTAAGCTGTTGTATTTAGATTTATTTTCTTGATTTTAATTTTGAATAATCATTTTTTAGTGTATACGGAAGATACTTATTTTTGTAGGTTGACTTTTGTTTAATTTCAATAGCTTTAGGGGTAAAGATTTTTTTTGTTAGATGGATGAATTACATAGCAATAAATTCTGAGATTTTAGTACACTCGTCACCTGAATAGTGTACACTGTACCTAAAGTGCATTTATTTTCTCTCTAGTGTCCCTCCTATTATTTCCCTTCTAAGTCTCTAAAGTCCCTTATATCACGCTGTATGTCTGTGCAAGTTCATAGCCCAGCTCCCACTTATAAGTGAGAACATAGAGTTTTTACTTTTCCACTCTGCTGTAACTTCACTTATAATAGTTGCCTCAAGCTTCATCAAAGTTGTTGCAAAAGACATTATGTCATTCCCTTTAATGGTTTATTAGTATTCCATGGTGTAAGTATGTCACATTTTCTTTTCTTTTTCTTTTTTTTGAGACAGTGTCTTCCTCTGTCACCCAGGCTGGAGTGCAGTGGCCTGATCTCGGCTCACTGCAGCCTCTGCCTCCCAGGTTCAAGCAATTATCCTGGCTCAGCCTCCTTAGTAGCCGGGACTACGGGCGTGCGCCACCATGCCCTGCTAACTTTTTGTATTTTCAGCAGAGATGGAGTTTCACCATGTTGGCCAGGATTGTCTCGATCTCCTGACCTTGTGATCCGCCCTCCTCAGCCTCCCAAAGTGCTGGGATTACAGGCGATGTCACATTTTCTTTATGAACTCATTAGTCAATAGGCACTTAAATTGGTTCAACATCTTTTCAATGTTAAATTCTGCTGCTATAAACATACATGTACACATCTTTTTCATATAATGACTTTATTTCCTTTGAAATAAAGAGTACTGAGATTGCTGGATCAAACAGTAGATCTGGCCGGGCACAGTGGTTCACACCTGTGATTTCCGCACTTTAGGGGGCCGAGGGGGAAGGATCACCTGAGGTCAGGAGTTATAGACCAGCTTGGCCAACATGGTGAAACCCCATCGCTACAAAAATACAAAAAAAAAAAAAAAAAAATAGCCAGGCATGATGGTGGGTGCCTGTAATCCCAATTACTTGGGAGGCTGAGGCGGGTGAATCTCTTGAACCTGGGAGGCGGAGGTGGCAGTGAGCCGAGATTGCGCCACTGCACTCCAGCCCGTGTGACTGAGCGAGACTCCATCTTAAAAAAGAAAAAACAAAACAAAACAGTAGATCTACTTTTTTGCTTTTCAGGAAATCTCAACAGTGTTTTCCACAGTGGTTATACTAAATTACATTTTCACCAGCGGTGTATAAGCATTCCCTTTTGTTTTTTGACTTTTTATAGTGGCCATTCTTGCAGGATTAGGTGTTATTAGATTGTGGTTTTAATTTGTATTTTCCTGATCATTAGTGATGCTACACAGTTTTTTATATGTTTGTTGGCCATTTGTATATCTTCTTCTGAGAACTATCTATTTATGTCCCTTGTCCTCTTTTGAATGGGATTATTTGTTTTTTTCTTGGCGACTTGTTTTAATATTTTGTAGATTCTGGATACTAATCTTCTGTCAGATGTGAAGTTTGCACATAATTTCTCCCGTTCTGTGAGTTGTCTTTTTACTCTGTTGACTATTATTTGTGCTGTGCAGAAACACTTTCGTTTAAATAGGTTCCATAAATTTATTTTTGTTTTTGTTGCGTTTGCTTTTGGGGTCTTATTTATAAGTTCTTTACCTACCCTGATGTGTAAAAGTGATTTCTAATATTGTTTTCTAGAACTTTTAGAGTTTCATGTCTTATATTTAAGAATTTGATTCATCTTGAGTTGGTCTTTTATATGGTGACAGATAGAAATCCAGTTTTATTCTTTTCCATGTGGCTTGCTAGTTTTCCCTGTACCATTTATTAAATGCAGTGTATATTTTCCAATTCATATTTTGGTATGTTTTGCAAAACAACAGTTGGCTTTACATATGTGGCTTTATTTCTGGGTTCTCTATTTTGTTCCAGTGGTCTATAAGCCTACATTTATATCAGTACCATGTTGTTTTGGTAACTGCAGCCTTGTGGTATAATTTGAAGTTCAGTAATGTGATGGCTCCAATTTTTTATCTTATTAGGATTTCTTTGGCTATTTGGGCTTTTTTTCTGGTTTTATATAAATTTTAGCATTATTGTTTTTTAATTCTGTAGAAAGTAATGTGGGTATTTTCCTAAGAATTGCTTTGAATCTGTAGATTGCTTTGGGCAGTATGGTCATTTTCACAATACTAATTCTTCCAATCCATGATCAGGGGATGCATTTCCATTTGTTTGTGTCATCTATGATTTCTTTCAGCAGTGTTTTGTAGTTCTCCTTGTAGAGATCTTTTACCCTTTTAGTTAAGTATATTGCTAAATATTCTATGTTTTTACAGCTTCTGTAAACTGGATGGAGTTCTTGGTTGAATTCTCAGCTTTGTTGTTGTTAATGTACAGTGGTGCTACTAATTTGTGTACATTTATTTTGTAACCTGAGAATTAGCTGAATTCATTTACTAAAACTAACACTATTTAGGAGGAGTCTAGGATTTTCTAAGGATATAATCACTTGATCTGTAAACAGTGATAGTTTGACTTTCTCTTTTTTAATTTGGATACTTTTTTTTCTCCTGACTAATTGCTCTGGCTAGAACTTCCAGAACTATGTTGAATAAAATTGGTGAACGTGGGCATCCTTGTATTGTTTGTGTTCTCAGGGGAAATGCTTTTAACTTTTTTGCATTCAGTATGACGTTGGCTGTGGGTTTTTCATATGTAACTTTTATTAGTTTGAGTCAGGTTTCTTCTATGCCTCGTTTATTTAGAGGTTTTTATCATGAAAAATGCTGAATTTTGTTCAATGCTTTTTCTACATCTATTGAGACAATCATAAGGTTTTTGTTTGCAATTCTGTTTATGTGATGTACTACATTTATTGACTTGTGTATGTTCAAATAATTGTGCATTTCTGAGATGAAACCCGCTTGATCATGAGGAATTGTATTTTTGATGTGCTGTTGAACTCAGATAGCTATTATTTTTTGTGTATTTTTGCATCTATATTTATCAGGGAAATTCATCTGTAGAGAGAGAGAGAGTGTGTGTGTGTGTGTGTATGTGTGTTTTCCTGGTTTTGGTATCTTGGTTATACTAGCTTCATGGAATAATTTAGGGAGGATTCTTTTTTTCTAAATTAAAAAAATTGTTTCAGCAAAATTGGTAGCAATTCTTCTGTAAATTTTTGATAACATTCAACTGTGAATTCACCTGGCCCTATTTGTTGTTGTTTTTATTGTTGGCAATTCTCGAATTACTGATACAATCTCACTCTTTGTTATTTATATATTCAAAGTAACTATTTCTTATTGATTTAATCTATGAGACTTGTAGATTTCTAGAAATTTGACCATTTCCTCTAAGTCTTCTACATTGTGTACATGAACATGTACTTGGTGGTTCTAAATTATTTTTTATATTAGTTATGTAGATTGTAATGTCCGTTTCACTTCTAATTGAGCTTATTTGTATCTTTGCTCTTCTTTTCTTGGTTAATCTAGCTGATGATCCATGAATTTGTTTATTTTTTCAAATAACCAGCTTTTATTTCATTGAATTTTTTTGTATTTTTTTGTTTGAATTTCATTTAGTTCTGCTCTCATCTTTGTTCTTTCTTTTCTTCTTCTGCCTCCAGGTTTGGTTTGCTCTTGTTTCTCCACTTTCTTGAGTTGTGACATGCTGTTTCAGACTTTTTGATGTAGGCAGTTGGGACTATAAACTTTCCTCTTATCACTGTTTTTGCTTTATTTTTGAAGTTTCAATAACTTGTCTCATTATTATCATTTAATTAAGATAATTTTTAAATTTTCTTCTTGATGTCATTGTTAACCTAGATATTATTCAGAAGCAGATTTCTTCATTTCTATGTATTTGTTCAGTTTTGAAAGTTCTTTAGAAAGTTGATTTTTAGTTTTATTCTGCTATGGTCTAAGAAGATACTTGATATGATTTCATTGTTTTAAATTTTATTAAGACTTGTTTTGTGGCCTATTACATGCTCTACCTTGGAGAATGTTGCGTGTGCTGATTAGAAGAATGTATATTCTGCAGATCTTGGATAGAGTGTTCTGTAAATATCTGCTGCATCCATTTCTTCCAGTGAGTCATTTAAGGACATTGTTTATCTCTTGACTTTCTGTCCCGAAGATCTCTCTATTGCTGTCATTATTGTATAGAAGTCTCCCACTATGATTGATTTGCTATCTAACTCAGTTTTTGAGGTCTAGTAGTACTTATTTCATGAATCTAGTTCCGCCGGTGTTTGGTGCATATAAATGTATAATTGTAATTTTTTGTTGAATTGATCCTTTTATCATTGTATAGTGATCATCTATGTCTTTTTTTTTATTGTTGTTGCTTTGAAGTCCATTTTGTCTGATATCAGAATAGTTATTCCTGCTCAGTCTTGGTTTCTATTTTTGTTGAAATCCTTTTGCCACCATTTTACCTTGAGTTTACATAAATCTTTGCGTGTTAGGTAAGTCTCTTAAAGACATCAGGTATTTCCATTGTGACTTTTTAAATCTAGTACGCAGTTGCATATTTTTTTTGTGGAGCATTTAGGCCATTTACATTCAATGTGAATATTTAGATATGAGTTACTATTTTCTTTGTCATGTTAATTGTTACCTAGTTTTTGTTTTCTTTTATATTGTGTCATTGTTTAATGGGCCCTGTGAGTTTTTAATTTTTAAGAGGTTCCATTTTTTGTGCGTATTGGGCTTTTGTTTCAAGGTTTAGGACTCCTTTTAGCATTTCTTGTAGTGCTGGTTTGCTAGTGACGAATTTGCTCAGCATTTTTTTTTCTGAAAATGACTATTTCTTTTTTTATTTATAAAACTGTTTGACAGGATAAAAAAAAATTCTTGGTTGAAAGTTGTTCTGTTTAAGGAGTTTGAAGATAGAACCTTAATCTGTCTGGCTTGTGAAGTTTCTGCTGAGAAGTCTGCCATTAGTCTGATGGATTTCTTTGTTTTGTTTTGTCTTGTTTTACTGCTCTTAGATTATTTCCTTCATGTAGACTTTAGGTAGCCTAATGACTGTATGGTTGGTGAAGGTATTTTTGCAATGAGTTTTCCAGGAGTTCCTTGAACTTCTTGGATTTGGACATCTAGGTCTTTAGTCAGCCCAGGGGAGTAGTTCTCAATTATTCCATCAAAGAAGTTTTCCAAACTTATTATTATTTTTTTCTTCTTCAGCAACATCAATTATTCTTAGGTTTATTTGTTTTACATAATCCCATATTTCCTGGAGACTTTGCTCACTTCTTTTGGCTCTTTTTATATTTATTTTTATCTGATTGGGTTATTTCAAAAATAGTCTAGTCTTTCTACTTTTTTCTTCTTTTTTTCTTCTACTGTTTCCTTTTTCTTTTTCTCCTAATATTTTACTTTTTTTCTAGTCTATTTTTAAAACTTTTCATGGCATTTTGTAGTTCCCTTACTAATTCTCTGCATTTTTTTTTTTATTTTCAGAAGTTCTGATTGGTTTCTCTTTAGGATATCTATCTCTCTATAAAAATTTATATTTATATTCTGAACTGCTTATATAAATTTATTTATGATGATTTTCACCTTTTTTGATATCTTCTTGAGTAGCTTATTAATCAACATTCTGATTTTCCTTTCTGGTATTTTAAAGACTTCATTTTGGTTAAGGTTTATTGCTGGAGAGGTAGTGTGACCTTTTTGCGCTGTTATACCACCCTGTTTTCTCATATTTCCCAAGTTATTTTTCTCATTTCTTCTTGTTTTGGTAGATTTTCTAGTTTGATTTGACTGTTTGTTTGTTTTTAAATGTATTTTTCCCTTAAGAATGAGATTTTTTATGCTTATAATTAATTACAGCCTGATTTGATTTTTGGTCCTTAGGGGAATGAAGACTCTGTAGGAGCTCCCTGGTTATACAGAGTCTTTGCGTGATCGCTTTCCTATGTGGTGGTTGCAGTAGAAATCAACTCAGTGTGTGAGCAAGTTCATTGTCTTCTATGGGGTTATAATGGTTGAGGTCTCTTAAATCTTATCTCATTCATCTGTGGCATGCCCGTGTTTATTTGCTTTTCCCCAGTGATTTGTTTACTTGTTTGTTGGTTCAGGCTTCAGACCAATGGGGGACTTGTCCCTGGGTAGAAAGCAGTTGTGGCTAAAACAGGTGGGTAAATTAAGTCCCAGCCTTGACAGGGGTGGCTGGAGGAGCTTTTAGTGAGTCACACTGAGGTCTTATCACGGGGAAGGGTTGGAGCAACCTCAGCTCTCTTGCCAGATCAGTAGGAAATCTATCCACTTTTCAGACAGTATTCCAGCTATTCAGATAAGACAGGCATGTCTTTTCATCTGTACAAATGTTGATGTGCCGAATAGAGGGGAATTGTGACTCTGTGTCTCTTGCAAGCCAGAACGTGGAGAGTGCGCCTTCTGAGGAATGCAGTCACCATGATGTATTCCAGAAAGGCTGTCTATAAGCTGGTGTTGGCAAATATCTGTAAGTGATCCGGTGATGTGAACTGTCCTCACATTTTTCAACAGTGAGCAGCAGAACCGGGTCTGATGGGAGTGGCAGGGGAGTGAAGGAGACTCTGTGAAATTCCTTGGATATTGATGGCCTTCTTATGCTGGCTTTCTTGAATGCTGGTTACAGTAGTGATGAACTGGTCACATGGACAGACTCGGGACCCCCGTTCATCCAGAGTGGTGCAGACCATGGTGACAGCTGAGATCGCACAGTCATTTTCTCCTTCTGGGATGCAGTGTTACTCTACCAGGAGATACTGTAATGCATGGTTGGTTGGCCTCCAGCTAAGAGGTGGTGTTTGTGAAAGAGCACCAGCTGCATTATTAGCAGTGGGATTTTTGCAAGCCTTATGTTGCCCAGGAATGGGGGCTACTATGGATTCTCAGGCAGTGGGTGTGGCTATGTAGCTCCCAAAAGATGCTGTCCTTTGTGTTAAATTGCCAGGGCAGGTGGCTGCACAAAGCAAGGTGAGGGCTAGGTCAGGTGGGTTTCTGCTCTGAGTCTCTGTGTGCAGGGCAAGCAGCAGCCCCTGTGGGTGTGGGGGACAGGGGTGGTTCTCAGGCCACTGGGTTGATGTTCCAGAGGTCAGCACATCTGCTTCTGCTGCATAGAAGTTTGTGCAGGGAGTGGTGAGAGCCAGGTGACGGTAAGCCCCATACAGTTCCCACACACTTGGTGAGGCAGAGCCACTCCTGTGGTGTTCCATTGGCAGCAGTGAGATGAGTTCCAGTCAGCCTGTGATCAATATCTGCAAATGCCAGGAGTTATAAGCTGTCCCCATAGAGACTGCAGCCATGGGTTTCATGCCATGCTCCTTCCTGTCTGCTGCAAAGCCAGGCACCAGCTCCTGCACCCATGGCTCCTGAACTTGCAGCCCACTTTTCACTCTTCACTTGTCAGACTCTGGCCAAGGGAGTTCGTCCCCTCTAGGTTATATCACACACCCCTGTTGAGAGCTTCTTTCAACCTGTGACCCCTGCCTGAAATTTTTGGCAGTTCTTCCCAGGGTCCTCTGTGAAGAACCTTAAGAAATGGCAGCTCTCAGACCGCACTGAGATCTGAGAGTTTATGCAAGGGTCTTCCTGCTGTTCCTACTTTTATATTCCACAACCCTGCACAGTGGGTCCTTGCACTGGGTGAGGTTGGGGCCTTCTCCTTTGGCCTGGACTTTCAGGATCCCAGGTGTGGATGTGTATCCCAGAGGCAAACTCTTCCCTCAAACTCTGGGGACTCGCAGCCCTTCACCTGACTCACAGTGTAGGCTGCAGCTTCCTGCTTTTTTCGGAAAGTTTGTAGATTATTTCAGTGTTTTTGTTCAGTTCCTGCATTGCTTCTTGAAAATAAATCCACAATGTTCATCTCTCCATATCAGTTTGTCCTTCCAAGAGGAAGAGGTATACTAGCAATGCCTCTAACCTGCCATCTTGAAATGTAAGTTTGATTTTGTATTCTGCAACTTTATTGAATCTCTTCATTACATCCAGCCTTTTTTGGTGGAGTCTTTAGGGCTTTGCATAAAGAAGAGCATATAATATGTAAAACATATATTTAAAATTTATTCATTACTATATGGATGACTTCTATTTTTTTCTTCTGGCCTATTTTGTCTAGACCACCCAGTGCTGTGTTTAATAATATTGGTGATAGTGAGCATCTTGTCTAGTTTCTAGTCTTAGAGGAAAATAAAATTTTCATCATTGAGGATAATGTTAGATGTGCACTTCTGATATGTGGTGTTTATTATGTTGAGCTGTATATCTTTTATGCATAATATGTTCAGATTTTTTATAATGAGAGTGTGGTGGATTTTGTCAGAGGCTCTTTCTGCATCTATTGACATGGACATATGGTGCATATGGTTTTAGTCCTTCAATATTTTCATTTGATATATCACATTTATTTCTGCAGGTTGAAACTTCATTGCATCCTAGAGATAAACCACACCTGACCATAGTGAATTATACTGTCAATGTGCTGTTGAATTTTGTTTGTCATCACTCTTGAGAGTTTTTGAAACTATGATAATCAGGGATATTAGCCTGTAGTTTCATTTACTTGTAGTGTCTTTCCCTTGCTTTGGAAATAGGGCCTTCCAAAATAAGTTTGAATGTATTTCTTCCTCTTTATTTTGTTGGAAATTTGAGTAGTGATTCTAGTTATTTTGTTTTAATTTTTGATAAAATTCAGTAGTGGAGCCATGAAATTTTTGACTTTTCTTTGATTTGAGATGTTTGAAAAATCACTGACTCAATCTCTTTACTCATTGGTCTGTTCAGATTTTTTTGTTGTTGTTGTTGAGATGGAGTCTCACTCTGTTTCCCAGTCTGGAGTGCAGTGGCTCAATTTCAGCTTACTGCAACCTCTGCCTCTCAGGTTCAAGCCATTCTCCTGCCTCAGCATCCCGAGTGGCTGGGACTACAGGTGAACACAACCACACCCAGCTAATTTTTATATTTTTAGTAGAGACTTGGTGTCACCATGTCGGCCAGGCTGATCTTGAACTCCTGACCACAGATTCACATAGAACTCCTGATCTACCTGCTTCAGCCTCCAAAACTGCTGGGATTACAGGCATGACCCACCACAACCAGCCCAGATTTTTTATTTCTTAATGGTTCAGTTTTGATAGGTTGTATGTTTTTTAAAATTTATTTATTTTAATTTATCTAATTTTTATGAGAGAAGTATTTATTATACCCAAGAACTTATGAATTGGCACAAAGATGAATTATTCAGTACATATTATTGAAAGGAAAACAACAACAAAAACAACAGAACCTAGTAATAGTTCACAAAGGGATCAAATGATTTTGAAAAATTAAGTAGAAAATAATAGATGTAGGGAGCAAGAGAAGATAGGAGGGAGGAAAGCATGCCAGCAATGATTAACTGTGTAGACTTTTCACTAATTAAAAGACTGTCATGCTTAAGAGGTGCATATTAGACAGCTTTTTTATTTTAACCATGTAATATACACCATGAACAACCTTGTAGAACAAGAGCCCCCTCAGAGAATCCACCTCCCAGGAGCAGGTGCCCCATCTAGTTGCCTTAGGGACTGGGAACCCTCCCACGTTGTTCTCTGGTTCTCACTCCTCAGGACACAGCCAGTGTTTCCTCCCTGGATGAATAGAGAGGCCCCTGGGGAGTGTGTCTCTGGCAGCTTCCTCTGCACCTGTGCTGTGGAGGGTTTTAGACGGGCTCAGTGCTGGTTTCTCTCACTGTGTGTCTCGCACAGTAATACATGGCGGTGTCCGAGGCCTTCAGGCTGCTCCACTGCAGGTAGGCAGTGCTGATGGACTTGTCAGCTGAGATGGTGACGTGGCCTTGGAAGGACGGGCTGTAGTTGGTATAAGAGTCACTAGGATCAATCCTCCCCATCCACTCCAGGCCTTTCCCGGGCATCTGGCGCACCCAGCTGATCCAGTAGCTGGTAAAGCTGTATCCAGAACCCTTACAGGAGATCCTCAGAGACTCCCCGGGCTTTTTCACCTCTGCTCCGGACTGCACCAGCTGCACTTCGGCACAGACTCCTGTATGGAAGACACAAAATTTGAATCAGGAGTTGCTTTCCACCCGTTCTCCTCTGTGACCTCAAGCCCTCGGCAGGACTGACCTTGGAGAACAGCCAGGAGGAGGGCGAGGATGGCGGTTGACCCCATCCTGGAGGAGGACAGAAAAGGAAGCCCTGAGATCCCAGCTGGGTGGTGAAGGAGACTCACTGTGGAGGGGAGCCCTGGGTTTAAGTGGAGAGGCCCCCACTTGCATTTGCATAGTTGCCGCCCTGACCTGAAGGGAAGAGTCTACAGGGTTTATAACCCAGAACCTCAGTTGCAGAGAAAAGGCTGAACTGAGCCTCCTGGGAGGGGCAGAATAGGTCTCAATAATTCCTTACAACCTCTTCTTGCCCCTCCCCACTCTTGTCTGTGGTCCTGCAAGACCCAAACCAGGGCATCCCTCCTTCCACCCTTCTCTGTGACCCTGTGAAAGTTGACAAATCTAGATAAAATCATGTCTGTTAAAAAAATGAGAAATAGAGCCAGGAAAGGCCGTGAACAGAAAATTCAAATGCACTTATGCCTGATAACAAGAACTACCACAAAAAACTACTCTTTATTCCATGGCAATTTCCCATGAATGTGACTATGGCCTGGGCACCCAGAAAGGGCAGGACCACCCCAGGCCTTTAACAACCCTCAATTTGATTAACCTGCCAGACCTTCACCCATGCAAAATCAAGGACAAATGTTTCCTGGCCATTTCATCTTCTAGATTTTACACTCTGCCAATTCAACCTAAATAGGAAATATTTGTTTAGGTCTCTGTATTGCTGATGGACCTGAAGGGATCCCCATTGCTGCACCCAACTCCTGGTAGTGCTGTTTTAATTCCACCCCAGCACAATCTGTTTAGTTCTTTTATTCTTATTTTTTTTATTTTATGATATCCACATTGCTCGGAGGGGGCTTTTTACTGTCCCCTGTATTTGCCCCATTTTCCTGTGAACCACTCTCATTTCCTTAACATCTAAAAGATCCAAATGAAAAGCCAAGGCAACAGAAACTACACAGTTTCTAAAATATTTGCCAGATTACCCACAGGAATTGTATACCTGGGGTGCAGAAGCAAAATGACTTCTCTTTATCACAGCACAGGCTATGACCTGGGTAAGGTGCATGCTAAGCAATGACCATTACCATCAACATAAACACACAACACAGGCTATGACCTAGGTAATTTGCATGCTATGCAATGACTGTCAGCATCAACATAAACACACAGCACAGGCTATGACCTGGGTAAGGTGCATGCTAAGCAGTGACTGTCAGCATCAACATAAACACACAGCAGCAGGGCTTCCGTGTGCAGCATTAGCCTCCCTATCTGGAGAGCCCACTTTGCATTTCAAAGAGAGGAAGGGCAGTCTCATTCTCAGGGTAGAGAAATTTTACACAATCTGGAATCCAGTGCACCAGGAAAGCTGACCCATCAGGAACATCTTATTTGAGGTTGCAATCAGCTAGAGCCATCTGTGATGTGTCTGTTGTGAGCTGTGGGTCCAGCATCCTCCCAAACATACTCCTCCTTTCTGCAGCACATGAAGCCAAAGACAAGCTGCTACATCAGTCACTCTCATAGTCCATTGGCTAATATTGTTCACAATCCGATGATATCAGTTAATGATATCAATCATATCACAGAATGATGCCACTTTCCACACTGTCCTCCTTGTTCTAGTTGTCTAGTGGATTCTCTGCCCCAGCCCAGCCCCTGGGCTACCTTCTGTGTGGCTGTTGTGTATTGTGTGTTGTTTCTGGACAACTGTCCCCTTTGGTGGTGAATGGGAGTCTAGTAGCCTCAGCTCATAGGGCACAGTGCAAGGCTGGATGTGCATCTTTTTACTATTATTTTAGCTATCACAGATATGACTTGAATATTTGGGTTGTTCCTCATTATTTTTACTTTTTGTTATTCAGGGAACAACTCCTAGGGAGCTGTGTCTGCCATTTCCAAATTCCATTGATTACTTTCACTTCCTCCTCTTTACTGGAGCACACACGCCATCTCCTGCCATGTGATTCTGCAGACATCCAGGTATTGAATGTCTTTTATCCCACACTTTCTCATCCTTTGATACTATAAACAATGCTCTAGCCATGTGTCAGTAGTCAGGGTCTTTCTAGCAATTTCCACCTCTGATGTAATTGTGTTGAGCATCCCAAGACCATCCTCAGGCCACATAATAGAAGTAAAGGACTCAAGACGAGCTGTTATTCTCATGGGTGCAGCTTTATTATTGCAAATGAATATGAATTAAAATGAACAAAGGCAGCAAGGGGAAGGCCCTGAGAATCCAGGAACAAGCTCTCAGATGTTCTTTCCCTGGGGAGTCTCTTGTCCCCAGTTCTCCCAGCAGTGATGCATGACAACATGTGTGAAGCATTGTCCACCAGGGAAGCTCACCTGAGTGCTGGTGCCCAGTGCTGTTTATTGGGGCCCATCACAGATGTGTGTGGCACCTGTACAACTGACCTCCAGTGCTCAGACGCCGGCCTCTTGAGCAATAATAGGCATTCACCATAAGTCATTATGAAAACACCTAGTATAGTGTGCACCCAGGCTACACACAGAGAGACACAGACAAACACAAACAAAAATACATTTTAGCTAATAATAATAGTAATAGAGATAAGAGGAATGTTTTGGAAGTGAGTGCTATGGGTATGACCTTGATTGTGGTGACAGCTTTGCAGATGTATACTTCAAACTCAATGAATTAAGTATGTTAAATAATCTATACTTTTACATATATAAACCTTACTTTAATAAAGTGGTTTAAAAATACTACCGGGAGGTCTATGCCCAAAAAACAGATATCATCTCCCAGGAGCTGAATATGGACCTGGCTTGAGAAAGCACTTTTTCAGTAATGTTCAGGGTTTCCACAACCCAAGCCTGCTCGGTAAACCCCATCCTGTACACAAGTCCAGGTGAGATGGAAACAGGCTGTTGGAATCAAAGGCAAGGCTCAGAAGAAAAGAGAGAGGAAGTGGTGGACAAGGTATGACCCCATGTAGGGTCAGTGTGGATGGGAGGCACCACTGAGAGCCTGTGGATGGAGAAGGATGTGGACCAGGGACAGCAGGAAAACAAGGCAAGGGGGGTTCTTCCTGAGCCAAACCAGATGTTTCACGGAGGCTGTGATCAGGGGCCATGCACAGGCACAGGTGGGTGCCATGGAGTAGGGGAGCCACTGGGGTATAGACCCAGGACAGAGCATAAGAAATTCAGACATTCCCAAGGCAGCAGGCACAGAAATAATGACTGACAAGCCTCTATCTTGGGCTCCCATCCATATATCAAAGATAAAGTTAACTGATTTTTCCACCTGGGAAGAAATGACTGAATCTCTGAGTGAGGAAGGACATGAGTGGTGCAGCCAGGGGAAGCAATGCTGGACCTGCCAGCAACCCTCCTCCCCTCACACTGCCCTGCATGTCCTCCCATCCCCAAAGCATGGAGGTTCTCATCCTTGTCCAGTGGTGGGAGCCACAGTCAGTTCCTAGAACCCTCAGGGGGCTTCCTGACATGATCAGCTGAGTCTAACAAAAACATGGCATTTACGATCAAATTCTCTATCTACATGTCACCAATGTGTTTATGAGGCTTTAGAGTAAATGAAATAAGTAAGTGAAAAATGGACTTTACAAGCAATAGAAAAATCAACAAATCAAAGAGATTTTTTCTAAAAAAATAGACAAATTCTTAGCTCAATTAACTAAGAGAAAAAGAGAGAATCCTTTAATAGCTAAAATCAGAAATAATTCAGAGAGCATAAGAATTGATAAAACTGAAGTTTAGAAGCAATTAGAGATGATTGCTCTGACATTGTTCAAAGTTGTCTCAATCCTTCAGGTAGTAATGGCATTTCTTGTCTCAGAACCCAAGAAGAGTCTTGAAACACACAGTTATTGGTACTCACAGATTCTGGACAAAATGTTGACATCCCAAAATACACCAGTATAGAAAAAAAATAAGAATCTGCTTCTATCCAGTTTGTAAGTGTTCAAGACCCATTCAGGAGATTCTGACATTACATTTATGCAAATATATGGTAACAATTTTGTCTCTCCAAACTTATACTCCAATAATAATAAGTAATAAGTGACAATGATTAGCATTGTATTATTATTTTTCTCTATAATGATGGTAATTTTTGAGGCGTGATAACCTAAGTGTCCTAATTCCGAACCCACAATTAGAACTGAGCAGCAATCACTGGCAGCAGAAGTCCCCCACATGGAGACACACCTGACTCAATGAAGCTGCACTTAGGGGTCTCTGCAAGCTCCAAGGTGTGGAGAAGCAGCTCCCACCTCAGACAAAGTTGGATGAATCTCTGCTCTTCCTCTGAGGAAGGTGAGGCTTAGTGTGTGGAAAGGACCAAATTTCTACTCAAGACATATGCTCCTAAATGAAAACCAAAGAATGTGATAACCATGTGATAACCATCAATGATAGACTGGATAAAGAAAATGTGGCATATATACACCATGGAATTCTATGCAGCCACAAAAAAGAATGATGTCATGTCCTTTGCAGGGACATGGATGAAGCTGGAAATCATCATCCTCAACAAACTAACACAGGAACAGAAAACCAAACACCGCATGTTTTCACTCAAAAGTGGGAGTTGAACAATGAGAACACATGGACACAGGGAGGGGAACGTCACACACTAGGATGCATCAGGGGTGGGAGGAAGGGGGAGGGAGAGCATTAGGACAAATACCTAATGCCTGAGGCGCTTCAAACATAGATGACTGGTTGATATGTGCAGCAAACCGCCACGGCACATGTATACTTATGTAACAAACCTGCACGTTCAGCACATGTATCCCAGAACTTAAAGTAAAATTTAAAATATAAATAAATAATAATCAAAAATAAAAAAATAAAGAAATACATACTTCATATTTTCTCAATAAAAATGAGACAACATAGGAAAACCTACACTAATATATTTGTAACAGCTTTGCCTATAATATTCATAAAATGGAAACAAATTTAAAGTACATCGACAAGAAAATAAATCAAAATATTCTCATTTATTTACTTAATGGACTGACTCAGATATAAAATCTTTCTCCTTCCTCTCCCTGTCTCCATATATACATGAAAACTTTGAGGTTTCATATCAGAGTCAGTCCATGAATTAAATAAATGACAATATGTTGATCTAATTTTACACATTAAATAGCATGAATTAATCTCAAAAATAGCAAAGCTCCTTTCCAAAAAAAGGTCTATAATGTTTGATTCCATTTATATAAAGTTCAAAACAGAAAAAAATGGATCTGTAGTGTGAGAAATCAAAACATTTCCCCATGCAGGAGCTGACCTCAGGCACAGGGAAAGACCCGCGATGTGGGAATGGACTTGCTCTTCAGCTACCTTAGGTGCTGGGGACAACAAGGGTATTCACATTTGCCAGAAACTCTCTAGTGATACATTCCAGATCTATGCATATTTTCTTATATGTAAATTTTATCTCATAAAAACAAAAAAAGTGTAGAATAGTTTAAAATTCAGTAATAATAAAATTAATATTAAAACCCTATCCAAAATATGAACATTATTATATGAATTAATACAATGCATTCAAGTATATGTACTAAAATTAAATCCCAGAAATCAAAAAGACAAGGGTAACGTCTTAAACTTAATAATTAATAAGCATGCATCTCATAGAGAAGAAAAAAAGTCAAGATATGAGGAACATCTATTCCTTTTTTCCAATCAAATGTAATTTAATTATTTATACAGCATTTTAACCTGTCATTAGCATAAATTACTAATATTTTGTGTGATATTACAACTGACAACAACTTTTAAAGAAGAAAAGATGCTTGAGAGCACGTGAACTAAATTGAATGTATTCTCAAAGTTGGTCCAACTATTACACGTCAAAGTTCTAATAATACCCTGGTTTGAGTGGGACTTTGAAAAAATTAATTTTAAGAGATAAATTTGAAAAATAAACTGATAATCTATAATAAAGAGAAATCAGCATTCCATATCAGAAAAAAATGAAAATTTGCAATACATATAAAGTCCTGAGAAGAAACCTTGAAGCACAGAAAGGGTCTCATGCACAGTAGGTTGTAATACGTCTATTGGTAAAATTATCACCTTTATGTTGTTTTGAAAAATTAAAGCTAAGCATAATGAAATTAATGTGTTTGTGCTCATCTGGTATAACAACATGTTGAGAAAATGGAAGAGCCCTGTAAGCCTGAGGAGGTGGCTTAATCCAAGGAGAGGCATCAGATTTAAAAATATATAATTAAAATTTCATTGAAAATTGAGAAATTTTGGTTGTATATATTTATGGGGCACAAAGGTATGTTATGGTTTGTGAATGCAATACGGAATAATTGAATCGAGTTAATTGACATATATATTACCTCAAATCATCAAATCCTTATCTTTTTTTGTGACAAGAACATTTGTAATTTTTTCTTGACTATTTTAAAATGACGAATACACTATGTTAAGGCTTAGAAATAGACATCCATTTATGCAAACTATAGAGAATGATCGAAATCAATTATAGATTACTCTAATTTATATTTAGCTCATCATTAAGTTTAATTCTTTAGAAAATATTTTAGAATTATTTTATTATAATGTTAAATATAAATGGCTACACATGTATGTATAGGCTTGTGTATTTACACATATGTCTGCAGATGTAAATTAATGTCCCCATAGGTATGTAGTTGCTGGTATGGGCAGACATTAATAAAACTAGGCCAGGTGTGGTGGCTCATGCCTGTAATCCCAGCACTTTGGGAGGCCGAGGTGTGCAGATCACGAGGTCAGGAAATCGAGACCACACTGGCCCACATGGTGAAACCCTGTCGATACTAAAAATACAAAAATTAGCCAGGCATGGTGGCGTGCACCTGTAATCCCAGTTTCTCGGGAGGCTGAGGCAGGAGAACTGCTTGAACCTGGGAGGTGGAAGAGGTTGCAGTGAGCCGAGATCGTGCTGCTGCAC
This sequence comes from Homo sapiens, assembly GCF_000001405.40. Classification (NCBI taxonomy): domain Eukaryota; kingdom Metazoa; phylum Chordata; class Mammalia; order Primates; family Hominidae; genus Homo; species Homo sapiens. Next base: position 583,079 of record NT_187600.1, read on the forward strand.
TCTCCAGGCTGGCAACAGAGCAAGACTCCGTCTCAAAGAATATTTATAATAGGAGCATGACTATATTGCCAAATATAAAATAAAATATCATAATGGCAACAATCAATTTTACCTGTCACCTTGACTAGACCACAGTCTCATCTACTCATTCACACACTAGCTTAGGTGTTGCTCCCATGGCATAACACAGGTGTTAGTGGAGCCTGCCATTATTTTTCCTAAGTCAGGAAGAGTGTTCTAGATAATCTAGGTGGGACTGATTCAAAGAGAGCATAACAGAAGACGATGGGACTCCATGGTGGACGGCAGATGCAGATCTTCCCAGGAATTCCAGCTGTCTTTCCTGATGACGAGTAGTATTGACCTTAGACTGCCTAGGCAGATTCTACAATTATCGTTACCCAGAGCTCACAGCACAATGGAGTGCCCATCCCCAGCTCTTCTCAAAGTCACAGGTGAGAGTCCAAACTCTGAGACAGTGTGAGAAGCACAAGATCAGCTCTACATCAATATCCTATTGGAGAAAACTAGTATTATTCCCTTCATGGCTAATGTCCACTTCATTTTCCAAATGCCTCCATGCACAGAAGACAAGAGTGTCCGGACAATGGTGAGTGAGAAAGTCCCCGTAGCCTACCCAGGTCCTGCAGACCTGAGCCCTGGGATTTTGACTACAGAAAACACATCGTCTGTTTTCAGGGAAGAGAAGAAGAAAGCGAACTGTGAGAATCAAACCTACAGAGAAGGAAATGGATTAGCAGAAAGAGGGTCAACTGAATCAGTCTGAGTTTACAAGACGAGGGGGGATAGCTGTGAAAACCATCAGGTTTTAAGGACTCTGACCCTGGGCGAGCCTCTCTCTTGGCTCCCGTCAGAGCTCAAGGCCTGTTCTAATCAGAGATTCCCATGGAGGTCTCTGCCCTGAGTCTAACTGGAAAACACTCTCCAGGTTTCCCTGGGATTCCTCAGGACTCTTATCCTGGTAACCATGAAAGGATTATTTCTGCCCCCAAAGTGACACCCTGGCTTCTGTGGAGCTGAGGATATGTACTCCTGTTGCAAAAAAACAAAGAAACAAAAAGGACAAAAAAAGTATTGCATTTAGAGACATCAAATGTTAGTACAGAATTGTAAATCTGGAGAAGTTCCTGGGGAAATTTGACAATGAGGCAGCCCCAGGCCATGACAGGAAGCCAGCCCTCAGCAGCACCTGCACCTGCCCTGGAGACAGCCCCGTGCACAGTGTCCCGGGCGCCCCCTGGTGGTCCTGGGGACCCCTGCAGGGAGGTTTGTGTCTGGGCTCACACTGACCTCCCCTCACTGTGTCTCTCGCACAGTAATACACAGCCGTGTCCTCGGCTCTCAGGCTGTTCATTTGCAGATACAGTGAGTTCTTGGCGTTGTCTCTGGAGATGGTGAATCGGCCCTTCACAGAGTCTGCGTAGTTTGTGTAACTACTACTACTACTAATGTATGAAACCCACTCCAGCCCCTTCCCTGGAGCCTGGCGGATCCAGCTCATGTAGTAGTCACTGAAGGTGAATCCAGAGGCTGCACAGGAGAGTCTCAGGGACCCTCCAGGCTTGACCAAGCCTCCCCCAGACTCCACCAGCTGCACCTGACACTGGACACCTGCAAACACAGAGACAACCTGGTCAGAAACTGCCACATATATTCACTGCTTATCTCACTCACGTCCACTCAATGTCTCTAGTTCTCCATAAATCACCTTTTATAATAGCAACAAGGAAAACCCAGCTCAGCCCAAACTCCATGGTGAGTCCTCTGTGTTCAGTGCTGATCACCGAATGGAAACTCCTGGGAATTCTGGGGCTGGGGCTCTTCTCCCAGAGCTGCAGGGTCTGGGCTCGGCTGGTTTTTATCAGCAGAGGGAGGGCCCTATTTGCATGTCTCCTACTATATAGCAAGCTCTAGTGGGACGCTGGAGGAGAGGGCAGTGCCCAGAGCAGATGAGAGGGTCCCGGAAAACACTGGAGGTAATCCTATCTCTCAGGAAAATATAACTTCAGATTATGTGATTGTGACTTGATGATCAATTAGCAGTCATCATCTTATTTAATGTTTACATATTTGCAGAATATATTCAGTGCAAGTGTCAATGTTACATTTTTAGAGAAGATGAATTACATACATAACAGAGCAGTTGTGCAATGTGTCCAATATCACACATCTGGACAGCGTCAGCCCTATTATCCGTGCCTGTGCCTCTAAACACTGGAGGAGACTGCTCCCCTGAGACAGCTCCAGGGCAGTGTGGGACATGCCTAGTGTGATTTGCAGGGTATCCCACCTGTCATAACGACTTTATGTGACTTTGCTTTTTCTAGTATTTACCTGAAATATGCAATCAGTGTTCACATGTGTGTATTTTCAGGAGTCCGTGATTATTCAAGTGTCAATATTCATCTCTTTCTTGCTCTTCCTCAGCCAATATACTCATTTTTGTTACTGCTTTATTCAAAAATTCAATCAATAGTGAATTCAAATTTATAGTGTACGATATGGAAAATGTTGGTATATGTGTGCAGCCTTTGAATCAGCACTTCAATCGTGCTATTAGCAATTAAATTAACCTCCAAATTTTTTTCTCTCACTTCTCTGTAATTTTATTTCACCATCTTGTTACCTCACCACACTTTTCTCAGAAAAATTCAGATCTTCTCCATGTTAATTTAGAATAGTTGCATTTTCTACAATTTATACAAAAGAAATCACAGGAGATTTACTGTGAATTCTTTAGCTTCCTTCACTCAGCACAATTATTTGATAATGTCCTCACATTCTTATGTGACTGAGGCATGCCTTGATTTCAATTGTTCATTGTATTTCAGTACATGAATATTTCTCAAATAGTTTAACAATGCACCAAATAGTGGATATTTGATATTTTGTCTTAGTTTCCGAATTTTATTTAGAAAGCAGATACTAAGCACGGGAATGTAAAAAAAAAAATGAGAAAATGATCTTCTTCTGACCTCATTAACAAGAAATTTGAAGAACTACAAAAAATGAACCCTTCAACATATCTGAGTTGATGTTGCAGAGAAAAAAACCCTGAAATCTGAGAAAATGGGGAGCCTGCAGAGAAAACTAGGTCCATTTATTAGAGTACCTGGGGCAGGTGCCACTCATTGTATGGTATTGAAGATAGGAAAAAGCTAACCTGGAAATGTTTCATGAGTTGTTGAGGATGTGTGTGCTAACGCTGTGAGAGTGTGAAACTACTGGCACTTGCGGGCTTTTCCTACAGAATTGGGGAAATCCCCAGACAACTCAGCCACCTGCTGTCCTGTGGTGTTGACTGGGGAGGAAGAACAGTAGCTCCGTTCAATGCTGAATCCCTCTTCACGATATGTGGGAGACATTTATTAAATCTTGTGTCCTTCAGGCACTGGTAGAATCAACTAGAACAGAAGGAAACAGAGGACACCAAGGAGACTCTACCCAGAAACACCTCCCGTCTCTTTCCTGAGGAATGAAACCCTGAGTCTGTGGAGTAAGGACAGTGGGTCAGAAGCTGAGGACACTGATGGAAGACCACTGTGGCTAGAAAGAGACACTCTGACTTGGGGAAGGGAAGGAACAGGAACGCTTGGAAGACCATGCTTCAGAGCCACTCTCACCACCCATAGCTAAGAAGGATGCTTGGTCAGAAGGTTGGAGAACATCCCCCTGTGTCCAAGCCCCTTCACCCCACAAACAATCACCAAGTAAAAGTGTCAGCAGGATGCACCTGCCACAGATGAAAGAGACAGGCTCTCTCTGGGGAGAAAGAAATGGGAAGAGCCAAACCGGGACACAAAAGTGGGTATCACTGGAGGAACCTGAACTTTTTGTGAACAGGAGAAGCTGACTTCAACTCTGATAGCCGTGGCAACCATACACTTGAAACCCAACCCTGACTAGGTTCATAGAAATGTGGTTAATAAAGGCCCAGCAGAATGTAATGTGTGATCATCTCCATGAACAAAATAATAAACACAAGAAAATAAATTACAAGTGAAATGCAAACTGGAATTCTACGTGCATTACATTTTCATTAAAAGTGAAAGGCAAATAAAATTCTGTCATTACAAAAAGATCTTGAGACAATTTATTGTCAGCACATTCATGCTTCAGTGCACATTTTAACAAACTTTCTCTGCTAGTAGCCGTGTGATATACATTCAAAACATAAATCTATACGAAGAAATTAAGACTGTACAAAATGGGAAAATCAAGATGAAGTGCAGTTTTTATCTTTGTAATTGCTATATTATATAACTATGAAAGGAATAAAAAATTTATATATTATGTTTTATAGTATATGTAAGTGCAAACTGGGAATAAACAAGAAAGAGCAGTGAGAAGGAGGAATTCAAAGCACACAGTTACACTGTCTCTGTTCTTCATATCAAGGCCATCACAGTATCTGCATTAGAATCCAATTATATACAATTCTTATAGAATCTAATTATATACAATTCTTATTGTAAAACTTATGGTAACCAATATAATATTTATAAAAGTGAATTAGATTATATGTTAGTAGAGAAATAAACATCATTGTGAAATGCTAATTTAAACAATATAACAGAAAAATAATATTAGTTTAAAAATAGAGCTTATTATAGTTGATTTTAAAAAGCAAGCCCCAACTAGAAGCTATGTATTAGAAAATTACTGTACGTATTCACAAATGTAAAAACTAAAGATGAGAAAACATGGATTACAAAAATATGAACCAAAATAAATCTATAGTAGCTGTGTAAAGTTAAGAAAAAATAGACATCAAAAAAGACTTTTAGGACTTAACAGGGATATTACACAGGATAAAGTTACCAGTTTTTTAAAAGATGCCAAAAAAAGACTTAACAAGTGTATAATAGATGAAGAATGCACCATTCGTTGTGATTTACAGAACAAACGTGATAAAGGAAGTAAAGATCTCAGTGAGACCGTGCACGTAAGGGTGCATGTAAGAACTTCCTCTTGAATTTCTCCCTGTTGCTGCCCACGCCAACTCTGGTCCTGGAGCCTGCTGGACCAAGCTTATGCTGCAATCAGTGAAGGTGATCCAGAGTCTTTGCAGGAGTGGCTGAGTGAACCGCTGGGCTGTACAATCTTTCTCCCTCTGACTCCATCAGTAAACTTCACACAGGACTTCTGCAAACACAGAGAGAGCAGACTGAGAGCAGCCCCATGAGCAGCAGCCACAGCTGGACCTGATTCACAAGGGCCACTAATACGAGGGTGATGAGAAGGGAAGCCCAGATCAGTGCAGACCCCACAGTGTGGACACTGAGGAAGGGAAGAGACATGGGGTGGCTCCTCGCCCGGGCCTGAGGGAACAGGGGATGAGCTGCCTTTCTTGAGGAGGGGAGGGGACATATTTCCATGTCTTTCTTTTTGTGGTCTTGGGTGCACCGCTCAGCATTGCTCATCCATCCTCTGTGTCTCCGTTTCAGGGAGGGCAGGATCAGAGGATTCCTGGGTCTGGATGCACAGGGTTAATCTGCCCATTACTCTTTCTTACTCTCTAGTGCGGACACTGTTCAGGTATCTTCATAGTAGAAAACATTATCAACAAATACATCCAGTAAGAACTTAAAAATACATTTCCAGGGAAAACGGACATCTCGCTGTAATCAGTACATTTAGAGCTGGAAACCACTGTTCCTGACCATGAGGCAAAGTTGAGTTACAATGAAAAAAAAATGCAGATCTACACCTTGTTAGGGAGGGGGTTGATAATTACCATTATCTTGAGATCACTTTTCGCAACATAGTTCAACATTGGATATATGGACATGACATGATTCATATAAACATGCACATTTGCTAGAACAGAAGGTTGAGAGGTCCCAGAAGTACTTATACCACATTAACAACACACATACCCATTATCACAATATTTTATTTTAACACTACTCTTTAAAATCAGAAACAAGCAATCTTTATATAAATGGCTAATTCTATGTATGAAAAAGGTGATAAAGAAACAAGCTTAGAATCTATCGTAATATCAGGAAACAGGGAAGTGTTCAAAAACAAAAGGATGAGCTTTGCTGTAAGGATGCAGGATCCAAACTAAATGAGGTCCCAGCACCTAATAAAGCTGTGGAGATTTGAACAAGAAAATGAATAATGTAGCATGGATCTTCTTCAGAGTATGAAATAGATGTCCATAAACCAATACGGATGTTAATAGATGATTAAATAAAGAAATGATGGGAAGAAGAACACATCTCCTCATGGAAGTATTCCAAATATCTCAGGTGGATAGTCCTCCAATCAATAGGTGAAGGCTAAGCACTCATGAGTTGATTGTGGCCTGAGATTAGCAACATGGAATAAATAATCACTATTAGTGTATTTTATAATGAGACTTCAGATATAATGCCAAATACATGATCTATGAATGAATAATTTTTTATGTTTTTTGTCTAAATCTGTGCACACACACACACACAGACACACAGACACACATATATTTTTTGAAATACCCACTGATAAGAGAGAAAAAGACAACCACAGACTGGGAGAAAATACTTCCAAGTCATCTATTTGTTAAATCAATTCTTTGGATTTGTTAAGTGACTTTTATAATCAATATGCAAGTAAACTTACAACTAATGAAAAGAAAACAATGCAGATAAAAATGAACCACATATCAGGAAAGGCATCCCAGCAAAAATTATATAAAAATTGTTTAATACGAATTTTTTATTTGGGACATGTGCATTTAAATAAAAATTAGATGCCATTACTCACCTATCAGCATGGCTAAAACTCACAATTCTCATGATGATAAATGGTAACATGAATGTGGAAAAACAAGAAATGTCATGCATTGATGGTGGGCATTCAAAACGTTACATGCACAAAATGAGATTTTTTGATATTTTTTAAATAGAGATAAAAGTAGAGTTAAAATGTGAATTTGTGCTTGTGTTCTGAAATATTTACAACATTGATTCAGAAATTGATGTTTACAAAGATTGATTCAGAGGAAGTTCTGTGTCAGATTTGTTAATATGATTCATTCTACAATCCCTGAAATTTGCTTACAGAATAAATGTTGTATGAAAAATCTCTCAAATAACTAAAATCCTGTCCATTCAAGCCCTTGTCCAGGGGCCTGTCATACCCAGTGCAAGTAGCAGTAGGTGAAGGTGTATCCAGAAGCCTTGCAGGAGACCTTCACTGAGGCCCCAGGCTTCTTCACCTCAGCCCCAGATTGCACCAGCTGCACCTGGGAGTGGGCACCTGTGGGGAGGACACAGGAGTGGATGAAAGCCCCCTTGACTGGACTCAATCCCCTCCTCATTACTTGGACCTGGGAACTGCTTACCTGTGGCTGCTGCCACCAAGAAGAGGATCTTGCAGGTCCAGCCCATGAGGAGATGTGCTCTCAGGGGATTCTCTCAGGTGATTCTCTCAGGGCACAGAACATATTTACCTCAGTGGATATCAGTATATTTGCATATTCATAAGACAAAGCCTTTCTTAGCTCAAAGCCCAATCCATGATAAGAAAGGGAAGATAAATGACACATCAGCCTAACAAGAGTGAGATGCAGACGGTCGAAGCCCTAATCCTGCTTGAGGAAATGCATGCCCTGCTCCATTTACAAACATTTGTGGACAGACGTCCTTTCACTGAAGAATAAGCCCATATAGAACAGGCTCCTCACTGTGAGCCTACATTTGATTAGCATAGAGACCACCTGGATCATTTTTGGAACCATCACTCTCCATCACACTGAGCAGGTGCCTTGGTCTTTTCCTGGACCCATCAGCCACCAGCACAGCTCATTGGTGACTCTGAGAAAGTGATGCTTATGTCCCACATGAGTGTCCAGGAGGGACCTCTGAGATCTACTGGGTGCTCCTGAGACACTGTCTCCAGCACCTGCCTCATGTCCTGATCCCCCAGGGTCTTCAATTCTATTGAACACTCTTGATTTACAGATTTGCCCTGTGATGCATAATTAGAGCTGATTTTCTCATCTCACAGACAATGGGAATCAGAAGATAAAGCAGGAGTTTGGAGTCCATTATGAACTCTCTACTCCCAAAGTAATTGTCAAGGAATTTGTGTTTAGAACAATTTTGGGTTATTTTGAACTCCATTTATTAGTATTTTGTCAAGTATTTACATACTTTCAGTTCATATCCACAGACCCTCACCTTTCCATATTGATTTCTGACTCACTTGGTCTGTGCACCTGCCACACTCTCAGATCCACCACTGCCCTGTCACTCACACAATGTAAGCAACATTACTTAACACTGAAATCTGAATTTCTTATTCATAGGAATGTAGTTTCTTCAACTAATCTGTACCCATAGAATTAGTAAAAACATGCCTATCCTTCATATTCTCACTATTAAGATATTATAGTTCTAGAAACCCACTTTAAAAAATAGTTCCCAGTGCCTTAAGTTATATGAATGGTTTTGATGTGATAGAATATTTAAAGCACATCAGCGACTTTTTGAACAGTTATTTTAGATTGTTTTTTCCTGACAAACGAAAACCCAGGCACTGAGAGGAAACCTCCTCCCCAGCTGTGCACCTGCTCCAGGGCTGGAACCTGCGCTTGGTGGCTCCCAAGTGCCCCCTTCCACAGAAGCTCTTGCCTTGCAATGAGGTTTCTGTCGGGGCTCACAAATATTTTCCTTCAGAGTCTCTAGCCCAGCATGAAGTGGCTGTGTCCTGGTTTAGAATTCTCCATCAGTGACACCACATGCTGCTGACACCATGTCTTTTAACAATTGATTAGCCTTACTAAACCTACAGAGGGAGACCCACAGACAAGATTCTGTGACACAGAAGGGACCCCCTTTTCTGAAGCTTCACATTTCCTGAGTCAGTGGACACACAATGAACACAAAAACTTGAAGGATTTGGGGAGTGCCTAGTTTCTTCGCTGGGCTCTTGCAGTTGAATGTTGCACCTGAGAATATCTGCAGGTACAGATAAATTCAGAATAAAGACACCTTTGTATATGCTATTCCAATAACACATATTCTCCTTTCTTACTATTTTCTAGCCTATAAAAAGTGCCTCCTACACACACACTAGGCCTAGGTTTATGGCTTTTTTTCACTTAGCGATCTGAGGCAAACAGAATACAAGTGGAGACTTGGGAAGTGCATGCATTTTTTTTCTCAGCTAGGAACCCTGCAAATGCCCCATGATAAAAGAATCTGAGGTCAATGGATTTGCCAAGACCTTGTCTTCAAAAAATTTATGTCAGAGGCTTCAGATTTTCCTACTGTCCTTGTCTTATTCTCTGCCATTGTCTTTCAGTTTCCCTATGTTCTCCTCCTCACATAGAGTCTGTGCATTTCCACACTTTCATCTTTAACCCAGATTATACTGGTGAGAAAACAAAGTGTGCATCCTGGAAGTATTATATGTTCTTACAATTGATTCTTAATAATTCAGTCATCCTTTCTTTCTCTGGGTTGTGACCTATACGCAGAGTCTCCAGAAATGAAACTGTTGCTTTCCCTTTTCTGGCTATAACATTATAGGATTATTTCTCTATTGGCTAATTTTATCCACTTTCATGATAAAGGAAGGCTGCTGGGAGGGTCTGTAATGGAGATGGACTACCTTACCCAACACAGATAAGGTTCTAGATATGTCTTTCCCCTGGATGGTCTATCCGGAGAAATGTGCATGTGTATTTCTCAGAGATTAGATATTTGGATGATTTATCCAGGAAAGGATCTATGTTGATTTTCACTCAAAGAACCTGGAGGTTCCTGGAGCAAATAAGCACAAGAGTGTGAGGTGTGGGGCCTCTAAGATCTCTCACCCTCACACTAGTTCCGACATGCCCTTTATGTTTACATAGTTCAGATTTACATATAACATACCACACAGCCAGGCTCATCTGAATTGCCACATGCTCATTTAAACTCACTGGAGCAGCAGCTGAGTGTAATCATCACATTGAACTCAGAGAAACCTGGGTCCAATACACGGTTTATTGTAGCTCAGAGAAGCATCACTGACTCCCTTGAGTGGACGTTTCTTCCCTGAAACAGCTTCACTACCAAGTATACTAAAGAGATGCTATGGAGCCGCTGTGGGGTTGGATTTCTTCCTGTCAGCCTGTCATGCAGGGTGTTTGGAATGATGTAGACCTTTAAACTTAGATGCTAATCTTTCCCAGTCTTGTTGAAATGGCTGGCCACCCCCAGTCCTGTTTCTCCCCTCCACTCACCTGAATGTCTCCAAAAACCCCATGAACCTAAAGACTCTCTTTTTCATGGATGACTCTGAGGATTCTCAATCTGGTCAGTGCCACAGTCAGAGGCAGCTAATGGAGGATTCTCAGTCCACTGATATGTTGAGCCCATAACATAGGACACATATCCAAGAGTGGACAATTCATGTCAGTGCCAATCAACATTTAATTCAAGGGGCATGATTTTCAGTGCATTGAAGTTTAAAAGCTTCATAATTCTTAATAGAGGCACAAACTGAATGGTTTGCTGAAGAAGTGAGCTCATGGTTAGAAGAAAGCTGACTGCACCCAGGAAGAGTCTCTTTAAGTAAAACACCTGAAACGTGATGTCCTGAAACCTTGTGAAAATTCATTTCCTTGAGTAAAAAAACAGGAAAGCTATTCTCAAATCATTGGAAGAAAACTTATCAGAAATTTTATCAACACAGCACTCGAATTCCAGTAAGTCAATCCTTGGGTTTATGTTTCACAACTCAAGAAGCAATAAAGAAATCTACATAATTGGAAGGCTGCTCCAACAGAGGGAATTTTGTCCTATTTAATTAATAGAATAGTATTCATTCAAAGACACTCTCCTGTGGAATCTATAACTTAAACAGATCTCTGCAACCTGGAAAAATTTTCTCACTTATTTTTCTCTAGACACCCATAAATGCAAAAACACATTTTGTGTGTATGTGCATGAGTGATCTATAGAAATACTTTGCATATTAATGAAAGTTTGGAAAAATGATAACTTCATCACTTATTGTGAACTCCCACTTCACTGGTTTCCGAAATTCTCTGCCTGTGTCATGGGACAATGGGTGCCTCTGAGAATATGCTGATTTTCAGACTGAACATGTTCTCCACTCCTCACTTGACTTCATGGTTTCTTGCTGACACTGATGTCTCTATGAATGAAAACCCAACACTGATATCCAGCAGATTTTCCTCTTATGAGATTCATATTCTCTCTATCTCTTTCTTTCTCTGCATGTCTCTAACTCCCTGTTTTTCTGTGCCATTACTATTTATGGCTGAATCATCCTGAATCCTGCCGACATACTCCATCTCACATTCTGCAAATATTCTGCCTCAAAGACAATTAGGGGCAAACTCATCCTTGCCCAAGGTGGGAAAACTTTCTGGACTTCCACTAGATTTATTAGAGCCTCATATGAGAACCATGATCAAACATTATTTGCTTTTGGATTATACCTCAAATCTAAAACTGTTCTTCGTAGCGGCTATGACATTCTACATTCCCATCATTACCATTATGCAAAACAGTGTGGTGGCTTCTAAATAAATTAAAACTGAAATACCATATGACCAGCGATCCAGCTTATGGAAATACACCTAAATGGGATGAAATTACCACCCTGTGAAGATACCTGCTCTCCTGTGCTTACTGCAGCGCTATTCACAACAGCCAAGATATGGAAACTAAGTGTCTGTCGATGGACAAATGGATAAAGACAATGTGGTATGTGTACACAATATAACATTATTCTGCCTTATAAAATAAAGAGATGCTGCCATTTTCCACAAGACAAACGGATTCCCACCACCACTAGCAATGCATTGTATCCATTGCAGCCCCTCCCTGAGAGCTGGCAGATCCAGGTCCAGTAGTAAGGACTGGTTGTGATGGAGTGGCCAGAAATGGTGTAGGTGAAGCAGAGGGTAAGTGTGTGCTCTTCAGGTCCAGGGCTGACTCCTGCAGCTGCTCCTGGGACAGGGCATGTGAATACATGGGGAATCAGTCCCCGTCAGTCACATGTACCTACACTCACCCCATAGACCCACATCTGACATCTGAGACACTCACCCTGGGGGAGCCATCACCAGGCACAGGAGAAGACACAGTAATGCCATCTTCTTCATGAACACAACTCTGCATTCCCCAGATGCCTTATCCCTGTCTGAGGGGAGAGCTGTTAGCTTCACAGTCCAAAAGCATTTTATACCCTGGAGCCTAAAGGATATTTTGGATGTGGCAAAGCCTTGTACTTATAAGAGAGAGGGACATAGGTCTGACTCCCTTTGGATTTGAATATGTTTTATTGTTGTCTGTCTATTTTCAGGTTGACATGAAGCACTTCCTTGCCAAAAACTACAGTCGTGACATTTAATAAAATTTGCTTTATTCCTATTTTCCCGCCTGTGACATTTGAACTTCTGTATCAAGTGAGCAATGTGCATACCTTACAGGAGAAATTACAAAATAACTCTCTAAGTCATCAGTATCACACGAATGCTACCCTGTCCTTACTGCCAAATATCTTCTGGAAAGATTTAAGTAAAAATAAATGATAAGTTGCATTCTTAAATTAAAAGTAGCATAACGTTCAGAAACTCATGAAATCCCTTTGCCAAAGGTACTCCCACTAGAACTTACAGCCCAAGGTCTCCTTCCTCAAGGACACAGACATTCTCACCCTATGACTTGATTCATCAAAAGCCCATGTATTTCCCATTTTACCTTCAGCATTATACTCTGATTCATCACATGCCAATACAGCGAAGTATTTTAGGGGACCGATGTGCTATGCAGAAATATTCAACAGGATGTTAAAAATGTCCTAAATAGTTTCTTTACTGCCATCAGCTTGTAAATTATTTATTTTCCAAGAGACATCGGAGAAAAACAGTCACAAATATTGTAAAAGGGGCTAATTACCATTAACAACAAATGCAGCAGTGGCTCCAGGATGTCAATCCATAGGTTTATGAGTGAAAATGAGGTGGGTTGCATAAATTGTTTTGAGAGGATTTTCCTTGCTTGTAGAGTCAATACCAAGGTTGGCATCAGTATAGGGTTAAACCGTGATTTGCTGGGAAGATGTCCTTGTAGAAGTGATTTTTATAAGGTCATGGTGGCTTCTATCAAAGGTTGTGGTTAAGCAGAATCCATTTATGGTCGATCTTGTTATCAGGAGTATGTGCATGGGAAACCTCCTTCATGGTCATTCCTAGTTCCATTTGTCAGGGTTTTAACACAAGTGGATCTATTTTGATTCTGACAACTTTCACACCCTCTTTCTAACACTACTGGTGAGGAAGGTGACTCACTCTGTGCTACTTTGCACAGCACAGGATAAATTTCACATCCACATCCCATTTTGTCCACACAAGCTCATCCCCTTCACTACTGTTGGCCACTTCCATTCGCAGGTGAGTCTCCACGTGACACACTGGAGGGTGCTGAGCAATGGGAGAGAGGAAAGTCCCATCAGCCTCTTCCACGTGGCTGCAGGAGCCACAGCCTGAGCCCCACCTGAGCTGCAGGGAATGGGCTTGAGACCTGGAGCTTTGGCAGCAAGAGCCACATCCCCACTTTACAGGGAGCAGGAACACTACAAGGAAAAGCAAGAACAACAACAACAAATAAAAAGAAATAGAATGGGCTAAGAGCAAAAGGGGCCCCAGATCAGTGCTGACACTAAGTTGTATACTTTAGTGTCAGGAGAAGGGTCAGAAGTGAAACCTGTGAAGTTCTACATGACACTGATCCTTGCCCAGACTCTCTATTGGCTGCGATCACAATTCCTAAAGACCGTCCTAGTCAGGGAAACTCACTGAGGTTTCTGTCCTGAGTCTGAGTGGAGAAGACCCACCAGGTACCCCTGAGTTTCCTCAATACTCTGATCCTGGTGACAATGGTTGAGGGCTTTTCATCTCTGTAAGCATCAGTCTGTGTTTCGTGCATAAGAGAATAGGTTTTCATATTAAAATAATCATTTTAAAAATATGTAGGGATGGCATTGGTAAGCACAGAATTCTGAACTTAGAGAGGTTCCCTAGAGAAACTCTAAAAAGATGAAGTCCCACATCCTGACAGGAAACCAGCCTCCATCTGCACCTGCCTCTGGGGATGACTCTGATCAGTGGGTCCTGTGCGCCCCCTGCAGCTGATTTCCCCCAGGCATTCTGCAGGGAGGTTTGTGTCTGGGCTCATACTGACTTCCCCTCACTGTGTCTCTTGCACAGTAATACACAGCCGTGTCCCCGGCTCTCAGGCTGTTCATTTGAAGATACAAGGAGTTCTTGGCATTTTCTCTGGAGATGGTGAATCGGCCCTTCACGGAGCCTGGATAGTATGGGTCACCAGCAGTACCAATAGCTGAGACCCACTCCAGACCTTTTCCTGTAGCTTGGCGGACCCAGTGCATGTCGTAGCTACTGAAGGTGAATCCAGAGGCTGCACAGGAGAGTCTCAGGGACCCCCCAGGCTGTACCAAGCCTCCCCCAGACTCCACCAGCTGCACCTCACACTGGACACCTGCAAACACAGAGACACAAAAGTCAGAAATTGCCACACATACCCACTGTTTCTCTCATTCATGCCCATTCACACTCAATATCTCTAGTTCTCCATGAATCACCTTCTAATATAGCAACAAGGAAAACCCAGCTCAGCCCCAACTCCATGGTGAGTCCTGTGTGTTCAGTCCTGATCACTGAATACAAACACTTGGGAATCCCAAGGCTGGGGCTCCACTCCCAGAGCTGCAGGGTCAGGGCTGGGCTGGTTTTCATCAGGAGAGGGAGTCAACTATTTGCATGTCTGTTACTATATAGCAAGCTCTGGGGTGGGACATCTGAGGTGAAGGCAGGGCGCAGAGTAGATGAGAGCGTCCTGGGGGATTTTGATGACAATGATTGTATTTGGGAAAATGCTGCCTTATTTTGAAATTGTTCTGCGATAAACATTTAACAACTATCATATTTTTAATTTTTTTACCTATGTGTATAGATGATGTTATTTAGGAGTCAGTGGTTTCTTCATGTACAGATGTAAAAGTGAACCCACACATGGAGGGGCTATGTACGTGTCTCAGGGCTTATATCTGGCATGAGTGAGTCCTAGTACCTGGGCCTATGCGCCTCACAGCTGGCCTCAGTTGCTCTGAACCAACTACAGGACAGAGATAAACGGCCTAGTGTGGTTTGCAGAATCCACTTCCTGCCACGACAACCTGTGTGATTTTGCTGCATTTACCTAAAAATACAGAGACAACTAGGCGTCAGGCAGATACATTTTTGGTGTATCTGACATTTAATGTATTTATTTGTTCCTTCTTATCATCCCTTTTTTGTCTAAAATTTCACTTGTTTACTTGTAATAAATTTTATGAGTTTTAATTGACAGATGATAAAATTCACATATTTAACCTGTACAATAGTAAACTTTGATAAAGAAAGTCTCTATTTTCAAGAAGGTGACAAGTCAACTCACCTCAGAATTCCTCTTGCTCTTTTATAGATATATTTTTGTTTTTCTCCTTTTCTTCTACCATTTCTTTATAAAAGTACTGATGTTTTCATATTTCTTTAGACTAGTTTTTATTCTCTAGAATTTATAAGAATGAAATAATATAGTATGTACTCATCTATTTGGCTTATTTTTCTCAATAGAAATACTGAGAATTAAACCTTTTATGTTGTATTGTTTATTTTTTATAAATAATAGGTAGCATTTCAGCAAACAAATGTAGCATAATTTGTTTTTCTAAGTTGCTAATTGGTATCTGAACTTTTCATTACTTTGGGTCTTACTAATAAATCTGCTACTCAATTTGGTAATGTACATAGATGATAAATTATATATAAAATATATTATTTTTGCAACAACAATAACACATAAACAAGAGAATGCGCTATTTGGCAAATTTTCTTTAGCATGTCAAATAATTGAAGTTATGAAATAAAAACAAACCTGTAAACCAAAGAGTATCTGAGACTAATCTCAATAGATTTAGGAAGTTCAATTTCCAAGATTAAGGACATGCCTGTGACACAGCCTCAGGGAGTGCTGACGACATGTGCCCAAGCTTGTGGGCACAGCTTGGTTTTATACAATTTAGGGAGACATGAGACATTAATCAATATATATATATCAGATGTACATTGATTTAGTTCAGAAAGGCAGGACAACTTGAAGTGGGGAGAGGGCTTCTAGATCATAGGTAGGTTTGAGAGAAATGGTTGCATTATTTGAGTTTCTGATTAGCCTTTAACTGAATGCACAATTTACAGGAATAGTCACGTAGGCCTTAGTCTGACTTAGTGAAACAGTAGAGCACAGGGAGCAATCAGGTATGCGTTTGACTTACATGAGCAGAGAAATGACTCTCTCTGTCCTGGGTCCACAAGGATTTTACTTGTGGTCAAATTTTGAAGGAGGTCTGTAGCTTTTAAAAACCTTAGTAGCTCTCATTTTAGGGAAAGAATGGAGGTGGGTTTGCCCCAAACAATTTTCAGCTTGACTTCCCTTTGGCTTAGTGATATGGGGGTCCCAAAGGTTTATTTTCCTTTCAGGAACATGGAAATCTTGGAAGAAATGAGTTCTTGTAGAGAGAAATGAAGCCATAGTGTTAGCTAAACTGAGGCCGAGGCTGCCACATGAAATATAGCCCATTACAAGACAAAGCTACAAACGTGTTGGATTGCTTAAATTCCAGTGTGGTAAACGTGTTGTCATGTGAAATTCTCAGGAACCACATACTGAAGGGCACTGATAAAGTGAATTAAATATGGCCTGAAAAGGACTCCGTACTTCTGTGTTTGAGTCCTTGTGGACAAACTGTAACCTACCTGAATAGGTGGACGAGATTGAAAAGCCAACTTTGGAGCATGCGCCTGTAACAACAGCGGAGTCTTGGCCAATTCCAGCAGCCATACCTCAACCACTCGTACACTCTTGAGGGTGCACACCTTGTTTAAATAAGACAAAAGCAACCTGTAACCAATCCAGCTGTTTCTGTACCTCACTTCTGATTTCTGTACATCATTTTTCTAATCTATAAATCTTCTTCCACCCCGTGACTGCACTGAAGTCTCTTTGAATCTGCTGTGATTCTGGGGGCTGCCCAATTCATGAATCATCCATTGCTCAATTAATCTTATTAACCTTAATTTGGCTGAAGGTTTTCTATTTTCAGCATTCCTATACAATTGAATCCCTTTGTTCTAGAATGAGGACGCTCAGAAAAATTTTCCTTTCCCAAAGTGTCTGTCTGAGACAGAAGGAGAGCCCATACTACTGAAATGCGTTCAGACCCACCTCCCTCATCAGCACTACAGAATAAAGGAATGACCTACCATGCAGGGGCAAGCCACTGAAACCATGATTCCAGAGGCACTGGTGGAGCCCCAGAGGAAATGGGATAAAGACCAAGGTTTTCACCAAAGTTCCATCGAAATGCACCTCCTCTCTGTCATGGAATCAAATCCTTAATCTCCAGGGCATCGCAGAAGATCTAGAAGATGATGATAATAGTGGAGACTATTGGAGGTGTGGGAGGGAACACCTGGCAAAAACAAGAGAAAATATATGTATTTAACTCAGTAGACTTCAAGCTATTTACACGTTAATTAGCTGGAATATTTCATAGCTAAATACCTGATCTAGCATGAGAAATAATAGAGATGACACATGGAGAATGCAACAGTGGGAAGCTGAGGTTCAAGTTCTGATGTTTGTTTACTGATATTTGTCCGCTGGCATGTCCAGAACTTCATGAGTACAGAACTCCTCCAATAGGGAAACAAACACTCACAGGACATGCATTTTTGTTTGAAATAAGTGTAATTCAGGTGCTGGTAAAATTTTCTCCTCAGACTCCTCTGCAGCAGCTCCAGGGCTGACATCTGTGTTGAGTGGGTTCTGGGCCTGTCCTGCAGCTCTGCCCTCACCCTGCAGGGGAGGAAGCTGTTTGGGCTCACAGAGCATATTCTCCCAATGTCGCTCCCCCAGAATGAAGGGGCTGTCCCCTGGTTCATAATCCTCTCTCAGCAGCATCTAATGCTTTCGAAATTGTCTCTTGAAACAGTGATTTGTCATTACTATACCCAGTAAACTGCAGAGAGAGCCCAAGCACAGATTCATGAAACCACCAGAGAGTCACTTCCCTGGGACTGTCAGATGCAATGACACAGTCAAGATACATGGTGAGTCCAGAAACTTTCGGATAATTCATAGGAGCCTCTTATTTCTCTTACAATTCTCTATTCAAAGGTCATGCCAAATAGTATCTTCGCAGAGAGAACTACATGGCTTAAAGCCCACAGAAATGAAAACATGCATGTACACACACATATACACCCCCCGCCACACACACACACACTCACAGAGTGGTATGGCTGATTTTTACAGTAATTGGCTCCTAATTTGGGATCTTTCCTAGTGTAAACCGAAGGTTTCTGAGACAGATCTTAATCAAATTAAAATTAATTTTCCCAAAGGAAATTATGTCTTTCCAGGACATGCCTGGAAGAAAAATAAAAGTAATCACAGAAACTGTGTGTGGTTAGTGCCATTCCCCAAAGACAATTTTTAGGGCTTTCAATATATAAAGAGGAAAAGCTGGGTAAGGGGAAATTTGGATGGTATGAAAATTTACATGTGTAATGAAAAAGAAGCATATAGGAAAATATAAAATTATGTAGTTCTCCTGCAGTAAGTCAGCACTTTCCCATGCTGTTCTCATGATAGTGAATAAGTCCCATTAGATCTGATGGTTTTATCAAGGGGAGTTCCCCTGTGCAAGCTCTCTCTTGTCTGCCACCATGTAAGATGTCCCTTGCTTTCCTGACATGATTTTGAAGCATTCCCAGCCATGTGGAACTATAAGTCCATTAAACC
The DNA here is from genome assembly GCF_000001405.40 of Homo sapiens. Taxonomy (NCBI): domain Eukaryota; kingdom Metazoa; phylum Chordata; class Mammalia; order Primates; family Hominidae; genus Homo; species Homo sapiens. The sequence continues at coordinate 601,978 of NT_187600.1, forward strand.
TCATTGCTTTATAAATTACCCAGGCTTGGTTATGTTTTTATTAGTAGCAGGAGAACAGACTAATACATTTATTTTGCCAAAGTTAAGAACCCACCCATGACCAGCCTCAGGAAGTCCTGAGACATGTGCCCAAGGCGATTGAAGTACAGCTTGATTTTATACATTTTAGAGAGACATGAGACATCAATCAATATATGTAAAATGTACATTTTTTTTCCTTCAAGACAGGACAAATTGAAAGGGGGTTTTGCAGTTTAGAAGTAGATAAGACACAGTAGGTTGCATTATTTTAAGTCCTTTATCAGCCTACCACTGAATCCACAATTTAGTCAGACTTAGTGAATCTTCATTTTTTCATAAATGATACTGAAGAGGAAGCAATCAGATATGTATCTGTCTCGTGTGGGCCTCAGAGGAATCACTTTGAATAGAATGGGAGGCAGGTTGCCCAAAGCCCTCTCCAGTAAAGCACCTTTGTTATCTGGAATATCACCAAAGGTTCTTTGTGTCGTGGCTATGAAAATCAAGGACACAGACACACAAAGAGTGAGGTTAGAGCAGAAATTTAATGTGTAAAAGGAAAAAAAATCTCTCTGTCACAGAAAGGGTCCCAGATGGGTTGCTGTGCCGCAGTAAAATGTAAGGATTTTTATAAATGTGCTCGTGGGGAGACAGTATCTTATCAACGTAAGGATTTTTATAAATGTGCTCGTGGGGAGATGGCTTCTTATCAACATAAGGTGCAAAAGCAGGACCAGGTGTGCCATCTGCAGAGAGCGAAGTCTCTGGCAGCCCCATCTCATGCTTTTATTATGCAGGTGGGGACTTAGCTTGGTCTGCTCCACGTTCCTTATCTCCTTCCACCATGCATGTGCTGAAAAAGGGGGGAGGAGTTTCCATGCCAGGTCCCTGGTACCTCCTTGCAGCTGGAGGCATCCCAAACCCCGTGCAAGCTAACAGCTTTCCTATCTCAGTGTGACCCCAGAAAAGGAAAGGAATGTGCTCATTAAGACCCAATGTTTTTATTGGGACCCATCCTATGTATGTGAACTTTGGTGATTACACACAGAAATACCCTCTCTGCCAGAGTTGTTTATCTATGTTTTACAGCCCGATCTTTCAGGCTGCTCTTTGTTAGAAGTGATCTCTTTGAACTGTGTCTGATTAGAAAAGAAGTTATTTCTGAGCTAATTCTTGTGAGAAGAAAAGTTTTGCCAGAGACTCTTTCATCCTAACTATCTACCTAAATAATTTCTTTCTATCTCCTATTACACCAGCTGGACTCTTCTCTTTAGCTTAGTGATTTTGGGGTCTCAAGATTTATTTTCTCTTCACAATAGGCAGGTACAAAAGGAGACTTCGTATGTAGTTAAGTTGCTTGTATCAGTCCATTTTCAGGTTGCTATAAGGACATACACGAGGCTGGGTAATTTTTAAAGAAAAATAGGTTTAATTGACTCACAGTTCTGCATGGCTGGGGAGGCCACAAAAAACTTACAATCATGATGCAAGGGGTAGCAAACACATGCTATTTCACATGACTGCAGGAGAGAGAAGTGTTAAGTGAAGAGGGAAGCCCCTCATAAAATTATCAAATCTTGTGAGAACTCACTCACTAACAGGAGAAAAGCATGAAGAAAACAGCCCCTATGATTCAATTATCTCCACCTCATTCCACCCTTGCAATGTGTGAATTATTACAATACAAGGTGAGATTTGGGTAGGGACACGGAGCCAAACCATATCATTGATTTTGTTTTCTTTTAGAATTTACATTGTCTAGCTGTAAGAAAGCACAGTTTAACTTCTGCTGATTTCAAGCCAGGAAAAATATTTAAAAAGGGAAATAACTGAAAACATTATTTTGGAGACTCGTGCAAAGATACGCTTTAAAATTCAGTCCAAATTGTAGAAAATAATATAAATTGAAAAGCAAGTGGACAAGGTTAAAATCTATTAACTGATGCACTATAGTTTATTTTGAAATAATATTTCTCTCTATAATTCCCCAATTTTATTAGACACAAAATCATAGTAGGACTAATCTATTTGTAAAATCAGTTTTAGGCTTATGAGACTTGGCCTGGTTTTTTTGTATAAGATGCAGCAAAGTAATCCTTTAACATATTAGCTCTCTTTTTGTTTTCTATTTTTTGTTTGTACATAGGCAATTTTATTCATAAATTGACTTTGCTGGAAATTTTTTATAAGGAATCAAAGGGTAGAATCTTTAAAATCTTCAAGCCCAGCCAATATTTTATCTGTGCCACCAGATAGCTATGTGAATTGGGTTACTTTCTCTTTTTTCAAGTTTCCAAGAAAACCTGGGAGTCCTGGGTCTGTCAGAAATTAAATTGTTTACTTACTACAGTTCAGGGCCCTGTAAAAAAAAAAAAATGTGCATGCCAGTTTTCCCAAGGGGCTTTATCAGCTCTCCAGGTTAGATTCATTTTATAAAGTAAATCTGAAAATATATAATTCAAGTTAAAGCCTTAGTAAAATGACCATTGTCTCCAATTGTGCCCTGTTATGGAAGAAAGCAGGTTTTTATTGAACCTATGCAAATAACTATTTTGATATAAGAATACTCACAGTTTCCAAATTTTGGAGAAATTATGTAAATAAGAAGATATTATGTTTTTATTTTTTTATCAGTAAAGTATACCATACTCAATTGTTAACAACTGTGAAGAGCTTAAAAGACAAACTTTTCCTGATTCTGAAAAAACAGAACATAAGTAATTAGCAAATGCATTAAAGAATAAGCCATAAAAACAATTTCAGTCTTCTGTCAATTCAGTTCATGCAATTAAGTCCTGTCCTGCTTAATATTAGATTAACAATCATCATAAATGAATCAGGTATCAATGAGAGTCATGGAAGTTTTAATCTCTATACCAATGGCACAATTTATAAAATTGTCACAATCGTATATTTGAGTACTCCTCAAAATTCTATAGATTACTATAAGCCACCTGATAAAGAATCAAAGTAAAACACCAACTGTGGATGACTGAAGTTTTAGAATAGCCATGGTTAAAGACAGAATTGAGGGGAAGATTTGGTTATTTCTGCAATAAACAGAAATTTTACATAATAATCATAAATACTACTGATAAAATATACTAAGACATATCAAATCACTTGAATCTCATACAATTTTGGAAAATATACTCTTTAATTTATATAAATATAGTCCAATTATATAGTCCACATTTATTTAAATATAGTCCAAAGTTAAACACTTTTGCAAATTTGACATTGCTTCCTGCATATTTTAATTATACCAAATAAGCTGAATATGTTTAATTTTGGCTTTGGGGACCTAATATCATAAAAGAATAATGAGGTCAAATGACTGAATTTAGAATTTTATTTTGTGAAGTTTGTCAAATATCAAAAGTTTACAATGCTTGATATTACAAAATAGGATTACAGATTGCTGTAATGTAAGTTATTTATTTAGCCCAGTGAGAACTCAGTGATTTTGAAAGAAAGCAAAAACTTTTATTTTTCAAAGAGAAGAATTAATTTTCTAAACAATAGCCCCTTATAAGAACAGCATGAGAGAAGTTAAAACTGTCTCTCAATTCTGAAAAATAAATCTATTACATTATAATTACTTTTACCATAAAATTTAATTTCAAATGATCTCTTATAAACTTTTATAAGTTTTTCAAATTAAAAAGTGGATTAATTCTTCAAGAAACCCTTGTCAATCTGACACATGGCCCAGCTACTAGCCTGGCATTAGTGTGCCTTTAATATTAATGTTTACTGTATAAAAAACTCTCAAGTAATTTCATCTTTCAAAATTAGCTTTTACAATCTTACAAACCGCTTCTTCTGTAACAGTCCCTGGGCCTGGAGTGGTTGAGTAGATTCAATTTTCCGGCCTTGTGTCTTAAGTGTGTGATTAATTTTTATTGTCATTTTCTTCCACATCTCTAGATGGGGCTTCAATTGCTGTCAGAGTTTAAAATTTAGCAAGACTCGGTGTCTTTTTTATTTTTATTGTATTTATTTGTTTTTCCTGAGACAGAGTCTCACCCAGGCTGGAGTGCAGTGGTGTAATCTCGGCTTACTGTAACCTCTGCCTCCCAGGTTCAAGCAATTCTCCCTGCCTCAGGCTCCCAAGTAGTTGGGATTACCTGCGCCCGCCACCACGCCCAGCTAATTTTTGTATTTTTTATTAAAATGAGATTGTGCCGTTTTGGCCAGGTTCGTCTCTAACTCCTGCCCTCAGGAGATCCACCCTCTGAAGCCTCCCAAAGTGTTGTGTATCCTTTTTAGACCTAGGAATCAAAGATCAGTAATGTAGCAGGACAAGTCCTTTAAAAGTTATGCAGATAGTTACATTAACGTAATAACAATAATTTATATTTTCTCAAAATCTCAGTATTCCTAAGTAGTTGAAAAACTTAAAAACAGCTACAGAGGAAGTATTTCAAGAAAATATAAAATTTGTTTTATGCCAGTTACCAAATGGGAAAAAACACCTTCAGCAGTGTGACTGTGTTTCCCTGTGGGGAAATCCATGCAGATAACCTGCAAGTCAACTCTAATGAAACAAAGTATTTGATTAATTAGACATAGGAAGAATGTGTCTTGGATTACAAGTGAAGATTTTGGTTCCATAGACAAATATAGACATTTAAAAAAACCCAAGAGTGCAGAATACTATATTGAAATAAAACATTTTATTAAGAACTTTAATATAAAAGATTTTTAGCATCAGGCAATAATAGCAGTTAGAAGCTAACAACAGTTAGAAGTTAACATCGTTAGAGGCTAACTGCTGTAAGAAAAAAAATGTTAGAGGAGCTCATGAAAAATTTGAGATCCTCTCAAGCCTTCTCAAAAGAGAATAAAATAAAACTGGCAAGATGCAGTAAGAGTTAAACTTTTGGGTTAAAAAATTAAAATATCTTATAATTTTATTGAGTAAATCAATACTTTAAGACAATTTTTCATTCTAACCAATCTTTAGTATATTTATATATTTTTATATGAAAGCCAGATCTCTACAAATCTATAAAGACTATTATAAATACTTCCTTTTTAATTATAGTCAACTTCATAATATGAAGTTATTTTAATTAATTAACTTTTTACAAACCTTAGTTTGACTTACACAAAACGCTTATGGCATACTTGAGCATATAGTTTTATTCTAAACATCACTGTTTCTTAAATAAAGTCATTTTTATTTTAGGATAAAAAGTTACAAGATTCTTTCTCATATAAAATTATTTTTTTTTATTTTAACCTTTCATACCAAAAGTACTCCTCTATGTCTAAAAATTTCTTTTCTTTTTTTTTTTTTTTGAGACAGAATCTTGCTCTGTCACCCAGGCTGGAGTGCAGTGGCATCTCTCTTATTTACTGGTTATGTTTAGGATGTTTTATAAGTAACCTCTGAATTAAATAAAATCTTTCTGTAAGAACAAATTTTTTACAAAAATATTTTCTTATAGTATACATTTTTTAAAACAATTAGTAATGACCTAAACATTTAGTTAATATCTATTATTTAATTAAACTTTAGATTTTTAAATTGTAGAACAAGTTTATTTAAAAGGTTTATTTTGTTACATTAACCTAATTTATTTTTTAAATAGCTTACCTAGATCATTTATGAAAACAGTAATACTCATCCTTTAAAGTTTTTTCCCTGTTACCCATATTATAACCCATGAATTTCAGGTGTTTACCTAAGTAAAATTCTTATTAAATAAATGATTGTATTTCCAATAACTATTTACCTGTTTTTTATTAAAACAACAGTATTAAACATCTTATTTGTCAAATTACAAAGATCATTCTGGTTTTAACTAGGTTAATAATTTTATAATCTTCATAGAAATGTTTCACACCATATAATATCTAGCTGTGATTTTAAATATAAAATCACTTGATCAATTGATATAAACTATGAGGTATTCTAATAATTGTTAAAATATTTCCAATTTTATTTTACCAATAATTTTGAAGCCAGCTTATTTATTACATATTTATTTAAGTTACATGTACTTCAGATGCATTAGGGCTCATTGACTTAATTTAAAATAGTTATTTATTTTAAAGTCAATTTTGTACCTTGTAGCCATAACACATAACAAAAAATATATATATATGTACATAATACATACAAGCACACATTCACACTAATACAAAGATACTAGAGCTTTTACTTTAAAACTCTAGCTGTGGAATATGAATAGAAACTCAACAGATGTTCAACAAAAAAGGGTTAGATGTAAACAGTGGTTGTCATCTTAAAACCAGTAGAAAGGCCCTGTAAACTGGAAAACAAAATATTTTTAAGCAAAAAACGTATCTTCATCTTTCTTAATAAACTTCACCATAAATTGATTATACTCTCTTACTATTCTAATTTTTAGTAACCCTAATTCACAGTGAGAAGCCTAGGATTACTTAATTTAACATGACATGACTTTAAGATTTTTAATTACTGAAGATAATTATGAGACTAAATTTACCAAATTAATATTTGTAAAGCAATGTAAAATGTAAAGGTGACTCTAAAAAATAGATGTACATTTTCTTTACAAAGCATTTCATTAAACAGACTTAACTTGATTGCAGATCTTTGAAACACAGCTTGATTACATTACTGCCCTTAGAGTGGGACCATTTAAGAAAAAGGACCAAGAAAACAGGCAGTTTTTAATTCATAAACTACAATTGCTTACGCAAATGTGCAAAGAAATGAGTAGCCTTCTGTAGTGATGACCATTTCCTGTAAACTTCCCTCAGCCACACCTAACATAGCTTTCAAAGCCACCCCTAAAATTACAGGTTTCATTCACTATTGCACACACCATGAATGAATCCTCTCAAAGTACAATGTAATTCTGGTAGCATCCAAAGCCAAAAACATGACATAATCCAAGAAAGCAGAGCTTTATACTTGCTCTGCTTTATACCGAAGAATCAGCCAATAATTGAAACCACAAAGGAAGCAGAAAAACTCCCAACATGTTAGTGACAAGATACAAGAGGAACCCTCCTCCCTGCTCCCACTCAGGGACCTGATGTGGATCTGCCTCCTAAGGGAGCGGTGGTGTCCTCAGTGCTCCCTGGTTTCCTGGGCACCCCCTGGTGTCCTGAGTACCCCCTGGTGGTTGTGAGTGTCCCCCGGTTTACTAAGCACATCGTTGTGTCCTGTGAGCCCCTTGTTGTCCTCAACGCACCCTGGCGTTCTGATCGCCCCCTGTAGGTCCTGAGCTATCCTTTGTGTCGTGTGTGCTCCTGGAGGTCCTGAGCACCCCCCGGTGTCCTGAGCACAGCCTGGTGATTCTGAGATCCCCCTGGTGTCCTGAGCGCCCACTGGTGGTTCTCAGCACTCCCTATTGTCCTTAGCAGCCCCCTGGGGTTCTGAGCACCCCTGGTGGTTCTCAGCACACTCTAGTGGTTCTGAACCACCTGGTGTCCCTATCGCCCCCTGGTGTCCTGAGCGCCCCCTGGTCTCCTGAAAACCCCCTAGTGGTTCTGAGCCCCCTGGGGTCCTAATCTCCCCCTAGTGGTTCAGAGACCCCTGGTGTCCTGAGCACCTCCTGGTGGTTCTGAGATCCCCCTGGTGTCTTGATTGCCCTTTGGTGTTTCTGAGCTCCCCCTAGTGTCCTGAGGGCTCCCTGGTGTCTCGAGTGTCCCCTGGTGGTTCTGAGTGACCCCCCCTCAGTGTCCTGAGCGCCCCCTGGTGGTTCTGAGCACCCCTGCTATCCTGAGCTACCCCTCACCACCGTGTCCGGAGTGCCCCCTGGTGGTTCTGAGTGACCACCCCCCCTCATAGTGTCCTGAGCGCCCCCTGGTGGTTCTGAGTGACCCCCCCCCCCCCAGTGTCCTGAGCGCCCCCTGGTGGTTCTGAGTGACCCCCCGCCCCCCAGTGTCCTGAGTGCCCTCTGGTGTCCTGAGCATCCCCTGATGGTTCTGAGTGCCCCCTGATGTCCTGAGCACCCCCTGGTGGTTCTGAGAAGCATCTACCAGGCAGTCCCCTCCTGTCTCCCTGCAGGGAGGTTGGTGTCTGAGTTCACACAGATGTCCCCTCACTGTGTCCCTCAAAGTAATACACGGACTTTTCCTGAGCTCTCAGGTTAATCATCTTAAAAGAGAATCTCCTGAACTGAGTGTATTTGAGGATTGTTAATCATCTTTTTACTCAAGGAGAGTCCCACTGAGAACTTCTATTTGAATTATTGTTATTACCCACACCCACCCCTGTCATGAAGCCTGCTGGATCAAGCTTATGCTGTTTTCAGTGAAAGTGAATCCAGAGGCTTTGCAGAAAAGGCAGAATTCCTGGTCTGTAGTATTTCTCTGTCTGACTCCATTAGTTAACTTCACAGGGGACTTCTGCAAACACAGAGGCAACAGCCACAGCAGGGCCTGATCCACGGGGAACCTAAACATTGAGAGTGATGACAAGAGCAGCCCAGATCCGCACAGACCCCATGGTGTGGACACTGAGGAAGGGCACAGATGTGGGATGGCTCCTCACCAGGATCTACAGGAACAGGGGATGAGCTACTTTTCATTTGCAGAGGAGGGGCCTCATTTCCATGTCTTTCTCCCTGGGGACATGAGTGCACTGCTCAGCAGGCCTCTTCCATCTCTGTCTCTGGATTCCAGGGAGGGCAGGGTCAAAGACTCCTGGGACTGGATTTGCAGGGTTGATCTGCCCATTACTCTTTTTTTCTCGTATGTGGACCCTATAGGCTATCTTTGTAGTATCAATATTTATCAACAAATAAGTACAGTAAACAAATAAAAATAAACCTTGCCCAGAGGAAATGGACTCCTGCCTGTAGGCTGTGCAATTAGAGCTGTAAAGGACTGTCTTCTACAATAAAGGAAAGTCTTCAGTCAGAATTTTAAAAATGACAATTTCTACAAACTATCAGAGCTGGAGTCCATAATTACCACTATCCTGAGCTCATTTTGCCACATAACTGTTCGTTGTCAGCTATATGTGCTTGTCTGAGGAAAAAGTCAATGTGGGGACATGTGTGCTTATCTGAGGGAAGAGTTCACATGAAGACAGGGGTGCTTGTCTGAGGGAAGAGTCAACCTGAGGATGTGTTTGTTTGTCTGAGGGAAAGGTCCATGTGGGGACAGGTGTGGGCATTGTCTGATGGTAAATGCCCATTCAGAGATGGTGTGTGCCTGCACTGAGCTGAAGTTTGAGGGAAATCTTTCTCAGTCAAAGGAAGTTGCGAATCATCTGGCTTAAATGCTTGTCAGCAGGGAAACTTGGTTGCACATGAACCTGATAAAAGAAAGGTCTCTTGTGAATGGAAACATCTTATGTGCAAATGGGGAAGGTTACTTCATTCTTTGTTGCCTGCATCTCATGCAATTCCCTGCCCACGCGGTGTAAATGTATTTGATATTTTATTTTTGTACACTTTGCATGTTCATGATGTGCTACATAATTTTGTAAGTTGTATATATTTAGATTCACAGTTTACATCATAAAATTGTGAGAATTAACAAATTGTGTCATGTGTTCACTACTGCAGATCATAAAAAATTTCACTGTTTGCAAACAGTACCTGTTTCTCCTAATGCATACCCTCTCTCTAAATTTCTAGAAAATCCTCATATATTTATGACATCTACAGTTTTGTCTTTTACAGAATGTCAAATAAAATGTATACAACATATTTCAAATAACCTCACTGAAGAAGGTGGCACATAAAGTTTCTCACCTATATAACTTAGAACTCAGGGTGTTCTGTAAGTCTAAAGTATAAAGAAACTGCACTTAAACACTTTATTCTAGTCAATAAACATACTTCCAACAGGGGTACAAGTTAACAATTCTAATACCACGACGCATATATTCTAAAATTGTACAACAAATTGAATGAACGGCAAATGATGGGAGGGGTTCCTCACTTTGCAGTAGGTGGTATGGACAGGCAAGGAAGGAAGGCTTGAAACATTCATGTATCATCATAGTAGATTGTAGATACCAGTGTTCTAAAGTTTGATGCAATAAACATACAGAAGATTGGATACATAAATAGATTAGATGGGTCAGTTAACATGGGTTAATATACACATACACATTTTCTAGGCCTGTTAGCTTAGAGATTCTAGAAACACTGACAGTACATTAACAACACACACATCCAACATCATAATTTTGTGTTTTAATATAATTCTTTAATATCAGGGACCAGTAATCCTTGGAGAAATAACTGATTCTATGTGTGGAAAAGATAATAGAGATAATGAGCTTAGTATTTCTTGTAATACCAGGAAATAGGGAAGTGATCAAAAACAAAAGGATGGGGCATGCTGTAAAAATACAGAATCCAAACTAAATGAGCTCACAGAACCTAAAAAAAAGCTGTGGTGATTTGAGCGATAAAATAAATAATGTAGCACTAGATCTTCTCCATAGTAAAAAATAAACATTCATGAGCCAATACTGATATTAACAGATTATTGAATACAGAAAATTAGAAAAAAGGCACCTTCCATTCAGAAGAATTCTAAACATCTTAAGTTAATAATCTTCTCATCAAATAGGAGAAATTTAAATGCTTATGCTGTGATTGTGGCCTGAGATTAGAGACAAGAGAAAAATCCTGTTAGTGGAATTCATAATTAGTTTTTAGATATGATGCCAAAAGTATGATTTATGAAATAATTATTTTATCTAAGTTTACACACACACACACACACACTATATATATATATATATATATATATATATATATATATGCACACACACATATATATGTATATAAATATTTTTCTCCCACAGACACTGATATGGGAGTAAAACGACAACAACAATTTGGAGAATACACTTGTAAAACACATATTTGTTAATCAATTTTTTGTTAACTTTGTGAGTGACTTATATAATGGGTATATAAGGAAACTTACAACTGATCAAAAAGAAACAATGCAATAAAAAATAATCCAAATACCATACGAGACACTTCATCACAATTATATAAAATAATTAAATACAAAATTTTAATTAGAAATATGTGCATTTAAACAGCAATGAGCTATCACTACTAATCTATTAGAATATTAAAATACACAATACTCTTAGTGCCAAATGGCAATGAGGATGCGGAAGAACAAGATCTATCATGCATTGCTGGCATGAACACAAAATTATAATTGCACGAAATGGAAAACATTAAAACATTTTGATATTTTATATAATGGAGATAAGTGTAGAGTTAAAGTGTTAAAATGTGATTATAACACAAAATTATAATTGCACAAAATGGAAAACATTAAAACATTTTGATATTTTATATAATGGAGATAAGTGTAGAGTTAAAATGTGATCTAGCAGCTGTGTTCCAAAATATTTACAACACCCATTCAAAAACTTATGCTCACACTAAATTTTCAGAGGAATTCTTTTATCAGGTTTATTAATTTGATTTGTTTTCCACTCCCTGAATTTTGCTTAGAGAACAAAAGTTGTATGGAAAATTTCCCACATAATTAGAGTCCATACACATTTCTATTTTCCTTTTTTCTGCAATGAATTAACCTCGCTTTCTAAAAAAAGTCTTTAAAGCAAATAAAATCCCTGTCATCTCTCAAGCCTAGCACTGCTGCCACCTCCCTCAGGATTTCTGACTCTCTCAGGATGTGGGTTTTCACACTGTGTGTCTCGCACAGTAGTACACATCTATGTCCTCAGATCTCTGACTGCTCAGCTCCATGTAGGCTGTGCTCGTGGACGTGTCCCTGGTCATGGTGACTCTGCCCTGAAACTTCTGTGCATAGCCTGTGTTACCATTGCCAGAGTAGCTCCCTACCATCCATTCAAACCCTTATCCAGGGGCCTGTCACACACAGTGAATGTCGTAGCTGGCGAAGGTGTATCCAGAGCTTTGCAGGACACCTTCACTGAGGCCATGGACGCTGGCAACAGGAGAGTCATCAGAAGCTGGGTGAGTCATATAATCAGGACAAACCTGTGCTCTCTTCTTCGGACCTGGAAAGAGTGGGCTGACCTTGTGTGGGGCAACAGAGGGGAGGAGACAGACCAAACATCCAGAACCAGGTGAGCACCTCACTTACCAGGTAGTCTCTGGGCCTTTTGTTTGAACACATGCAGAAGGACCTGTGCTCACCTTCAGGGAAATGGTGAACTTGGAGAAAAGATCACAGTGATCAATAATTTTTTACTTATCGAGAAAAAAGTGTCATAGGTCTGTATGCATCAATATGCGTGTGTACAGGTTGCTACACAAAAAAAAGGAAATTATATTAGCTGGAAAGAAAGCCAAAGAGCTTCTGAATGTGTAGGTGTTGTTATTCTCAAATACGCTAGCTCCCATTTTAGGATGCTGCTCCTTAGGGGCCAGGACACTGGGGCCGACAGAACATGCTGCAGAGGCTCAGTTCTGGACAAGAGCTACTGAGAACCAGAGACTCACTTCTTCCACAGCCCCACTGATGGATGAAGGCTCTGCCCTGGGTGCAGCAGCACTGAGGACATTGGCCCCCTGGTTCCCAACCCTGCTTCTATGGAAGAAGGTCTACCCCAGCAGGAGCTGCATGCTGACAAAGTGGAAAGTTTCTCCCCAACCCTGCACTGAGCGCTCAGCAACTACATTGAAGAAGAAAAACACTCCTAATCTCCACCTGCAGAATCTTATCTAGGAGCTCTGTCTCAGGAGCAGGGGTGAGGCTGAAATTTGGTCATAAAATAGAGTCCCGAATCTGGTCTTGAAGGACCTGACTTCCTTTACAACAGAGTGTGGAGAATTACAAAGCCCAAGAGTGCTTCAAAAACAGTGGAGGCTGTGGTAAAATGCACTTGGAAGGAGATGGGTGGATGCATGGGAGATCCAGGCTAAACTTCAGGGCTGCTGGCCTGCAGGAGAGAACCAAGAAGAATGAGAGCTGGAAAGAGTTCTCCTGGGGTCAGTACAAATGTCAGGCACTGTTTGTTCAAAGGCGCCCATGTTTGTTTGGTTCCATCTGCAGAGCAACTTAGACCTCAGTGCATTGTTGAAAATATAAACTTCCAACTGCAGGTAGTGGAGCTCAACATCTGGTCCTGGTCAGGGAAGAGCCAGAGAGAGCCCAGCCCAAGCCAGTGACATGCGAGGGTGACAGTGAAATCCACGACTGTGTCTCTGGGGATCTTTCAGGCAGGCCTTCTGTCACTCAGAAGAAAGTCTGGAGTTCACCTGTAATGGTTTGTGTCAAATTTTCAAAGACGTCCATGTTGTTTTTAGTTTCTAACACACACACACACACCACACACACACACACACACACACACACAATGTTAAACATCTGAATACGTGTGTGAACATATGATTTTAATCCTTTGTAGGACATACTTAGGAGTGAGAGTTCTAGGTCATGGATTAAGGACATGTTTAATTTTATGGGAAACTGTAAATGATTTTCCCAGAAACGGTTTCATTTTGCATTCCCACTAGCAATATATTAGTCTCTAGGGTGACTGACTTCCTCACCAACTCTGATATTGTCAGTATTTCTTTTTTATTTTTTGTCTTTCTAGAAAGTCTATAGTAGTGTCTCCTTTTGGTCTTGATTTGCATTTCTCTGGTGGAAAATCACATTCCTATGCTGATGTGTCATCTGTACATCTTTGAGGTTTGCCGGTTCTTGTTATAATTACATTGGTAGATATATGACTTGCAAATATTTTTTCCTTTGCAGCTTGTCCTTAATTTTCTTGATAGTCACTTGAGTAGAAAATGTTTTAAAATTTGAAGTTCAACTAATATTATTTTCATTTATTGATCACAAATTTTAATTTTCAGTATTGTTTATCAACTGTTAATCATTTTAATTGTATTTGTTTTTATTTTATATGTATAAATTTATGGGGAGTGACTGCAATTTTGTTACATATATATATTGCATAGTAGTCTTGGCTTTAACATATCCATGATCCAAATAATGTACATCATACCCATTAAGTAATTTCTCACCATTCTCCCACCTTTTGCTCTCCCATCTTTCTGAGTCTCCAATGTCCATCATTCCTTTCTCTATGTCCTTGTGCACATATGAGTTCACTCTCATTTATAAGTGAGAACATGTGGTGTATGATGTTCTGTTTCTCAATTATTATACTTAAAATAATGATGAATTCCATCCATGTAGCTGCAAAAGATATGATTGCATCCCTTAATATGGCTGGATAGTATTTAAATGTATATATATGTAACATTTTCTTTATAAAACTATCTGTTGTTAGGCATAGGTTAATTCCTAAGTTTGATGACTGTGCTATTATGAATAGTTCTGCAGGAAAACAAAAGTCTGCTTATCATTCTGATATAATGATTTATTTTTCCTTTAGGTAGTTATTTGTGGTTATCGAATCAAAGTAGTTCTACTTTTACTTCTTTGAAAAATCTCCATACTGTTTTCCATCGAGGCTGTGCTAATCTACATCCTCACCACAAGTGTCCAAGCGTTCCTTTTGCCTTCAATCCTCACCAATACCTGTTATTTTTGGCTCTTTAATAGTAGCTGTTCTGACTGGTTTAAGAAATATCACTGCAGTTTTAATTTGCATCTCCCTGATAATTAGTGCTGTTTAGCATTGTTTACTTATCTACCATCCAGCATTTTCCCATGTATATCAATACGTCAAGTGGTGTACCTTAAATACATACAATTTTATTTGTCAACTTTAGCTCCATAAAGCTGAAAATGTAAGTCTTATAATAAAAAAGCATACTTATATTTCTACATATTTTATCAATATGTGAGAATATAAACAGAAAAACTTGCACAAAAATAGTTATAACAGTTTGCTTATAATATTTATGTTGGAAACAAATTTAAATTTCATCAACAGGAAAACAAATATACATATCGTCATTATTTCACATAATAAACTGATTTATTTACTTAATAAACTGTCATTTACTGATGTTATGGATTGATTCAGATATGAAATATTCATATGTGTATTAGTACATACATATGTATATATACGATGACAAAACCTTGAGACATGAAATTACATAAATAAACCTAAAAAATAGCAAAAATAAGTTCAAAACAGAAAAAATCAATCTATAATGACAAAAATTAGAACATTTTTCTATTTGCATTTTTCTGATGGTTAGTGATGATGAGAATCTTTTAAAATATTGCTGGCCACCTGTAAGTCTTCTTTTCAGAAGTGTCTGTTCTTGTTATTTGCCCATTTATTAATGGGGTTATTTGTCTTTTGATTCTTGATTTGTTTAAGTTTCCTATACATTCTTGATATGGTTTGATTGTGTCCCCACACAAATCTTATCATGAATTGCTGCTCCCATAATTACCATGTGTTGTGGGAGGGACCCCGTGGGAGATAATTGAATCATGGTGGGGGGGGGTCTTTCCCATGCTATTCTCATGATAGTGAATTAGTCTCATGAGATCTGATGATTTGATAAAGGGGAGTTTCCCTGCATGAGTTCTCCTGTCTTGCTGATGATTTTATAAAGGGGAGTTTCCCTGCATGTCCTCTCTTCTCTTGTATGCCACCATGTGATATGTGCCTTTCATGTTCTGCCATGATTTCGAGGCCTCCCCAGCAACGTGGAAGTGTGAGTCTATTCAACCTCTTTCTCTTGTAAATGCCCAGTCTCAGGTATGTCTTTATCAGCAGCATGAAAAGCAACTAATACGGTAAATTGGTATCAGTTGAGTGAAGTGCTTCTGATAAGATACCCAAAAGCATAAAAGCAAATTTGGAATTGGAAAACACGCTGAGGATGAAACAGTTTGGAGGGCTAAGAGGAAGACACAAAAAATGTGTGAAAGTTTGAAACTCTCTAGAGATTTGTTGAATGGCTTTGGCCAAAATGCCGATAATGATGTCAACAATAAAATCCAGGCTGAGGTGGCCTCAGATGGAGACAAGGAACTTGTTGGGAACTGGAGCAAAGGTGACTCTAGTTAGGCTTTAGCAAAGAGACTGGTGGCATTTTGCCTCTGCCTTAGAGATTTGTGGAACTTTGAGCTTGAGAGAGATGATACCAGGTATCTGGCAGTAAAAAATTCTAAGCAACAAAGTATTCAAGGTGTGACTTGGGTGCTGTTAAACACACTCAGTTTTAAAAAGGAGGTAGAACATAAAAGTTCAGAAAATTTGCAGCCCGACAATGCAATAGAAAATAAAATCCCATTTGGTTAGGATAAATTCAAACCAGCTGCGTAAATTTACATAAGTAACGAGGACCCAAATGTTGGTCACCAAGACAATGCAGAAAATGTTCCAGGGCATGTCAGAGACCTTTGTGGAAGGTTCTCCCATCATAAGCCAGAGACCTAGGAGGAAAAAATGATTTCATGGGCTGGGCTCAGGGTCCCTCTGCTGTGTGCAGTCTAGGGACTTGCTTCCTTGCATCAGAGCTGCTCCAGCCATGATTAAAAGGGGCCAAGGTACATATAACTCAGGCTGTGGCTTCAGGGGGTGAAAGCCCCGAGCCTTAGCATCTTCCATTTTGTGTTGAGCCTGCAAGTGCACAGAAGTCAAGAATTGAGGTTTAATAACCTCTGCCCAGATTTCGGAGGATGTATGTAAATGCCTGGATGTCCAGGCAGAAGGTGGCTGCAGGGAGGGGCCCACATGGGAACCTCTGTTAGGGGCAGCGAGGAAAGAAAATGTGGGGTGGGTGCTTTCACACAGAGTCCCCACTGGTGCATTGCCTAGTGAAGCTATGATTAGAAGGCCGCAGTTATTCAGACCCCAGAATAGTAGATCCACCAACAGCTTGCACCATGCACCTAGAAAAGCCATGGACACTCAGAGCAAGCCGGTGAAAACAGCTGGGTGAAAGACTGTACCCTGCAAAGCCAGAGGCACATAGCTGCCCAAGACCATGGGAACCCAACACTTACATCAGCATGACCTGGATGTGAGACATGGAGTCAAAATAGATCTTTTTTGAGCTTTAAGATTTAACTGTCCCACTGGATTTTGGACTTGTACGGGGCCTTTAGCCTCTGTGTTTTGGCCAACTTCTCCCATTTGGAATTGCTCTATTTACCCAATACCTGTACTCCCATTGTGTCTAGGAAGTAATTAACTTACTTTTGATTTTACAGGCTCATAGGCAGAAGGGACTTGCTTTGTCTCAGATGAGGCCTTGGAATGCGGACATTTCAGTTAATGCTGAAATAAGAATTTGGGACTGTTGGGAAGGCAGGATCCATTTTGAAATGTGAGTACATGAGATTTAGGAGGAGCCAGGGGCAGAATGATATGATTTGACTGTGTCCCCACCCAATTCTCATCTTAATTGGAGCTTCAGTAATTTCCTAATGTTGTGGAATAAACCCCCTGTGAGATAATTAAATCATGGGGGTGGGTCTTTCCCATGCTATTCTCTTGAGAGTGAATGTCTCATAAAATCTGATAGTTTTATAAAGGGGGATTTTCCTGCACAAGTTCTCTTTTCTTGTCTGCTGCCATATGAGACGTGCCTTTCACATTCCACCATGACTGTGAGGCCTCTCCAGCCTTGTGGAACTGTGGATCAAACCTCTTCTTCTTCTTTTTTGATAAATTTCCTAATATCGGGTATGTCTTTATTAGCAGCATGAAAACCAGCTAATACAATTCTGGATATTAGGGCATTGTTGGATGCAACATTTGTGAATAACTTCCCACATTCTGTAGGTTGTCTGCTTACTATGCTGATAGTTTTGTTTGTTTATTTGTTTGTTTGGTTGATTAGCTGGTTGGTTTGCTGTGTAGTAACTCTTTAGCAAATTAGTCTCTCCTTATCTATTTTTGTTTTTGTTGCAATTGCTTTTGCATACTTAGCCAAAAAGTATTTGTCAAAGCTGGTGTCGAGAAGAGTATTTTCACGTTGTCTTCAAGGATTGTTATAGTTTGATGTCTTACATTTAAATCTTTTATCAATTTTGAGTTAATTTTTATATATGTTGAAAGCAGACATCCAGTTTCAATCTTTGTCGTGTGGCCAGCTAGTTGTCCCAGCACCATTTATGGAACAGGGAATTCCTTTCTCATTTCTTGTTTTTTTGTCAGCCTTATCAAAGATCATATGGTTGTAGGTGTGCAGCCTCACACCACTCAAATTTTTATCACTAAAAAGTCAAAAACCAATGGATACTGATGGGGCTGTGGTGAAAAGAAAGCACTTACACACTGTTAATGGGAATATAAATTAGTCCACCCACTTTGGAAAGCAGACTGGAGATTTCTCAAAAAACTTAAAATGGAGATATTATATGAACCAGCTATCCTATTACAGGGTATACACTACAAGGTAAACAAATAATTCTACCAAAGAGACACATGCATGTGTATGTTTATTGCTGTGTTATTCACAGTGGCAAAGACAAAGATCAGCCCAGATGCACATCAATGGTAGAGTGGATATATAAAATGTGTTACATGTAAAATATATAATACTACACAGCCATAAAAAAGAATGAAATCATGTCCTTTGCAGCAAAACAAATGGAGCTGGAGTTCTTAATCCTAAACAAATTAATTCAGGAAAATAAAACTGAACACCACATATTCTTGTAAGTGGGACCTCAGCATTGAGCACACATAGACATAAATATGGGAGCAACAGACACTGTGGACTGCTAGACCATGGAGGGAGGGGGTGAAGAAATCTGTATTCCAAACCTCAGCATCACTCAGTAATCCCATGTAACAAATCCACACATGAACCCTCTGTATCTAAATTATAAAGTTGAAATAAAAAAAAATCCTTATGTGAGAACTAACTGGAAGCACTAAGAGGACACTTTGTGGGGAGATGGACCTCACCTGTTCCTCACCCTCACTTAGCTGCTGTAGACAAGTATGTGCACATTTGCCTGAAACCCTCTAACTGTACCTGGAGAATCTGTGCATTTTTGTATATGCTAATTTTATCTCACAAAAATGGAAAACAGACAATTGTAGAAAAATATTTTATATTAAAATTAAAATCTTAGTAAAATAAATATGAAAATTCAAATACAAAATGAGAATGTGATTGTTACAATAATTATTATGCATTTAGGATATAATTATATGTTACAATAATTATGTTACAATAATTATTATGCAATTAGGAATGTTTATTTCTTGAAAGTATATACTTAAAAATATAATAATATGTAGAATGTTAATAATTACTAAAATTTAAGTATTAATGATAAAATTCATAATAAATATAAGTAACAAAATATCACAGCCTAGAAGACTCCAGAGTCCTGCGAAGATAAACCTGACTTTTCCAGCTGAGGAGAAAGGAAACCTCTCCCGGCACCTGCTCCTGGGACCTGTCCCGCCCTCAGTGGGTCACGAGCGCCCCCTGGTGGCCCCGCGCGCCCCTGCAGGGAGGTTTGTGTCCGGGCTCACACTGACCTCCCCTCACTGTGTCTGTGGTACAGTAATACACGGCTGTGTCCTCGGTTTTCAGGCTGTTCATTTGCAGATACAGCGTGTTTTTTGAATCATCTCTTGAGATGGTGAATCTGCCTTTCACGGGTGCAGCGTAGTCTGTTGTCCCACCATCAGTTTTGCTTTTAATACGGCCAACCCACTCCAGCCCCTTCCCTGGAGCCTGGCGGACCCAGCTCATCCAGGCGTTACTGAAAGTGAATCCAGAGGCTGCACAGGAGAGTCTAAGGGACCCCCCAGGCTTTACCAAGC
This sequence comes from Homo sapiens, assembly GCF_000001405.40. NCBI lineage: Eukaryota > Metazoa > Chordata > Mammalia > Primates > Hominidae > Homo > Homo sapiens. The sequence continues at coordinate 621,665 of NT_187600.1, forward strand.
CTCCCCCAGACTCCACCAGCTGCACCTCACACTGGACACCTGCAAACACAGAGACACTAAGATCAGAAACTGCCACACATATCCACTGTTTCTCTCACTCACGTCCACTCACACTTAATCTCTCTAGTTCTCCATAAATCACCTTTTAAAATAGCAGCAAGGAAAATCCAGCTCAGCCCAAACTCCATGGTGAGTCCTCTGTGTTCAGTCCTGATCACTGAATGAAAACACTTGGGAATCCCAAGGCTGGGGCTCCTCTCCCAGAGCTGCAGGGTCAGGACTGGGCTGGTTTTCATCAGGAGAGGGAGGGCCCTATTTGCATGTCACCTACTATATAGCAAGCTCTGGGGTGGGATGCCTGAGCAGAGGGCAGGGCCCAGATAAGGTAATGATGCCCTGCAGGAATCTAATGACAATGATGCTGTTTGGAAAACTTGCTGTCTTGTTATGAAATTGTGCTGTGATAAACACTTTGCACTAATCACTCTCTTACATTTTTACATATTTGTGTAAATCATATTTTTAGGGGTCAATGGTTTCTCAATTTACAGATGGGGAAGTAAACCCATGCGTGGAGGGGCTTTGTATGTATCTAAGAGCTCATACCTGAGGTTAGTGAGCCCCAGTATCTAGGCCTGTGCTCCTCATCCACTGGCCCTATATTACTCCCTAACCCAACTCCAGGACAGAGCTGAGCATGCCTAGTGTGGTTTGTGAAACCCACTTTCTGTATTGAGAGCATGTGTAATTTTGCTGCATTCTAGCATTCACCTAAAAATATGGTGAGAACTAGGGTTCACGAAGATAAATTATTAGGTGTTTCTGAAATTTAATATTTTTTCTATCTTTATGTCACTTATTTCTTGTGCAAGTTTTCATTTGTTTGCTGGTAATAAATTTTATAAATTTCAGTTTACTGATAATAAACTTCACATATTTAAAGTGTACAATTGATAAACCTGATGTAACCATCCTAGTTACCAAGGTGAACCAGAAAATTCACAAAATTTCCCTCTCATTCTTCTATATTCCTCCTCCTTTCCTCTTCCCTTCTTCTACCATTTCCCCAAATGGTAAATTCTGTTCTTCTTTATATTGCTGTAGATTCAATTTAATTTATCAGAGTTTATTAAAATGGAATAACATAGTACATATTCTTATTCATTTGCTTTATTTTCCTGAACATCAATACTTAGATATTTTACCTTGTTGTTATATTACTTAAGTAAGTTCAGTTTTTATTTTCCAGAATTTATATAAATGAAATTATATGGTAAATCTTCTCATTTGTCTGGTTTATTTTACTCAGCAAAAATACTTAGATATTTTACCTTCTTGTTGCATGTATCAGACAATTATTTATTATAAATGTTGTGTAGTATTCCATTGAACAAATTTACCATAATTTGATTTTCTGTTAAGCAGCTTAACAATGTTCAAATTATTTTATTACTCTGGTAGTACTAAAAATCTACTACTCGACTTGAAAATGTACATAAATGAGGGATATATATTCTTTATTTCTTACAACTACATCAACAATAACAGATAAACAGTCAAGATGAAATTTTGCAAATTTCTGAATGCTTAGGATAACTGAAGTTAAAAAAAATCTTAAATTTAACAAGAAGCAAGTTCTTGTAGAGAGTAACAAAGCCAGCATATGAGATTACCTAAGGCAGAGTCTGGCATATGAAATATAGTCTGTTAAAGATAAAAATACAAATATATATGGGATTGCTTGAAACTGAATATGGTAAGCTTGTTGTAGTTTGAAATTCTAAGGGACCACATACTGAAGAGCTTTTCTATCCTCTTGAATCCCTTTCCCCAAAAAAGGGGCAGTCACAAAATCTTCCTTTCCCAAAGTGTCTGTCTGGGAGAGAACAAGAGCCCCCATTTTTGAAAGGCATTCAGACTCGACTCCCTTATATCCACTACAGAACCAAAAATTACTTTGCAGGGGAACCACCAAAACCAGTACCCTAGGGGCACTGGTGCAACCCCTCAGGAATTGAGATGGGAACAGAGGTCACTGCCACGAAGTTCTGTTGAGACATAACTCTCCTTCTTATGGAATCAGAGCTTTAGTCTGCAGGGCAGGGCAGCAGATCTGGGAGGTGATGACACTGATGCGGAACACTGGAGCTGTGGGAGGGAACACCTGGGGGAAACAGGGTGGTTCTACCCCAGTGAAAGGGACAAGAACACACAGATGAGCATCTCCTCTGGAGGAGGGACAGGAACACTCAGAAGGTCACACCCAGACTTACGGGCACAATGCCTTTCTAGGAATATGGACCAAGATGAGGTCAGAGACTCTTCCTTTAGTGTAAGGGCTTCCACTAATTTATCAATTGTCAGTTACATGTAACAGAGGAATGCACCTGTGGGAGCTGAAAGAGATTCTCTGGAGGATGGAACAAGGAGAAGAGACACAGTCACGCAGCAAAGAAAAACAAGATATCGCTGGAGCATCTATATCTCTGGTGGACATAGAAGAACAGACTTCAATTAGTTGTTGAAACCTTTATATCAGTCTTTACTAATTTATATGCTAAAATAGTCGGCCTCATCAATGGAGTCTTCTTATCCCCATCAGGGATGAGTGTCCATGTGGGCACGTGGTGCAGTTCTAGTCATGGGGGCAGGGGAGGTGGTCTGTTGAGGTGTTCCTGGTCCTTCAGAGGAGAATTGCAGAACTGTCTCTGCCCCTTTTCCAGCCAATATATAAAATACGTATGTGACCATGGGAATATTGTCACCATGTCACTGCATTATGGGAGTCACCTGGGGGGTGAAGCTGACTTTCTGGATGCATCAGTGTGGAAAATTGAGAAAAGAAACTTCCTGGGTACATGAGTTGTCAAATTATTCAATCCTGGAGCCACTCACATCCAGAGGCTTCCTGTTTCATCAGGTTGTGATTTTCCTCATTGTTTAGTCGGCCTAGGCTGTCTTTCTTCACTCTCTGCTAAAATAGTCACACATAATATCTAGAAGCATTAAGATTAATAAGTAACTAATTTGAAAATTAGAACAAGTCCCAAGTGAAGTCAAAGTTACTGTGTGGTTGACAGGAAACATGGCTGGATACTAAGAGTGTGTTCACATCTGTTTTATGTAGATTAGCAATATATTTTGTATATCCCTTAGGTAATACTTTCATTGAGACTCCTGATTTAACACTATTTCTTGATGAATAACATGTAAATCATAAAGGTGGAGGTTATTACCTAATAATTCATATTACTGGTACAAACTTTCACCTAGGATATATTCCTATACCTGATGTAAAATCAGCCCAGAATGGAGAAGTTACTTCACTTATTAGAGCTTGTCAATTAACTAAAAACCAGGATTAAATACAGATGTTCTACATTAGTGCGTAATTTTAAAATGTGTTGCAAGCAGAGGAGGTTCTTACGTCTCCTGGAAGCCCCATCAAAATGGACAAAAAAAGACACTTTTAAATAAATTCCTACATTATAGAGACCTGACATATGAATTCGAAACCAAATGCCAACAAAGGAGAAAACAAACAAATAAAACAACTAGTATGGAAGCTAGAATAACGTGATGCACCATGACACCAAATATTCAGTCTTAACGTGGTTTTTAATATTATGTAAACATGGAAGGTATTGCCATTGTTCATACGATACAGAATCAATGGCACTCACAATCATCTGAGTATGTTGAAAAATGGCATCTTTAAATAAAAATTATGAAAACTTCAATAAAATATTGAACTCTCTTCACCAAGGGTTATACCATTAGCACTATGGCGTGATGGTTTCCTCCCTCAGCACACATCAGTTATTACCCTACGACTTGGTAGCTGGAAGATTCACACTTTCGAGATTTTACCCTCATCACATACCTTTGTCCTATTGCATGCATGTGTTACAAATATTGAAAATGATTTTTGTGTTGTACGCACTCCAATGACTAAAAATTTAAAGTTGCCTTTTTACCACATCTTTTAACGGCATTTTGTGATATCCGACCATGAAGTTATGTCTATTGTGTGTCTTTTATCACACAATGTGAATCTAGTTAGGAATTGCGGGAGCTTCCTCATTTGACACCAGTGGGTGTTTCGCACTGTACAATCCCCTTCCTGTGCGTGGGAAGCCTCACTCTGACCCACGACGAAACCATCACAAAAACCCTGAGCCAGTCTGCTTTCTGGCTCTATCGAGCCATTTTGGGTGTTCCTGAGAGACCAGCACTAATCTCGGCAGAGAGTTCAAGAGGTAATTAACCTTTCCATATTCACATCGGGGGAGTATGCAGCACCCACAGATGTGACATCTACATGATATTTTAATTGAGATCCCTTTGCCTTTTTGAGGTTTCAACTAGAACTGACGCTGTGAGCTTGTTGTCATGGCTCCCAAACACAGGACCCACCTGTTCCCTGAACCAGCTCCAGGACAGAGCTGGACATGCCTGGTGTGGTTTGATAAACCCCCATTTTTAATAAAATCATGACATTATTTTGCTGTATTCTAGTGTTTCCCTAAAAATATAGGTAGACCCAGTGTGTATTCATGTGTATATTCAGGAGTCTCTGATTTCTCATATATATTTAATGGAATATGTAATCCTTTCTTTAAATGATACTTTACGTTCTGGGGTACGTGTGCAGAATGTGCAGTTTTGTTACATAGGTATACACACGCCATGGTGGTTTGCTGCACCCATCAACCTGCCGTCTACCTTAGGTATTTCTCCTAATGCTATCCCTCCCCTAGCCCTTTACCTCCCAACAGGCCTCAGTGTGTGATATTCCCCTCCCTGTGTCCACCTGGTCTCATGGTTCAACTCCCACTTACGAGTGAGAACAGTGGTGTCTGGTTTTCTGTTCTTCTGTTAGTTAGCTGAGAATGATGGTTTCCAGCTTCATCCATGTCCCTGCAAAGGACATGAACTCATCCTTTTTTATGGCTGCATAGTATTCCATGGTGTATATGTGCCACATTTTCTTTATCCAGTCTATTATTGATGGACATTTGGGTTGGTTTCAAGTCTTTGCTATTGGGAATGGTGCCCCAATGTGTCTTTGTAGTAGAATGATTTATAATCCTTGGGGTACATACCAAGTAATGGGATTGCTGGGTCAAATGGTATTTCTAGTTCTAGATCCTTGAGGAATCGCCACACTGTCCTCCACAATGGATGAACTTAATTACACTCCCACCAACAGTGTAAAAATGTTACTATTTCTCCACATCCTCTCCAGCATCTGTTGTTTCCTGACTTTTTAATGGTCACCATTCTAACTGGTGTGAGATGGTATCTCATTGTGGTTTTGATCTGCATTTCTCTAATGACCAGTGATGAGGAGGGTTTTTTCATGTTTGCTGGCTGCATAAATGTCTTCTTTTGAGAAATGTCTGTTCATATCCTTCACCTACTTTTTGATGGGTTTTTTTTTCTTGTAAATTTGTTGTAGATTCTGGATATTAGCCCTTTGTCAGATGGATAGATTGCAAAAATCTCCCATTCTGTAGGTTGCCTGTTCATTCTGATGATAGTTTCTTTTGCTGTGCAGAAGCACTTTCCTTTAATTATATCTCATTTGTCAGTATTAGCTTTTGTTGCCATTACTTTTGGTGTTTTAGACTTGAAGTCTTTGCCCATGCCTATGTCCTGGATGGTATTGCCTAGATTTTCTTCTAGGATTTTTATGGTTTCAGGTCTGGATAAGTCTTTCATCCATCTTGAGTTAGTTTTTGTATAAGGTGTAAGGAAGGGGTCCAGTTTCAGTTTTCTGCATATGGCTCGCCAGTTTTCCCAACACCACTTATTAAATAGTTCCGGAATTCTTTCCCCATTGTTTGTTAGTGTCAAGATTGTCAAAGTTCAGATGGTTGTAGATGTGTGGTGTTATTTGTGAGGCCTCTGCTCTGTTCCATTGGTCTATATGTCTGTTTTGGTACCAATACCATGCTGTTTCGGTTACTGTAGCCTTGTAGTATAGTTTGAAGTCAGGTAGCATGATGCCTCCAGCTTTGTTTTTTTTTTTTTTGCTCAGGATTGTCATGGCTATGCAGGATGTATTTTTGGTTCCATATGAACTTTAAAATAGTTTTTTCCAATTCTGTGAAGAAAGTCATTGGTAGTTTGATGGGGATAGCATTCAATCTATAAGTTGCTTTGGGCAGTATGGCCATTTTCATGATGTTTATTCTTCCTATTCATGAGCATGGAATGTTTTTCCATTTGTTTGGGTCCTCTCTTATTTCTTTGAGCGGTGGTTTGCAGTTCTCCTTGAAGAGATCCTTCACATCCCTTGTAAGTTCTATTCCTAGGTATTTTATTTTCTTTGTAGCAATTTTGAGTGGGAGTTCACTCATGATTTGGCTCTCTGTTTTTCTGTTATTGGGTTATAGAAATGCTTGTGATTTTTGCACATTGATTTTGTATCCTGAGACTTTGTTGAAGTTGCTTATCAGCTTAAGGAGATTTTGGGCTGAGATGATGGGGTTTTCTAAATATACAATCATGTCATCTGCACACAGAGACAATCTGACTTCCTCTTTTCCTATTTTTATACAATTTATTTCTTTCTCTTGCCTGATTACCCTGGCCAGATCTCTCAATACTATGTTGAATTGGAGTGGTGAGAGAGGCATCGTTGTCTTGTGCTGGTTTTCAAAGTAAATGCTTCCAGTTTTTGCCCATTCTGTATGATATTGGCTGTGGGTTTGCCATAAATAGCTTTTATTATTTTGAGATACATTCCATCAATACCTAGAGCATTGAGTTTTTAGCATGAAGGGGTGTTGAATTTTGTTGAAGTCCTTTTCTGCATCTTTTGAGATGATTATGTGGTTTCTGTCATTGCTTCTGTTTAGGTGATGGATTACATTTATTGATTTGCATATGTTGAACCAGCCTTGCATCCCAGGGATGAAGCCCACTTGATCGTGGTGGATAAGCTTTTTGATGTGCTGCTGGATTTGGTTTGCCAGTATTTTATTGAGAATTGGTGCATTGATGTTCATCAGGGATATTGGCCTGAGCTTTTCTTTTTTTTGTTGTGTCTCTGCCAGGTTTTGGTATCAGGATGATGCTGGCTTCATAAAAAGAGTTAGGGAGGAGTCCCTCTTTTTCTATTGTTTGAAATAGTTTCAGAAGGAATGGTACCAGTTCCTCTTTGTACCTCTGGTAGAATTCAGCTGTGAATCCATCTGGTCACGGACTTTTTTTTTGGTTGGTACGCTATTAATTACTGCCTCAATTTCAGAATTTGTTATTGTTCTATTCAGGGATTTGACTTCTTCCTGATTTAGACTTGGGACGGTGTATGTGTCCAGGCAGTTATGCATTTCTTCTAGATTTTCTAGTATATTTGCATAGAGGCATTTATAGTATTCTCTGATGGTAGTTTGTATTTCGGTGGGATCAGTAGTGATATCCCCTACATTACTTTTTATTGCATTTATTTGATTCTTCTCTCTTTTCTTCTTTATTAATCTGGATAGCTGTCTATTTATTTTGTTGATGTGCTGTATTCAGGAGACCCATCTCATGTGCAAAGACACACATAGGCTCAAAATAAAGGGATGGAGGAATATTTGCTAAGCAAATGGAAAGCAAAAAAAAAAAATAGCAGGAGTTGCAATCCTAATCTCTGATAAAACATTTTAAACCAAAAAAGATCAAAAGAGACAAAGAAAGGCATTGCATAATGGTAAAGGGATCAATGCAACAAGAAGAGCTAAATATCCTAAATATATATGCACCAAATACAGGAGCACCCCGATTCATAAAGGAAGTCCTTAGAGACCTACAAAGAGACTTAGACTCCCACACAACAAGAGTGGGAGACTTTAACACCCCGCTGTCAATATTAGACAGATCAACGAGACAGAAAATTAACAAGGATATTCAGGACTTGAAGCAGACCTAATAGATATCTACAGAACTCTCCACCCCAAGTCAACAGAATATACATTCTTCTCAGCACCTCATCGCACATATTCTAAAACTGACCACATAATTGGAAGTAATACACTCCTCGCCAAATGCAAAAGAACAGAAATCATAACAAACAGTCTGTCAGACCACAAGTGCAATAATCAAATTAGAACTCAGGATGAAGAAATTCACTCAAAACTGCACAACTACATGGAAACTGGAAAACCTGTTCCTGAATGTCTACTGGGTAAATAAAGAAATGAAGGCAGAAATAAAGATGATCTTTGAAACCAATGAGAACAAAGACACAACATCTGAGAATCTTCGGGACACATTTAAAGCAGTGTGTAGAGGGAAATTTATAGTACTAGATGTCTACAAGAGAAAGCAGGAAAGATCTAAAACTGACACCCTAACATCACAATTTGAAGAACTAAAGAAGCAAGAGCAAATTCAAAAGCTAGCAGAAGAGAAGAAATAACTAACATCAGAGCAGAACTGAAGGAGATAAAGACATGAAAATCAATTCCAAAAAATCAATGAATCCAGGAGCTGGTTTTATGAATCTATAATTCTGTGTTGAGAAATTTAAAATTTATTTAGTTTGATGGTTGAATCCTTATGCCATCGTTCTGAGATTTTCTTTTTTATTTCTCATATATTTTATCCATCTCTAACTCCTTTTCTACCAAATTATATATGTTTAAATTTGTAGTATTTTAAGAAGTCGAAATTAGAAAGTAATAATCTTCACTTAATGTGTACAATTTGACAAATAATGACATAACCATAACCTTTCTCAATACAGAAAAAATTATCCTCAAAATTTCCTCTCGTTGTCCTGTAATTTCCACTTGCTACACCTTCCCTTCTCATACCATGTCCACGGCCAACTACTGGTTTTCATTATGTAACTTTAGATTAGTTTTCATTTTATAAAATTTATAAAAGTGGAACTGTATGTATGTACTTGTATTTCTTTGGCTTATGTTACTCGTCATAAGTACTTGTGAATTTACCCTTGTTGAGCATTTCCAGCCGTACTTGTTTGAACAGTGGGTATTATTCAAGTGAACGAATTTAGAACAAAGTGTTTACTGCTTAACCTGCTGATCAATATTTGGATTGCTTTCAGTATCTGGGTATTATAAATAAAGGTGCTACTCAGCTTAGAGAACTACACAGTTGAGAAAGACAATGTTCTTATTCCTACATCAACATGAACAGCAGTTAAACTGAAAAAGCTGCACTTCAGTAAATTTTCTTCAACGCATCAGGTAATTAAAGTTGTAGAACTCTTTGTGGGTGTCAGTTTGTGTGTGAGAGAGGAGGGAGGAAGGGACACAGAAAAAGTGAGAGATCCTACATAATTAACCATAACTTATGAGGTGCTCAAATACATACAGGGACTTCGTCCTAATGGACAAGGTCCACATAAGATGGAAAGGACAACTTGGTGCACCTACGTATGGCTATATATTTATATAAATATCATTGTCTAATAATAAAATAATATACATTAGAATAAATATAGTGGAGAGTAAAATATGACAGTGATGAAAAACCCCACCTCCAGCACCTTTTTTCCCCTCTTGCACCTGCCTTGATGTGTCCTGAGAGCCCTTGGTGTCTGAGCACCCCCTGGTGTCCTGAGCTTCCCTGCAGGGAGGTTTGTGTCTGGCCTCACAATGACCTCCCCTTCTGTGTCTTTTGTATAAAAATCCATGGTGGTTTACTCATTGTGCGGGTAGCTCAGCTGTAGGAAAAACTGTTTTCTGAATGTGGATCTGGAGGTGGTGACTGGACTCTTGAGAAGCGGGTTGCACTGTGTGTTTCCTCGTGACCTACACACCTGACCCACTTCAGCTTCTTCCCTGGGGGCTGGCAGATACAGCTCCAGGAGGAAGTACTGGTTATGATTGGAAATCCAGAGACAGCACAGGTGAAGGAGAGGGTCTCTGAGGGCTTTACTAGAACATGAGTGCACTGAAAAACACAATTTTTTTCATACGCAGGATCTGAATGACATTTTGATGAGGACGATCCTGGGCTAGAAGCATCAATAACAAGGTTGACATCAGTGTAAGGTTGGATAGGCAGTTGCTGTGCAGATATTTTCACAGAAGTAATTCTTTCATTGTTGTGGTTGCCTTGTGCAAGATTGTGGCCTTTCCGAGTGTTAAAAAGCTAGCTCTTGTTGTTAGGGATATAAGTAATTATTTTGTTGTTGTGGTTATTCTGAGTGTTATAAAGCTAGCTCTTGTTCTCAGGGATATAAGTAATTCTTTTATTGTTGTGGTTGCCTTTGTTCAATTTGTGGTTTTTTGGAGTGTTATAAAGCTAGGTCTTGTTCTCAGGGGTATGTGCATGAGAAGCTTCCATCCATGGCCTTCCCCAGCTCCATTTGTCAGGGTTTGAACACAGGGGACTCCAGTTGGATTCCGACAAATTTTACAAGCTCTTCTAACACTACTGGTGAAGAAGGTGACTCTGTGACAGTTTACACAGCACAGGATCAATTCCACATCCTCACCCCATTTTGACCAAAGAAGCTTGTGCCCTCATTACTAATGGCCACACGCGTTCTCAGACGCGTCTCCAGAAAACAGAGTGGAGTATCCTGAACAATGAGAGAGAAGAAAGTCTCAGCAGCCTCTCCCAATGGCTGCAGGAGTCACAGCCTGAGCCCCACCTAAGCTCCAGGGAAAGGGCTTGAGCCCCAGGATTTAGACCACAGGGACAACATCCTTTTATCCAGAAAGCAGGAAAATCAAATGGAAAAGCGAGAACCACTAAAAATGAAAGTCAGGAAGCACCAGATCAGTGCTGATACTCATTTGCATACTTTATTGTCAGGAGAAATGTCATACATAAAATCTGTGAGGTCCTACATGACACTGAACCTGGTCCAGCCTCTCTCTTGGCTGTAATCGAAATCCCTAAAAGCCATTCTAGTCAGGGAATCCCATTGAGGTTACTGTCCTGAGTCTGACTGGAGAAGACTCACCAGGCACCCCTGAGCTTCCTCACAACTCTGATGCTGGTGACCATGGTTGAGGAGTTTTCATTCCCGTAGGTGGCAATATACATATTGTGCATGTGAGAATGAGTCCTCGTATTATAATGATTTAAAAAAATATATGTAGAGATGACATTGGTGGGCACAGAAATCTAAAATTAAAGAGTTTCCCTAGGGAAACTGTCAGAAGCAGAGGAAGTCCCAAATCCTGACAGGAAACAAACCCCAGCCTCCATGTGCACCTGCTCTGGGGTTGACTCTGATGAGTGGGCCCTGAGCACCCCCTGCAGCTGATTTCGCCCAGTGTTCCTGCAGGAGGTTTGTGTCTGGGCTCGCACTTGTGTCCCCTCACAGGATTTCTCACACAGTAATACACAGCCATGTCCTCGGCTCTCCGTCTGTTCTTTTGCAGATACAGGGAGTTCCTGGAATTGTCTCTGGAGATGATGAATCGGCGCTTCACGGAGTCCACATAGTGCGTCCTACTGCCATTCCAACTAACACCCGATACCCACTCCAGCCCCTTTCCTGGAGCCTTGCGGGCCCAGTTCATGTCACTGTTACTGAAGGTGAATCCAGAGGCTGCACAGGAGAGTCTCAGGGACCCCCCAGGCTGTACCAAGCCTCCCCCAGACTCCACCAGCTGCACCTCACACTGGACACCTGCAAACACAGAGACACCCTGGTCAGAAACTGCCACACATATCCACTGTTTCTCTCACTCATGTCCACTCACTCAATATCCTTAGTTCTCCATGAATCACCTTTTAAAATACCAGCAAGAAAAACCCAGCTCAGCCCAAATTCCATGGTAATTTGTTTATTGCTGTTGACCCAATAGAAACACCTGAGAATCCCAGGGCTGGGGCTTCTCTCCCAGGGCTGCAGGGTCAGGGCTGCGCTGCTTTTCATCAGAAAAGGGAGGGTCCTATTTGCATGTCTCCTATTATATAGCAAGCTCTGAAGTGGGACACCTGAGGAGAGGACTGAGCCCAGAGTAATGAGAGTGAAATAGCAAACCTGAACAACTACAAATAAAAGAAAAAAAAAAACCTTCAACATATCAGAGTTGATATCATGGAGCAAACATAAACTGAAAATTTGAGGATAGGGGTTGATAGGGAGACCCAGGATGCATATATGAGTGTGCCTGGGGCAGGTGTCGCTCCATGGCATTTAAGCTAACCTGGAAACACTTAGAGTTCCTTGAGGATGTGCGCATTAACGGTGTTGGAGTGTGAAGCTTTTAGTGCCATATACTGTTGCAGGCTTTCCTTACGAAGTTTGAAATATCCCAGATGACCTCACACTCACACAGTGTGACCTTGCACATCCCCAAGGTCACCTCACACTCACCCAAGGTGACCTTGCACATCCCCCAGGTCACCTCACATGTGCCCTGAGTCACCTCACACATCCCCAATGTCACCTTACACATCCCCCAGGTCACCTCACACATTCCTGTGGCCACCTCACACAAGTCCCTATTCACCTCACACATCCCGCAGGTCACCTCGTAAATCTGCTAGGTCACCACACACATGCACCAGGTCACCTCATGCATTCCTCAGGCACTTCACACCTGCCCCTGTTCACCTCACACATCCCCCAGGTAAACTAACACATGCACCAGGTCACCTCACATGCACCCAGGTCACTGCACACATGCCCTTTGTCAGCTCATACATTTCCCTAGGTCACCTCACACATCCCCCAGGTCAACTCAGATGTGCCTTAGGTGACCTCACATGTGCTCAGGTCACCTCACACGTCAGGGGGGTCACCTCACATATACCCCATGTCACCTCACACACACTCCTGCTAAGCTCACACACCCCCCACGTCACCTCGAATGCTCCCAGGTCACCTCACACATTCCCCCAGGTCACCTCACACATTCCCCATGTCACCTCACACGTCCCCCAGGTCACCTCACACGTCCGCCAGGTCACCTCACACATGCCTGAGGTCACATCATACATATCCAAGTCACCTCACGAATTCCCCATGTCACCTCATACATGTCCAGGTAACCTCACACGCACCCAGGCCACCACACATGCACCCTGGGTCACCTCACATGTGCCCAAGTTCACTGCACACATACCCCCAGGTAACCTTACACCTCCCCCAAGTCACCTCACTGTCACGTGACCAGGGCACCTCACCTTCATACAGGTCCATTCACACATGCTATCATACATGCATACATTATGGAATTGTTAATCAAGCTATTTAACATATCCAGCACCTCATAAATGTATTTCTTTTTTTTTTTGAGACTGAGTCTCACTCTGTCACCCCGGTTGGAGTGCAGTGGTACGATCTTGGCTCACTGCAGCCTTTGCTTCAAGCAATTCTCCTGTGGTGAACACCACGCCTGGCTAATTTTTGTGTTTTTAGTGGAGACAGGGTTTCACCATCTTGGCAAGTCTGGTCTTGAACTCCTGACCTTGTGATCCACCCACCTCGGCCTCCGAAAGTGCTGGGTTTACAAGTGTGAGCCCCCGCTCCCGACCTGTATAATTTCTTAGTGGGAAAAAATTTTAACATTTGCATGTTTAGCCATTTTGAAATATATAATGCATTCACAGCCATATTTTCCATCTTGTGCATTAGAACACTGTAACTTACTCCTTCTGTCTAACTGGAACATTTTACACTTTGACCACAATCTCTCCTTTTCCAGTCCACCCCTCCAGCCCCTGGTAACCAACATTCTATTCTACTTCTGTGAGTCTACCATTTAAACAAACTACAGTGAAATCACGAATCACTTGTCTTCTGCGCCTGCTTGTTGCACTTCACGTGTGGTCCTCTAGAGTCATGATTGCTATCGCATTTCAAAACCAATCATGCCTGTTCAAGAGTCCGCCAAAGTCTTAACTCATTTGAGCCTTAACTCAAAAGTCCACAGTCCAAGGTCTCATTTGAGATGAGGCAAGTCTCTTCCATCTATGAGCCTGTAAAATAAAAACCAAGTCAGTTACTTCCTAGAAAGAATGGGAGTTCAGGCATTGTGTAAATACAGCCATTCCAAATGGAGAAATTGGTCCAAACTACAGGTCCCATGCAAGTCTGAAATCCAGCTGGGAAGTCAAATCTTAATGTTCCAAAATAATCTTCTTTGACTCCATGTCTCAAATCCAGGTTACCTGATGTAACAAGTGGGTTCACATGGTCTTGGGAAGTTCTGCCCCTGTGACAGAACTTTTTTAAAACTTTTCAAATGAAAAGTTTTAAAAAACTTTTGCAGGGCACAGTCTCCCTCCTGGCTGCTTTCACGAGCTGGCATTGAGGGTATGTGGTTTTTCCAGAAACATGGTGCAAGCTGTCAGTGGATCTACCATTCTGGGTTCTGGAGGGCAGTGGCTTTCTTCTTACAGCTCCACTAGGTGGTACACCAGTAGAAACTCTGTGTGGGATTTCCGACCCCACATTTCCCTGCCACACTGGGACTAAAGGCTTGTGCCACAATACCTGGCTAATTTTTGTATTTTTAGTAGAGACGGGGTTTTACCCTGTTGACCAGGCTGGTCTCAAACCCTTGACCCCAGGTGATCTGCCTGCCTAAGATTCCCAAAGTGCTGGGATTACAGGCTTGAGCCACCATGCCTGGCCAAGATTAATATAACTATGTCATTTAATGATGTATTTGAAAACTTCATGGTTCTACAAACACACATACATACACAACAGCCCAGCAAAGACACATACATGTGCCCATGCAAAAGTGAATGTATATCTAAACACCAAAACAGCACACCCATTTGTTTCATATTTTTTTAATTACTTAATTGAATTTAAATTGTGTTTGCAGTTTGAGGTTGTAGTAGAAAATAATGCTCTTCTACGTGTATGTCTGCCTATTCCAATACTAAAAAGACAAATATATTTAAATACATGTTTTGTTAAAGCTGAATGTAAATGCTGTTCTTGCCAAATATGTCACTCAAATGTGCAATGGTATTAACTTTAAATATCAGTCTGTTTTTAATAAATTGAATAACTAATAGGACAAACGTTGTATTACATTATTTGTTAAATTTAGATTGTAGTTTTCAAACTAGGCAAGATAAAATTGTTTCATTTGAAAAATTTTTAAAAAACTTTTTTGGCATGAATATTCAATACAAACTCTAGTATTTATTTGTCAATATTCCTTTACAACAGAGAACATCCAGGAATATGAAACTGAACACAGTCCATGATTTTCAGGGCTCACTCACAATGGCATCTTCCTAGAGGGTGGTCTCAGAGGGTCCAAGCACATGGGGATTTGGACTTGATCATCAAAACACTAGTGAGCCCCAGGGCTGAGCACACAGAGGGCAGCAGGAGCTGCAGAGCCCACTCTGTGGTACTTAGGGAAACGAGGAGATGGTCTGCAGGACCCTGGAAAAGGGTGAGTTAGGGCAGAGAGTCTGCAGGTAGACGAGCATATTCTAAGGAGAACCATTATCCTCTAAACTTGGTTGGCTTCAGTGATTATGAAGAGAAGAGAACTGATTCACCAGACTTGGAGGTCAGAAAGTAAAGGGACTTTCTTTTTCCTTCATGGAGACTGAGGAAAGTAAAATACTTTCAAAGAGAAAGGGAAGATGGAGAAATAGTCTGAAAAACAGGACACCTGAAGCCAACCAAAATGGAGAACAAGAGCATTTAAAGTCGTGTTTAATTTCCAAAAACAGCAGATGAAAGAAAAATAAACAAAATACCATGTATATGCTGAGTTAATGTTAAAAAACATGTACAATTGTTTGACTATTACAGCACAAAAATACAAAACTCTAATCATTGAAACAGTTTGTATTGAGGATATACATTTTCTTTAAATAGGGTCTCACTCTGTCAACGAGGCTGGAGTGCAGTGGCACAATCACAGCTCACTGCAGCATTAACCTCCCAGGCTTAAGGGATCCTCCTGCCTCAGCCTTTCAAGTAGCTGCTACCACAGGTGGAACCATACCCAGGTATTTATTATTATTATTATTATTTTATATATATATATAGAAAAGACCTCACTGTGCTGCCAGGCTGTTCTAAAAGTCCTGAGCTCAAGTGATCTGCCTGCCTTAGCCTCCCAAAGTGCTGGGATTACAGGTGTGATTTTTATAACTTTACTATTTTAATAATAGTATTATTTTTAATCAAGAAAATATATAAATAACCTATTGTAAAAATTGTCCTGAGAGATCATTGCTAGTATTACTTGGAAAATATGCAGCATTAAAAGTTGAATTAAATTCCTGTTCTAAGTTAATGTTTTGTAGGTAAAAGTAATCATGGACTTACAAGGAAGAAATGGTGAGAGATCCTGGGGAAGACTTTTGCTTGACCAGGTCGGGAATCACCAAGGTTTAAAAGAAAACCACAGCCTCTCAGGCTTCTGATTTGGAGCTGCCTCCTAAGAGAACCCCCCTGTACTGAGCGCCCCCTGGTGGTTCTGAGTGCCCCTGGTGTCATGAGCGCCCCCTCGTGGTACTGAGGGCACTCTGATATCCTGAGCACCCCTGATGCTTCTGAGCGCCCCCAGGTGTCCTGAGCGCCCCCTGGTGGTTCTGAGCGCCCCCTGGTGTCCTGAGCGCCCCCTGGTGGTCCTGAGCACCCCCTGGTGACCTGAGTGCCTGCTGGTGGTCCCAGGCAAACCCTCGTGTCCTGAGCGCCCCCTTGTGATTCTGAGTGTCCCCTGGTGTCATGAGCGCCCCCTCGTGATCCTGAGCACCCCCTAATATCCTGAGTGTCCCGTGGTCCTAAGCACACCCTGGTGGTTCTGAGTGCCCCCAGGTTGTCCCCAAGGTGCCCTGGTGGTTCTGAGGAGCATCTACCATGCAGCTCCCTCCTGTCTTCCTGCAGAGATTTTTCTGTCTGGGCTCACGCAGATATTCCCTCTCCTGTGTCTCTCACAGTATTACAAGGCCTTGTCCTTGACTTTCAGTTTGGTCCCTTTAAGGTAGACTGCACATGAAAAGGTGTCACTTGGGACTGTTAATTTATTTGTACTCATGGAGAGTAACTCTGAGAACTCCCACTTGATCACTCACTGTTTCCACCCACACCAATCCCTGTCATGAAGCCTGCTGGACCAAGCTCATGCTGTAGCCAGTAAAGGTGAAATCAGAGGCTTTGCATGAGAGTCTCAGTGAACCACTGGGCTGTACAATTTTTCCCCCCTGACTCTATCAGTAAATTTCACACAGGACTTCTGCAAACACAGAGGAAATGGAAGAACGGCCCCATGTGGAGCAGCCGCAGCTGGACCTGATTCACAAGGGACACTAATATTGAGGGTGATGAGAAGGGAAGCCCAAATCAGGGCAGACCCCATGGTGTGGACACCGAGGAAGGGAACAGACATGGGTTGGCTCCTCACCAGGGCCTGAAGGAACAGGGGATGAGCTGCCTTTCATGAGGAGGGGAGGGGACACATTTCCTTGTCTTTCTTTTTGTGGTCTTGGGTGCACCGCTCAGCATTGCTCATCTGTCCTCTGTGTCTCCATTTCAGGGGGGCAGGATCAAAGGACTCGTGGGTCTGGATGCACAGGGTTAATCTGCCGATTAGTCTTTTTTATTTTCTAGTGTGGACCCTGTTCAGGTATCTTCACAGTAGCAAACATTATCAAAAAAATACATCCAGTAAGAATATAAAAATACATTTCCAGAGAAAATGGACACCAATCTCTAATCGGTGCATATAGAGCTGCAAACTATTGTTCTTGACAATAAGGCAAAGTTAAGGTACAATAAAAAAATGCAGATCTACACCTTGTCAGGAGGGATTTTATAATTATTATCTTGAGATCATTTTGCCATAAAACAGTTCAACATTGGATATATGTGCTTGTGTCAGGAAACAGTCACTGTGGAAATATTTGTACTTATCAGAGTGAAGAGTTCACATGCAGACATGTTTGTTTGTCTGAGACAAGAGTCCACTTGAGGAAATGTCATTACTAGAGGAAAGAGTAAATGTAAGGACATATGTGGTGGTCTGAGGAAAGAGTCCATGTGGGGACAGGTGTGTTGGTCTGAGGGAAGAATCCACGTGAGTAAAGGTGTGTTTGTCTGACAGAAGAGTCCCCATGTTGACAGGTGTGTTACCCATCTGAGGGTAAATGCCCATTCAGGGACAGTGTGTGCCTGAACTGAGCTGAAGTTTGGGGAAAATCTTTCTCAACCAAGGAAAGAAAAGAATTATCTGGGTTATTTGCTCGTCAGGAAGAAAAAACCTGGGTCACGTAGAAAATTGATTTTTTTAAAATTAAAGGTCTTTAGTGAATGGTAACATCTTAAATGCAAATGAGGAAAATTACTTCATTCTTTTTTGCATGCATCTCATGACATCCCCACCCTCACCAAATAAGTTATTAGATAACTTGATACAGTCTGCATTTAATCCTGGGGTTAATGAACTGCTAAATACTTTTTACAAAAATTGTATATATTTAGGTTTATATTTTCCATCACACATTTATGAGCTTAGACAAATTAACTGCATCGTGTCTCAACCATTTTATATCACTAAAAATAATTTTACTATTCTTAAACAGTGCCATTTGTACTTATTTAATACTCACTCTCTAAGTTCCTTGAATATCCTCTATCTGTTTACTTGACTATAGTTTTGGTTTATACCGAATTTCAAATAAATGATATTATATAATGTAATTGAAATGACTTCACTAAAGAAAGTAGAAAATGAAGTTGCTAATCTAATTAACTTTGGAAATGAGGAAATTCTATAAGTTTAAAATGTAAAGAAACTACACATAACACTCTATTCTAGTAGATAAACATATTTCCAATGAGCTTTACATTTCTGATACCGCTATGCATGTGTCCTAAAATTGTGCAACTAGGTAATAATAAGGCAGTTGGTAGGATAGGATTCCTCACTTTGCAGTGGGTGGTTATGGACAGTCAAGGAAGGAAGGCTAGAAAGGTCCATGTGGTAGCATAGTTGGGTCAGGAGACCAGTGTGTTCTCATTTTTAATATAATAAAGTTACAGAAGATTAGTTACATAAATAGTTTTGATGCGTCCACAAACATGGGTTCATATAAACATGCACGTCTACTAGGCCAGTAGGTTGAGAGGTCCTAGAAGTAATTGTACACGGTATCACAATTTTTTTTATTTTACTGCTATTCGTTAACATTAGAAACAAGCAATCTTTAGAAAAAAGGCTAATTCTATGTACAAAAAAGGTAATATAGAAAATGAGCTTAGAATTTATTGTAATACAAGGAAACAGGGAAGTATTCAAAAACAAAAGGATGAGGTGTGCTGTAAGGATACAGGATCCAAATTAAATGAGCTCCCAGGACCTAATAAAGCTGTGGTGATTTGAACGATAAAATGAATAATATAGCATGGATCTTCTTCAGAGTATGAAATATATATTCATAAACCAATACACATATTAATAGATGATTATATAAATAAATATTGGGAAGACGAACACATTTCCTTACAGAAGTATTCCAAATATCTGAAATGGATAGTCCTCCAATCAAGTAGATGAAGTTTAAACACTCATGAGTTGATTGTGGCCTGAGTTGAGAGACATGGAAAAAATAATCACTATTAGTGTATTTTATAATGAGACTTCATATATATTGCCAAATACATCATCTATGAATGAATGCAATTTTACATGTTTTTGAGTCTAAATTTGTACAAACAGACACATACACACACAGACACATACACACACATATGTTTCTGCAATACACACTGATAAGGGAATAAAGACAGCCACAGACTTGGAGAAAATACTTCCAAGTCACATATTTGTGAAATGAATTCTTTTAATTTGTGAAATGACTTTTATAAACAATATGCAAGTCAACTTGCAATGAATCGAAATGAAGCAATGCAGTTAAAATGAACCGAATGTCAGGAGAGGCGTCTCAACAGAAGTTATACGAAAATTGTTAAATATGAACTTTTGGAGGGACATGTGCATTTAAATAAAAATTAGATCCCATTACTCACCTACTAGATTGGTTAAAACACACAATTCTCGTAAGGATACATGACAATATGAATGTGGAAAACCAAGAACTATCATGCATTGATGGTGGGAATTCAAAATGCTACATGCACAAAAGGAGATTTTTTTGGCATTTTTAATAGACATAAATGCAGACTTAAAATGTGATTTTGTGTCTGTGTTCCAAAATACTTACAGCACTGATTAAGAAATTAATGTTTACAAAGATACCTTCAGAGGAAGTTCTGTATTAGTTTCATTAATTTGATTCATTCTGTAATCATTGAAATTTGTTTACAGAATAAATGCTGTATGAAAAATCTCTCAAATAATTAAAATTTCTCAAATACACATTAATATTGTTCCTTTTCTTTAATGACTTAGTGTCATTTTCTAAGAAAATCTTTAATCTAATAATCTTTGTCATCTCCTCTGTGTCAGCACAGGTGCCTCCTTCCTGGGGTTTCTGACACTCTCAGGATGTGGGTTTTCGCACTGTGTCTCTCACACAGGAATACACGACCATGTCTTCAGATCTCAGGCTGCTCAGCTCCATGTAGGCTGTGCTCACGGACCTGTCACTGGTAATGGTGACTCTGCCCCGGAACTTCTGTGCGTAGTGTGTGTTATCATTGTAAGGGTTGATGCATCCCAACCACTATGCCCTTGTCCAGGGCCCTGTCGCACCCACTGTGTAAAGTATTTGGTGAAGGTGTATCTGGAAGCCTGGCAGGAGACCTTCACTGAGGACGCAGGCTTCTTCACCTCAGCCCCAGGCTGCAACAGCTGAACCTGGGAATGGACATCTGTGAGGAGAAGGGAGGAGATGATAAAAGCCCCCTTGACTGGACTCAATCCCCTCCTCATCACTAGGACTTGGGAGCCCCTTACCTGTGGCAGCTGCCACCAAGAAGAGGATCCCCCAGGTACAGTCCATGGTGAGGAGCTGTGCTCTCAGGGGCTTCTATAGAGGAGGGATGTGGTTGTTGGGTGATGCTCTCAGGGCACAGACATCCAAATTCACCTCAGTGGATCTCAGGTTATTTGCATATTCATGAGACAGAGCATTTCATAGCGCAAAGCCTGGTCAATAATAAGAAAGGGAAGATAAATGACACATCAGATTTACAAGAGTGAGATGCTGATGGTCCAAGCGCTATTCCTGTTTGAGGAAATGCATGCCCTGCTCCATTTATGAACACTCGTGAACAGAGGTCCTTTCACAGAACAATCCCCCTCAGAACACGCTCCTCACAGTGAACCTACATTTTATAAGCACAGAGAGCACCTGGATGATTTCTGGAACCATCACTCTCCATGACACTGAGGAGGTGCCTTGGTTCTGTCCTGGGTCCATCAGTCACCAGCACAGCTGACTGGTGACTGAGAAAGTTACTGCTGATGTCCCACGTGAGTGACCAGCAGGTCCCTCTGAGATCTGCTGGGCGCTCCTGAAACAGGGTCTCCAGCACCTGCCTGGTGTTCAGATCCCCCAGGATCTTCCATAGAAACACTCTTGTTTACAGATTTGCTGTGTGATGTGTGATTAGAGATGATTTTCTCATCTCAGGAACAATAAGAATCAGAAGCTGAAACAGTAGTTTTGAATTCTTTATGAACTCACTGCTCCCAAAATAATTGTCAAGGAATTTGTGTTTTGAATAATTTGGGGTTAATTTTGGACTCAATTTACTGGAATTTTTTGAAGTATTTATATATTTTCAATTCATATCCATAGGTCCTCATCTTTACATATTGATTTCTGACTCACCTGCTCGGTGCCCCCGACAGCCCAGCCCCTGCCTTGCAAGGAGGTTCCTTGCTGAGACTTCAAATCATTTCCCCCAGGCTTCTCTAGCCCAGCATGAAATGGCTGTGTGCTAGTGTAGAATACTCCTTCAGTGACACCATATGCTGCTGACACCATCTCTTGAAACAATTGATTAGCCTTACTAAACCTATTGAACTCTGCAGGGAGACCCAGAGCAAGGATTCAATGACACAGGAGGGAGCCCCTTCCCTGAAGCTCCAGATTCACTTCATTAGTGGAACCAAAATGAAGACAAAAACTTACAAGAGATTTGCGAGTGCCATGTTTCTTCACTGGGCTCTTGCAGTTGAATGTTGCATCTGAGAATACTAGCAGGTGCAGATACATTCAGATGAAAGCCCACTCCATATCCACTATTCCAATAACACACATTTTCCCTTCTTCCTAATATGTGGCTTTTAGGAAGTGCCTCCTACACTGACACCAGGCCCAGTTATCTGACTTTCTTCTCCTAGAGATCTAAAGCAAACAGGATACAGGTGGAGACTTGGGAAGTCCATGCAGGTTGTTATTTTCACTTTCTCAGCTAGGAAACCAGCAAAGGTCCCATAATAAAAGAAGCTGAGAACTATGATGGCATTTACAAGATGTTGGTCTTAAAAATCACGATGTCAGAGGCTTCACATTGCTCTACTGTCTTTGTCTCACCCTCTGCCATTGTCTTAGTATTTCTGTGTTCTCCTCAGATGGAGTCTGTGCATTGCCACACTTTCATCTTTAATCCATAGCCATCATCCTAGTTAGAATGGATTGTGCAGTGCAGGTAAGCACTGCCTGTTCTTCCAATGGAAACCTAGAGATTCAATAGGCTTCCTCTTCTGGGCTGTGACCTTGACAAAGCATCTCCAGGGGAAAAGCTCATTTTTGGCTGTTACTCCCTTTTGAGGTTTCGGCCTCCCTGGACTATTTATGTACGTCTTACCCCTTTTGGCTAACTTTACTCATTCATATAATAATGGAAGAATGGGGGAGAATCTGGAATGGGAGATTTGTCTTCCTTCACATAGGATAAGGTTCTGGAAAAGTCATTCCCTTTAGAAGCTTTTGAAGTGGGCTCCTGGTATATTTCTCTGTAATTAATCATCTTCATTTCATCTTCAATTCTGACCCATCGGAAATTTATTTGGATTGTATATTTTAGAATCTGGAGGTTTCTGGAGAGAAAGTCCAGAAACCTTAGAAGTATAAGACCCTCTGGAACGGTCACATTTACCGAGTCCACATTTGTCTTTCAGACGTCCGTAGTGGTTACCATGTAAGTGCCCTCAACAGCTTGTGGCTTCTGCAGTTTCTGCACCAGGTAAGCAAGTGCTAACTGCCATTCTGGACATGCCCATCTCTCCAGTTTTTGGAGTGGGTAATATTTCTTGCAATTTCAGTTATTTAATAGATTCCAAAATGTACTGACATTCAGATTATGCAGATTTATTTTGACATAAAATATGACGGTGATGAATTTTATAATCAATATTTTGGAGCATAAACCAAAAGTACAATCAAAGGTCACCTTTGATGTGTTACTGGAGGCAGAATTCTGACCTTATTCCATGTAGGTGGCACATCTGACATAAATAAACAGGCAAGAAAACAGAGAAAGGACATGGCACAACACTGTGCCATGGCACAACTCTGGTTGCCCTTAAAACTTTTTCCTTCATTTCAACCTTGGTGAATCTGACAATTATGTGTCTTAGGGTTGCTCTTCTCAGCGAGTGTCTTTGTGGTGTGTGGTTATTGGGTGATGCTCTCAGGGCACAGACATATCTGTAGTGTTCACCTCAGGTGATTTGCATATTCACGAGAACTACTACTTCATAGCCTTACCCTTGATCCAGCATGAGAAAGAGAAAATAGATCTCACATGAACCACACAACTGTGGGATGCTGAGGTACAAGTCCTCGTTCTTATTTAATGTCGTGTTTCCCTTTATATGCCCAAAACTTTGTGAAGGGAGAACTTCTCCACTAAGAAGGTGACTCACACAGGACATGGCACATGGACAGCCTCCGCCCTTTCTAGGCTTTGCTGTCTGCAGTCTTACTCTTGGGATCTCTGTGTCTTCTGAAATGTGTACCTTTTGATTTAATAAAACCATCCCTGTTCTTCATCTTTTTACTAGGAAAATATCTCAAACAAGTAACAATTTTGCCTTTTAAATGTGGTTCTCACTGAATTGTTGATTTGTTTATTTCTAAATGTATAGAGATAATAGAAATAGTCTTTGCAAAATTCTAATTTTAACATGTTATAATTTTTTGGTTTTCAATAAAACAACACTCAATTCTGGGAGAAATCCCCTCTGCAGCCTCCTGTGCACCAGCTCTGGGGCTGGAGCCTGTTCTGGGTGGGTCCTGGGCGCCCCCTGCAGCACTGCCTCTGCCCTGCATGGAGGTTTCCATCTGGGCTCACAGAGGATTTCTCTCTCAGTGTCTCTAGGGCTATAGGAAGAGGTCATGCCCTAGTTTAAAATGCTCCTTCAGTGACACCATATGTTACTGACACCATCTTTTGAAAACATTGACCTTAGGAGACCCAGTGAACTCTAAGAAACCATCGGGGAGCCCTTCCCTGGAGCTCAGGATACATTTAATCAGTGGACACATAGTGAGCACAAAAATTTTCAAGGGTTTTGGGGGATGCTTTATCTTGTTTGGTCTCCTGCAATTGAATATTACATCTAAGAATACCTGTAGGTATATATACTTGTGGATCAATGCCCACTCCATGTCTTCTTTTTCAATAACACACACACACACACACACACACACACACACACACACACACACAGAACTGGTTGATTTTTACAACAGTGGGCCTCTAACTTGCCATTTTTCCTAGTATCTTGCAAATGGTGAGCACCCTCTACACGGATACTAGACCTGAGTATATGACTTCCTTCTCCAAACAGAAGTAAGGAAAACAGTACACAACTGGAGACGTAGCAAGTGTACATTCATCATGTTTGCATATTGTCACCTGAGAATACTGCAGTTTCCCTAAGAGAAGTGACTCTGTGTCCACCAAGGGTTGAGTGACCCTGTTCATCAAGCTGTTGGTGTCAGAAGCTTCCAGTTGCTCTACTGTCCTTGACTTTTTTCTCCCATTGTCTTTGCATTTCCCTATGTTCTCCTCCCTATATAGAGTCTCTGCATTGCCACACTCATCTTCAATGCTGATGGGAAGGGAATGTGTGAGGATTGTGTTTTTTTTCTTTTCTTACAACTATAGGCTTTTTCATTCAGTTAAAAGGTAAACAGATTAACATTGGAGGCTATTCCATTTAACTAGCCCAAGTTCCTATTCCACTTTATATATCCCTCCCACACTGCCATACATCTTGAAGAAATGACTGCCAAAAGACTGTTTCTAACTTCTTCTTAGCAATAACCTTCAATGAATTGCTTTCAAATAAGTTATTCCTAACTTAAAATTTTATTGTGTTCAAAGAAACTCGTCCCTCTAAGAGGTTTCCACATGTGCCAATAGAACGTTCCACCACTGACAGGAGGGCAGAATACAATGATTCTAATTACAGGAGCTACTCCAAGGAAAGCTTCCATGATATTTGTGTTGTTAGATTCGGTGCTTGTTAGGGCAGAAGATGGTGAGACTAACAATGCAGACCACACTCGGTCAAATGGCTGCATGTTTGGTTGTTTTAAAAAAATCTTTGTTTATCTTTAGAGACAACATTTTAAACATAATGGAATTGAAGCCTGATACAAAATACATAGAAACTTGCGCAGGAATAGACAGCCAAGAAGCAAAGTGGAACTCAGTGGAAACCTGGCTACATTACATAGCTCATTTTGAACTGAGCCGGAATATGTAAGGTAGTCCCAAACATTGACAAAAATGTTAATGTCAAACAGCTTCACACTGTGAGGATGACATACTTGAAGACAGCCAAGATGGCAGCACTGATAATTCCAGAAATAAAGATTGTGACAAACCAGGCTATACAATGTCACGAAAGAGTCAAGTCGACAACTTTCTTGGATTAAAGCCAGGTACAAAGGAGCCCATGTTACAACGTGTTGTACTGGTGGGGAGGCCAATATCTGATGCAATCACCATAGTGAGGGCAGGAGCCAGTCCAGTACCGAAGGCACCAGAGGGTGTGAGAGTGTCAGATTCTTCCCCATGGCCTGAATCTCCTTCCTCCAAACCCACAGACTAATGCAGATTCCAACACCACCAGAGAGCAGAAGCCACACTGGCATCACCACTCTTGAGGAAACATCTCCCATGTTATAAACCAGATATAAAGCCACCAGAGAATTTATTGCATTGCTGATGTCATTACCACCATAGGCAAGTGACCTCAATCAGGCAATATGAAGTTGCAGGAACTGGAAGAGGAGAGATAGTTCAGGCTTATCTTGGCCATACCATTCTTCTCAAGAACCACTACTTCCTTTTCTCTCACCTAGACCCATCTCCACCTTGATACTCATGACTATCTTCGATCCTGAGAAGGTCAGAGACAACATTGTAGTAACCAGTGTAACTGTCCATTCAAAGTCCCTTCTTGGGGACTGCATTGGACCATGTAAGATTCTCCATTTCCTTACCCTTCTGAGGAACTTCTTTGGCATGAAATGAATCTAGAAGCATGCCACATATTGTCATGATAAAGGAAAAATAGCTATTATTGCACCTTAAGTGTTTGTCACAAAATCTCCCATGCCATCTTCCACTATGGCAATGTGCAATTTACAGAGAAGCTCTTTGTACAAGCCAGAACATTTAGGCATGGGGTAATATGCATAGTGGCCACTGAAGCCACCTGGCTGTTGATGGCTTGATTGAACTGGACCAAGATTCTTAGAATTTAATCTCAGTGATTTTGTCTTCTTTTTCTTGGCTATGACCTTTACAAGGAGTCTCCTCTAATAAAGCTGATATTTGTCTATTACGTCCTTCCCTGTCTGCAGCATCTCAGGACTATTTTTGCTCAATCTTACCCTACTGGCACATCCTTTTGTTCAATCTTACCATACTGGCAATCATTTGCCTCATAAAGGAAGGCTGGGAAGAGGGTTCTACAATGGCAGTGAAGTACCTTCCACCATGTAGATAAATTACTATAAATGTTCTTCCTGTGGGTGGTCTATCTGGAGAAGGTTCTGGGTAAAGGTGTTAGAGATTAGGTCTCTCGATGACTGACACAACTCACAAGGAATTTATGTGAATTCTAAATTAAAAATGTGGAGGTTCATGGAGCAAATGAGGGGCACCCAGAATATCTCATCCTAATAATAGTACAAACCTGTCCTTTAAGTTGTTTTAGTTTAGATTTATATATA
Source organism: Homo sapiens (assembly GCF_000001405.40). NCBI lineage: Eukaryota > Metazoa > Chordata > Mammalia > Primates > Hominidae > Homo > Homo sapiens. The sequence continues at coordinate 648,752 of NT_187600.1, forward strand.
ACAAATCAAACAGCCAGGGTCATTTAAATAGTAACATGCTCAAACATATTAGGGCAGCAGCTGAATATAATAATCAAACTGAAATCAAGAAAATCTGGGAGCAAACTAATGTTTTTCATAGTTCAGAACAGCTTTATTAACTCAATTAACTTGTAATCCCAGGACTCTGGGAGGCCAATTTGGGCGGATCACCTGAGGTCAGGAGTTCGAGACCAGCCTGACCAACATGGCAAAACACTGTCTCTACTAAAAAATACAAAAATTAACTGGGCGCCGTGGCATGCACCTGTAATCCCAGCTACTTGGGAGGCTAGGGTGGAGGATTGCTTGAACCCAGGAGGTGGAGGTTGCAGAGCCGAGACCGCACCACTGCACTCCAGCCTGGGAGACAGAGCAAGACCCCATCTGAGAAATAAAAAATTTAAAAAAATTAATAAAAGTGCTTCCAACGCTGACCTTAATCCTGGTTATATTTGCGGTTGTTGTTGTTTGTTGTTGTTGTTTTGTTTCTTCAAACAGAGCTAAAGCAAGCTCAGTACTGCTGGAGATTTGGAAAGTGTCTTCACCTTGTTTTTGCCTGTTCTCACCTGGGAACCCTGTGGATGCCCCGTGAGAGGTAAATCTAAGGCCATTGACAGAGGGGCCGTGGCCTTGGTCCTGAAGCTGTTGGTCTCAGAGGCTTTAAACCGCTTCACTGTCCTTAACTTTTCCTCTCCCTCTGCCTTTGGTTTCCCTAAGGTCTAGTCCTTGGACAGAGTCTGTGCATTGCCACACTTTTCTCTTTAATCCAGATTGATCATACTGGTGAAGAGGTGATGTGGTGGGCAGGGGAGCAGTATATGTACTGGAAATTGAATTTCAATGTTTTCTTGATGTTTTTTCTCTAGACTGTGCCCTTTACAAGGAGTCTCCAGTGGTGCAGCTGATTTTCCTCCGTCTTCTACTCCCCCCTCCTGGCTGCAGCATCCACATATTATTGTCTTGAACCTGACCTTTTTATGACACAGGAAGGCTAAGATGAAACTGCCTGGGATGGAAAAGAATACCTTCCCCTCACATAGAATAGAGATCTTGAAAAGCATTTTTTCTCTGTAGGATCTGTCTGGAGGAAGTTCTGAGCATATTTATCAGAGAGTAGCTCTCCTGATGACAGAGCCATGAAGGAATCTGTTTGGATTATCATCCTGAGAACCCAGAAGTTTCTGGAGGGAAATTCCATCGAAGTGTGGGGTGTGCAGCCCCCAGGAGTTCTTACCCTATCCCTGTCCACACCTGTCCACCAGCAATTTACCGAATTACCATGTAACTGTTCCCACCAGCTTGCACTTTCAACGGAACAGTCACATAATTTATAAATTTAGAAAGGAGACTTTACTTCTGAGAAATGGTTAAAGCTGCAGGACAGCCACCTTAACAGGCTGGGAAGCAAAGCCTCCCACAGAGACAGTGAGCAGGCACTTCAAGAGAGGGAAAGAGGAGAAATGAATTCATGCAAATGGATTGGCCAAGTGTACACACTCAGCAGGCTATAGAAGGATCTGTTGATGTTCACATAGTGGGCAGGCTGTCATGTCTAATAAGCAAACACACATGTTACATGCATTTAGTGTTTGCTTTGGGGATGAGGACTTAAGAACTAAATGAATGACAATCGGGCCCTGTTCATCAAAAGGGCTTTGTGCAGAGGCAGAAAGACACACACTGCACAGTCTCTGTAAATTGCCAGGACAAGTTCATGGTCAGTAGTCTCTTCTCAGAAGACAGTTACTGAAATCTGTCTCTTGTCCAAACAAAGCTCTATTTATGGCTTGTGGGAGAGGGTCAGTTACCACGTTTGGAGTTCCATGAGCTGCAAATGTTTTAATATGCTTACCTCAGAACCAGTGCTTGTTTAGGTGCTACAGAAAACAAAAAAGCCCTGTGGAAGTTACAGTACAGTCATTTTTTTAAGTGTAGGGGTGAGTGACTTAATCCATGACTTTAGGCCTTGTTTATAATTTGGTATCTTATTGCCACAGAACTTTGATCCATCAGTCTGATTATCTCTATTTTAATGTCTTTCTAGTTTTGGGGGTCCTGGTTTTCCCTGCAATTTCATTTCTTCAACAGATTCAAGAAATTATTGATAATCAATTTTCCAGGCTTTTATTATTGTAAGAATGTGGGTGATGTTTGACATGCTCTTTACATATTAAAGCAGAAACCAGAAGCAGCTTCAGAGATCACCAGTGACCTGATACAAGCAGCAGGAATCTCATCTCATTAAGTGTAAGTGGCACCACACAGATATAGCTGAACATGCAGGGACACAGAAGACCCATTCCACAGGACACCCCCCAAAATTACAGTGAATCTAACGGAATTATAGAAAATCATACATGATGTGCCTCATGACCAAGGTCTCCACTTCTCATCAAAGGACATTCCTTATGGGATTCACCAGAACTTGCTTTCTTTCCATAGACATGGATATACCGCAAAACACTTAGGGACCTTACCCTCTGGGAAGGGATAGTAAATCAGGAGTCACAGAACGTATAGGAAAATATCTGTTTTATGAATCTTCTAAAAAAGAGCCCAAATATGAATAGCCCCACCCACTTTTCCTCTGAACTGGCATCATTCCCAGGAACCCACTTGTAGTGTTATACCCAAACGAGTTAGAGAAAACGCCACACTTTGAGACAAATTAAGAGTCCTTTATTTAAGCCGGCTGCCGAAGAGATGGCTAACGCTCAAAATTCTCTCGGCCCCGAGGAAGGGGCTTGATTAACTTTTATATCTTGGTTTAGGAAGGGGAGGGGAACTCAAATACAATAATTCTACAGAAGTAAAAACATGCAAGAATCAAAAGAAGCAAATGGTTACAGAGAGATAAACAATTTAAAAGACAAATGGTTACAAAAAGCAACGTTACCAGGTGCAGGGCTCTAAATCCTTCATTATAGTTAGATATGATGCTATGCTGGGCATGAACTCAAGGCTTTATGTTGTTATCTCTTTGAGAAAAATCCTGGGAACTTCATACATTGTTTGTTCCAGTACCTTATCAGTTAATTGGGCTCCTTTGAAATGCTGAGGATCTGCTTACACAGGTTAATTCCTTGAAGAAGGGGGTTGGGTAAGGAGCCCTTAATGTCTTATAAATCAAAAGGTCAAATGGAGTTTGCCCAGCTTTCCCAGCCAGGGAGAGTCTATTCATATGGGAAACATGGCTGGCAATTAAGGAGACAAAAAAAGGGAAAATTTAAAGTAGCAAACTAGAGTAAAAAACAAGGTTAGGCATTACAGTAGAACCTATGGTGCTTCAAGATAATTTGGGCTTGGTATGCCAAGAGACCACCAGAAGAGGAAAGAACCAATCCGCCCATGTAAGTTCATCCATTGTAACTTATTGATGACTCTGGGGCAGGATGGTGACAGTGGGAAAGGCTGTGCATGGTGAAGCAGGGGCACATGAGAACTCTCTGCACCTTCTGTCCAATTTTGCTGTGGTCTTAAAACTACTTTTTAATACATTTATGTAAAAGGAGTGGCAGAGACAATTTGGAATAGATTTTGGCCAGTTTTTAGGAATCATATTTAGTCTTAGCCACGTTACCAGCAATCTTGTTCCAAATTATTTATCTATCTGATTTTAAAACGTATGTCTGCACAAGGCCTCCATGGGAATATTTGCGTCAGCCTCACTGATTGCTGCCTTTACCATTCTGAATTTTGCATATAGGGTGACTGTTGAAAGAAACATTTCCTATATAGAGTGCATCCATGTTTCCATTACTCACATTCCTCAATTGCTCAGCTCATTTTCTAAACAACTTTAAACATTGTAAGCCCTGTAATCTCCTCAAATTCAGTGCAGCTGCCTCCTCCCTGGGGTTTCTGAAACCCTCAGGATGTGGGTTTTCACACTGTGTCTCTCGCACAGTAATACACGGCCGTGTCGTCAGATCTCAGGCTCCTCAGCTCCATGTAGGCTGTGCTCGTGGATGTGTCTGTGGTCATGGTGACTCTGCCCTGGAGCTTCTGTGCATAGTTTGTGTTACCATTGTAAGCGCTGATCCATCCCATCCACTCAAGCCCTTGTCCAGGGGCCTGTCGCACCCAGCTGATACCGTAGCTGGTAAAGGTGTAACCAGAAGCCTTGCAGGAGACCTTCACTGAGGCCCCAGGCTTCTTCACCTCAGCTCCAGACTGCACCAGCTGAACCTGGGAGTGGGCACCTGTGGAGAGGACACAGGAGTGGGTGAAGTCTCACATGACTGGCCTGGTTTCTCTCTCAGCCCTGGGACTGGGGAGTCCGTTACCTGTTGCTGCTGCCACCAAGAAAAGGATGCTCCAGGTCCAGTCCATGGTGAGGAGCTGTGATCTAGGGGATTCTCCCAAGGAGGGGTGTGGTTTTTGGGTGATGCTCTCAGGGCACACAGATATCTATATTCACCTCAGTTATTTGCATATTCATGAAGGATGCTATTTAATAGCCCAATTCCTGACCCAGGATGAGAAAGAGCAAATACATGACACATGGACGACACAATTGTAGAAGCTGAGGGTTCAAGCCGTAATCCTGTTAGAGGCCACGCATCCCCTACCCATCCCTGAACTCTGTGTTGACAGAGCTTCCCCCACTGGAGAACAAGCTCCCCCAGGACACGCACCTCACTTAGAACCCACATTTGACTGTCTCAGGGGCAACTCGAATCATTTCTAGACCTTAATATGTGAATGTGCTATTTTGGGAATGAGTGTGTTTCTCCAAAAATTGCACTTATTTATAAGAAAGGATCTCCTCCTGACCTCCAGCTGCTTACTATTAAGATGTCTAGGGAAGTTTGAAATTCCCATTGTAAAAGTGGTTCTCATTACAACATCGAGTTTCATAAATGCTCACAATTGAATAGGATATTTATATAAACATCGGCAGTCCTTGTGAAATACTTATTTTAGATTTTTTAAAGGAAGTCCCAGGCCCTGAGAGGAACCCCTCCCCAGCCTCCTTCACCTGCTCTGGGGCGGAAGCCTGTGCTCTGTGTGTCCTGAGCGCCCCCTGCAGCCCTGCCCTGCCCCTGCAAGGAGGTTCCTGTCTGATCTCACAGAGTATATTCCTACCAGTGTCCCCAGCCAAGTATAAAGTGGCTGTGCCCTGGCTCAGAATTCTCCTTTAGTGACAGCCTGTGCTTCTCACACCATCTTTTGAAATACTGAATTGGCCTTAGGAATCCCAGTGAACTCTGCAGGGAGACCCCAAGAAAGATCTCATGCATCACTGGGGAGCCCTTTCCTGGAGCTCAAGAGGCACTGAATCATTGGACACACGGTGAACCCAAAAACTCTTCAGGGGTTTGGGGGGACTCTTATTTCCTTTAGGGTCCTGCAGTTGATTATGGCACCTGAGAATACCTGCAGGTGTAGGTGGATAGAAGCCCACTCCAACTCTACTATTCAACTCACACGCACACACACACAAACACACACACACAATGTCTGATTTTCACATTAATGGGCCCTATGTTTACCCTATTTTTCTGGTATCCATGTCACGGAAAGCACTCCCTACACTGGCACTAAGGCTGAATATGTGTCTACTTTCTGCAAATAGAAGTAAAGATATCAGAATGCAAGTGGACACTTCGGAAGTGCATGCACAGTGAATTAATTTTTCTCACTTTGGAACCCTGCAGATGCCACAGGAAAAATAAATTTGAGGCCAATAAGGGTGAAATCATTTTCTTTGTGCTGAAGTTCCTGGTATTAGAGGCTTCGAATTCTTCTATTTTCCTTAACATTTTTCTCCTATTTCCTCCTCAGATAGAGTTTGTGCATTGCCACACTCTCGTATTTAATCCATATTGACTAAACTGGTGAGACATAATGTGTGGAACACGGAAGCATTACATGTTCTTACAGCTGAATTTTAATGCTGTGGTGATCTTCTTTCTCTGGGCTGTGACCTATACGGGAAGTCTCCAGAAGTGAAGCTGATTTTTGCTCTTTTCTGGCTGGAGCATCACAGGAAATTTTCTTTAAATTTACATCTATTGGCTAATTTTACCCATTTTCATGATAAAGGAAGGCTGCTAGTATGGGCTTGTAATGGGGATGGATTACCTTTCCCCACATAGATGAGGATCTAAAGATGCCTTTCCCATGGTTTCTGTGTCTGAAGAAAGTCTGGGTGTATTTATTAGAGATTTGGTTTCCTAGAAATAGAGCCATGAAGGGATCTATGTGGATTCTCACCCTGAGAACCTGGAGGTTCCTGGAGGAAAGGGCGATAAGAGTATGGGGGGTGGAGTTCCCAGGATCTCTCACCCTCATGCTAGTCCAGACATGCCATTTATGTTTATATAGTTCAGATTTTCATATAACAAACCACACAGCCAGGCTCATTTAAATTCCCCGTACTCAGTCCAGATTGGAGCAGGAGCTGAGTATAATAATCACGTTGAACTCAGACAAACCTGGGCCAAATCCAATTTTTCCTGTAGCTCAGAGCAGCTTTACTGACTCATTTAACTTGGAGATTATTTCTTCCCTGAAAGAACTGTAAGGGTTGCTGTGGAGCCTCTGTGGGGTTGGAATTTTTTGCATCAGCCTATCCTGTGGGGTATTCTGTATGATGTAGACCTTTATACTTAGATGGTAATTATTCCTAATGGCGTGGAAATGGCTGGCAGCCCTCAATCCTGTTTATTTCTTCTGTTGACCTGAATGTTTACAAGAATCCCATGAACCTCAGGACTCCCCTTCATGGATGACTCTGAAGATTGTAGACTCAGTGCTACAGACAGAGAGAGCTAAGGGAGGATACTCAGTTCACTGATATGTTGGGCCAGCAACATAGGACACATCTGAGAATGAATCACTTTTGTGAATGCCAATAAATATTGAATTCAAGAGTCATGACTTTCAGTATATTGGAGTAAAAATTTTCATGATTCTTGACAATGAGACTCAAACTTCATGGTTTGCAGAATAAATGAGCTCTTCAATGTTAGAAAGAAGCTTCTTTTCCTAAGAAGCTAGTCTTTTAAACTAAAGAGCCAGAGAGGTGGTTTCCTGAGATCTTGTGAAAATTTATCTATTGGAGAAAAATAAAATCAGGAAAACTGGTCTCAAATAATTGAAAGAAAGCTTATAAGAAATTTTTATTAAGACAGCCACAAAACTCCAATTAGTCAAATTTTTTGGTTCATTTGTTACAACTCAAGAAGCAATTCAGAAGTCTACACAATTGGAAGCCTACTCCAACAGAGATAATTTTTCCTGACTTGAAAAACAGACCAGTATTTATAAAGAGACAGTTCCCCATGAGATCTACAACTTACACAGATTTCTGTAACCTGAAGAAGTTTTGCTAAGAGGATTATCCTCTAGATATCTATGTATGGAAAAATATGTTTCATATATTTGTGTAAGATTAATCTGTACCAGCCTTTGGCACATTAAACAAACTTCATGTAAACGTGATAACGTTATCACTTACTGTGCACTCACACTTTACTGGTTTCAGAAGTTCATCGCCCTTGTGATGGAGCAATAAGTTCCTTTGAGAATGTGCTGTTGCTTCAAGTGAACATGTTCTAGATCCTCAGTTGACTTCATCATTTCATATTGAGTGTAGGTGTGTCTATAACTGAAAACCCAACATTTTTATCCAGCAGATTCTCCTTTTATGAGATCATCCTGAAACCTGCCAACAGCCTCCATCATGTATGCTTCCAAACTTTTGCTTTTAGGAAATAAGAGGTAAATTCATAATCCATCCAAGCTTTAAGGTGAGAATCCTTCCTGGCCTTCCATCATATTTAGTAGAAACTCTCATTGAGAGCCATAAGCAAATGCTGTTTATGGATCATAACTCAAAACCAAAATTGTTTTTCATAATGGCTATACCATTCTACATTTCCACAATTATGGAAAGCAACATAAAGCGTCCTAAATTAATTAAAACTGGAGATATTATATGACCAGAAATCCTGTTTCTGGGAGTATACCCAAGTAGATGAAATTACCACCTTGTAAACATATCTGCATCCTATGTTTATTGAAACACTGTTAATAACAGCGAAGATATGGAAACTATCTGATGGTCAGCATACAGACAAATGAATAAAGACAATGTGGTATGTGTATACAATATAATATGGTTTAATGTTATAAAAGAAAGATGCTGCCATTTGCCACAATGGATCAATTTCCATAGCTACTAACAGTGCACACCATCCACTATAGCACCTCCCTAGGGGATGGCAGATCCTTATTCAGTAGTAACCACTGGCTGTGGTGGGAAGGCAATTTTATGTACTGTTGAATTTTTCAGCATAAGACATCGATGTCTTAAAATATTCTGCAGTGTCTGCATGTGATAAAGTGGAGTCTAATATTGGAGGTAAAATTAAAAGTGCATGAGTCTTCTAGACACCAAGTCATAGGATGATCCTGGCTGTGTCCTTGAGGGAGTGGACCATATGTAATAGCATTTGGATTGGGGATTGGTGCATTTCCAGTTGAACGAATAAAGTTGTATTATATTAGGTGTAATTATGACTTTATTATTGTCTTTGTTTGAAGATTATGTATAATCTCAGGAGATGTGTATGGTTTCAAGTTGACGGGGTGGACTTGTAATGCTAAATACTGAGTGTCAACTTGATTAGATTGAAGGGTGCAAAGTATTGATCCCGGGTGGGTCTGTGAGGGTGTTGCCAAAGGAGATTAACTTTTGAGCCAGTGGGCTCAAAAAGGGAGACACACTCTTAATCTGGGTGGTACAATCTCATTAGCTGCCAGTGTGGCCAGAGGGAAAAAAAAACAACAACAACAGAAGAACATGAAACGATTAGACTGGCTTAGCCTTCCAGCCTACATCTTTCTCCCGTGCTGGATGCTTCCTTGTCTCGAACATGGGACTCCAAGTTCTTCAGCTTTGGGACTCGGACTGGCTTCCATGCTCCTCGGCTTGCAAATGGCCTATTGTGGGACCTTGTGATCATACGAGTTAATACTCCTTAATAAACTCTGTGTGTGTGTGTGTGTGTGTGTGTGTGTGTGTATCCTGTGTGCGTATATATATCCTGTTTGTTCTGCCCCTCTAGGGAACCCTGACTAATACAATCTTACTTCAAAAGAATTTTTTTTAAAAATAGGTGATTAGGAATTCCAGGATGGAATGCAGATAACATAGAAAATGTCTAATTCCATTACAAATGTATGAATTCAAAAGAGGTACTAAGTAGATTCAGAAATGGTGTAGGCAATAAGATTAAAGAAAAAAGAAACTTCACATCAGCATTGTACCCCAATTGACGATGTTCCACAAAAGAGCACAACTTACACATCTTGTTACACTCCACAGGAATCTTGGAATTGGACTACAAAGAGAATGGACGGCGTATGGGGAAATGGGGTTCCTTGTGGTTGGAGTGGGAGGTTAGTGTCAGGCATAGAAGGAATGCGATAAACATCCATGTGGTATTAACTTAGGGTGGACATGTCATTTTATTTGCAAGTTTAGCATAATATAGGTACATATATTAGATAAAAATAGTTTAGATGTCTGTGTATATATGGGTTAATACACAACACATACTTCCTAGATTTTTTACCTGAGAATTTCTACAAGAAATGAGTGCACATTAATAAAAAATACACCCAGAATCAAGATTTGAGTTTTTAATACTATTCTTCTATAAAAGAAACCAGTGACCAGGTGCAGTGGCTAACACCTGTAATTCCAGCACTTTAGGAGGCTGAGGTGGGCAGATCTTTTGAGGTCAGGAGTTTGGACCAGCCTGGCCCACATAGCGAAACCCTGTCTCTACTAAAAATACAAAAATTAGCCAGGCACAGTGGCGCATGCCTGTAATCCCAGCTACTTGGGAGGCTGAGACAGGAGAATCGCTTGAACCCAGGAGGTGGAAGTTGCAGTGAGTCTGGACCCTGTCTCAAAAAAAAAAAAAAAAAAAAGGAACCAGCATGTCTTTGAGAAATGGCTAATGCTAGGGCTTCAGAAGAGAATATAGGGATTAGTCTACAATTTCTAATTGTACCAGAAAATGAGAAAGGGTTCCAAAACAGAGAATTGCTCCTTTTGCATTTTTCTTTGTTGACAAATCTAGCTAGCAGTCTAACAATTCTGTTCATGTTTTATTTCTGTTTTTTTCAGTAGAATCAGGGTGTACATGTGCAATTTTGTAACATGAATATATTTCATAAAGGTGAGGTTTGGGCTTCTGGTGTAACTATCGCCCACTAGTGAACATTGGAGCCAGTAGGTGATTTTTTAACCCTCACATTCCTCTCACCTTGCCCTCTTTTGCAGTTCCCAGTGTCTTTTGTTTTTTATGTATGTACATGTGTACCCATTGTTTACTTTCCAATTATAAAAGAGAAGATCTTTTTGAGTTATTTTATTTAGGCTAATGTCCTACAACTCTATTCACGTTGCTGTGAAAGACACTAGGAATGCAGGTGACTTTTTCTGATATAAAAATTTCCTTTTGGGAGGAATATACCCACTGGGAGGGATTACTGGGACAAACGGTAATTCTAATATTAGTTCTTTGAGAAACTTCTGTATTGTTTTTCATAGAGGTTGTACTAATTTATATTTTCACCAAGCATATAAAAAGCATTATTTTTCCTATGCTTCTCTCCAAACACCTGCTGTTTTTTATTTGTAATAACAGCCATTGTGACTGGTGGAAGATGCTATATCATGTTGTTTGTAATTTACATTTATCAGATGATTGGTGATGCTGAGTATGTTTTATTTGTTTTGGCCACGTCTGTGTCTTCTTTTGAGAAATGTCTGGTTTTTGCTCACTCTTTAATGAAGTTATTTGTTATTTCTTGTTGACTTATTTGAGTTCCTTGTAGATTCTATGTATTAGCCCTTTGATGAATAGATTGCAAATTTTTTTTTACTGTTCACAGGTTGTCTGTTCACCATGTTGGTTATTTCTTTTGCTATGCAGACAATCTGTGTTTCAATTAATCCTGTTTGTCTAATTTTGTTTTCATTGCATTTGCTTTTGAAGTCAGTCTTAGTCATATTTTATTTGCTTAGGCAAATGTCTAGAGGATTTTTTTTAGATTTTCTTCAGGAATTTTTATGAGTTTATAAATTTAAACATTGAATCCATATTCACAGTTAATTTGTGTCTATGATGATACAGAAGTCTCATTTTATTCTTCTGCATAAGGCTATCTAATTCTCCCAGCACTACTTATTGAATAGAGGGTTGTTTCTCCAGTGTATATTTTTGTCAGTTTTGTCAAAGAACCGTTGGTTGTAGATATTTGGCTGTATGTCTGGGCTCTTGATTTTTGTTCTACCATTACCACGCTGCCTTTCTTGTTATCTTTGTGTTGTGTAATTTGAAGTCAGGGAATGCGGTACTTCCAGCTTTGTTCTTTTTGCTCAAGATTGCTTTTGCTTTTCAGACCCTTTTTTGGTTCTATATGAATTTTAGGATTTTTAAAAATATGTAATCAATTATATTAGTTACTTGATATAAATTGCATGGACTCTGTATATTGCTTTGGGCAGTGTATTAGTCTATTTTACATTGGTATAGATTAATACCTGAGGCCAAGTGATTTACAAAGACAAGAGGCTTATTTGGCTTACAGATCTGCAGGCTGTGTGAGAAGCATGGCACAAGCATCTGCTTCTTGCGAGGGCCTCAGGAAGCTTACAGTCATGGTGGAAGGCAAAGGGGGAGGAGGCTGTGTCATATGGTGAGGAGGGGGGACATGAGAGGGTAGGAGGGTTGCCAGACTTTTTTGAACAATCAAATCTCACAGTAGCTAATACAGCAAGAATTCACTAATTACCATGGGGTGGATGCCAAGCCAGTCCTGAAAAATCTCCTCATGACCCAAAACCACCCAGTTGGCCCCACCTCCAACATTGTGGGTCACATTTCACCATGACATTTGGAGGGGAAAACCCCTAAATGATATCATTGCACTCTCAGACCCAAAGTTCTCATATTCTTCTTACACTGCAAAATATAATCACCTTTTTTCAATAGTTCCCAAAATGTTAAGTTGATCAACCTCCAACTAAAATGTCCAAAGTCTCATCTGAGTCTTAAGGCAATGTCCCTCCAGCTGTGAGCTTGCAAGTTTAAAAATGAAAGTTGTTTACTTCCAAGGTGCAATGATGGTGCAGGCATTGGGTAAATAATTCCAATCCTAAAGGGATAAATTGGCCAGTGGAACAACCAACAGGCCTCACACACATATAAAACCCAGCACTGCAGATATTAAATCCTAACACTACAAAATAATCTCTCTTGACTTTATGTACTTCAACCAGGGCACACTGGAACAAGGGGTGGGTCCCCAAAACCTCAGGCAGCCAATCCCTATAGGTTTGCTAGGCACAGACCACGGGGCTGCCTTCACAAGTGAGAGTCAAGTGCTGGAAGCTTTTCTAGGCTGAGGGTGCAAGTTGCCTGTAGCTCTACCATTCTAGGGTCTTGAGGGTTGTGGCCACATTCCCACAACTTTACTATGAAGCGCCCTAGTGGGGACTCTGAATGGGGGCTCCAACTCCATCTTTCCCCATCTTTGGCACTGCTCTAGTAGAGGCTTTCTGTGGTGGATCCACTCCTGCAGCAGGCTTCTTCCTGGGCATGCAGGGCTCTCTACACATCTGAAATCTAGGTAGAAGCTGCACAGGCTCCTTCACTCTTGCATTCTGCATACCTGCCAGAATCCAGTTATCCCAGAACCATTTACTGAATACAGAGATTTTTTTTTTCCAATTGCTTTTGTCAGCCTTGTCAAAGATCAAAAGGTTGCAGGTGTGCAACTTTATTTCTGTTTTCAATTTTGATCTATTTTTTTTTTTCTGCAGGTCTGCTATCGTACCAGTCCAAGCTGCTTTTGTTAGCAAGACATTATGGTGTAGTTTAAGGTCAGTATCATGATGCCTCTGGCATTGTTCTTTTTGCTTAGGATTGCTTCTGCTATTCAGGGTCTTTTTTGGTTCCATATAAATTTTAGAATAGATTTTTTTCTGATTCTGTGAAGAATGATGATGATAGTTTTATGTAAATAGCATTGAATCTGTGAATTCCTTTGGGCATTATGACAATGTTTACAATATTGATTCTTCCAATCCATGAGCATGAAATGTTTCCCATTTATTTGTATCATTTATTATTTATTTCTGCTGTGCTTTATAGTTCTCCTCGTAGTGATCTTTCACCTTGTTTGTTATCTGTGTTCCCAGGCATTTCATTTTCTCTGTGGATACTGTAAGTTGGATAGGATTTTGTTCTTGATTATACTCTCAGCTTGGATGTGGTTGGCTTATAGAAATGCTGGTAATTTTTGTCCATTGATTTTGTATCCTGACACTTTACTAAAGTTGTTTATTCTAGAATTATTTTGGCAGACTTTTTAGGATTTTCTAGGTATAGAATTATATCATCGCTGAAGGTGGACGGATTGACTTCCTTTCCTATTTGGATGCTGTATTAGTCAATTCTCACACTATAAAGAAACTCCTCAGACTGGGTAATTTATAAAGACAAGTGTTTTAATTGGCTCATTTAGTATGGTGTTGACTGTGGGTTTGCTGTAGATGGCTATTATTCTGAGGTACGTTTCTTTGATGTCTAGTCTGTTGAGGGTTTTTATCATGAGTGGATGTTAGAACCTACCAGAGGCTTTCTCAGTATCTATTGACATAATCATATGGTTTTTGCTTTTATTCTGTTTACATTGTGAATCACAGTTACTGTGGATATTGAACGAGCCTTGCATCCCAGGGGTAAAGCCCACTTGACCATGATGTATTACATTTTAAAGTGCTTCTGGATTCTATTTGATAGTATTTTGTTGAGGACTTTCAGGTCTATGTTCATCAGGAATATTCATCTGATATTTTCTTTTGTCATTATGTCTCTCCTGATTTTGTGTGCCAAGAGCACACAGTAGAGAAAGGACAGTCTTTTCAATAATGGTGTAAAACTGGCATTCATATTCAAAAGAAATAAAATTAGGCCTTCTCTAACTCCATATAAAAAAATCAGCTAATATTGGACATAATACCTGAAGCCATAAACTCATAAATCACATGGAGCAAAAAAAATTCCTGCCATTAATTCGGAACTGATTTCTTTGAATTTAACAACAAAGCACAGGAAAAACTATGTGTAATTATGTATCCGACAAGAAGGTCTATCTAAATGTATAAATAACCCATATACCTCAATAGCAAATAACAAATGAACTGATAAAAAAGTGCAAAAACCTGGATAACTTTTTTCAGAAGATACATGCATGGCAAACAGAAAACGAAAAGGTTCTCAACATTCCTAATTATCAGAGGAATTCAAATGAAAAGCACAATGCGATATCACCTCACACTAGTTAATATGGTTATTATCAGAAATGTAATAGATGACAAATATTGGCAAGAATGTGAGGGAAAGGGAATACACTGTGGTAGGATTGGTTACTCGATAAGTTGAAAATAAAGCTATCATATAATCTGGTGATCCCATTTCTTATTATATATGCAAAGGAAATAAAATTACTTTGCCAAAGACGTGTTCATTGAAGATTATTAATAATAGTGTAGATTTGCAAAATAATTTAATGACTGTAAATGGATGAATGTATAAAGAAAATGTGTATACATAAATCTGTATTTTATTTGGCTTTGAAAAGAGGGAAATTCTGACATTTGCAACAACACGGATGGGCCTGGAGGACATGATGCTGAGTGGAATAAGCCAGATGCAGAAAGACAAATGCTGCATGATCTCATTTACATGTGGGATCTAAAATATTCAAGCTCTTGAAAGTAGAGAGCAGAATAGAGGGTCTCAGGACCTGGGAGGAGAGGGAAATCGGGTGATGTTTGTTAAATTGTACAGTTTCAGTTGTGCAGGTTGGATGAGTTCTGGAGATCTAACGTACAGCAATGGTCCTATAGTTAATACTGTATTATAAAAATGATTGTTGCTGAAAGGGTATATCTGAGGTGTTCTCATCAGACACTCACTCATGCAGTTAATTTAAAAAAATAATAAAATGGTAGCGCTGTGAGGTGATAGAAATACAAATTACCCTGACCATCATGAGCATTTCACAATGTGTATCTGATATGGTTTGGATTTGTGTCCTGCCCCAAATCTCATGTTGTATTATAATCCTCAATTGTGAAGGGGTGACCTGGTGGGAGGTGACTGGGTCATGGAGTGGGTCTTTCATGAATGGTTTAGAACCAACTCCTGGTGCTGTTCTCATGAAAGTGTGTGAGTTCTCACAAGGGAATCCCCTTGAGGTTACTGTCCTGAGTCTGACTGGAGAAGACTCACCAGGCACCCCTGAGCTTCCTCACGACTCTGATGCTGGTGACCATGGTTGAGGAGTTTTCATTCCCGTAGGTGGCAATATACATATTGTGCATGTGAGAATAAGTCCTCCTATCATATTACAATGATTAAAAAAATGTAGAGATGACATTGGTGGGCACAGAAATCTAAAATTAAAGAGTTTCCCTAGAGAAACTGTCAGAAGCAGAGGAAGTCCCAAATCCTGACAGGAAACAAACCCCAGCCTCCATGTGCACCTGCTCTGGGGTTGACTCTGATGAGTGGGTCTTGAGCGCCCCCTGCAGCTGATTTCCCCCAACGTTCCTGCAGGAGGTTTGTGTCTGGGCTCACACTTCCGTCCTCTCACAGTGTTTCTCACACAGTAATACACAGCCATGTCCTCGGGCCTCAGGCTGTTCATTTGCTGATACAGGAAGTTCCTGGAATTGTCTCTGGAGATGATGAATCGGCCCTTCACAGAGTCTGCATAGTGCGTCCTACTGCCATTCCAACTAACACCCGATACCCACTCCAGCCCCTTTCCTGGAGCCTGGCGGACCCAGTTCATGTCACTGTTACTGAAGGTGAATCCAGAGGCTGCACAGGAGAGTCTCAGGGACCCCCCAGGCTCTACCAAGCCTCCCCCAGACTCCACCAGCTGCACTGTTGTACCCAGGTGAGTTAAGAAAACGCCACACTTTGAGACGAATTAAGAGTCCTTTATTAAGCCGGCTGCCAAAGAGACAGCTCATGCTCAAAATTCTCTCGGCCACGAGGAAGGGGCTCGAGTAAATTTTATACCTAGGTTTAGGAAGGGGAGAGGGACTCAAATGTAATAATTTTACAGAAGTAAAAACATGCAAGAATCAAAATAATCAAAATAGTTACAGAGTGATAAACAACTTAAAAGACAAATGGTTACAAGAAGAGCAACGGTACCAGGTGCAAGGTTCTAAATCTTTTATTATAATTAGATATAGGGTCTATGCCGGACACAAACTCAAGGTTTCATGTTGTTATCTCTTGGAGAAAATTCCTGGGAACTTCATACATTGTTGGTGTGGGTACCTTATCAGTTAATTGGGCTCCTTTGAAATGCTGAGGATCTGTTTACCCAGGCCAACTCCTCACGAAAGGGGGTTGGGTGAGGAGCCCTTAGTGTCTTGTAAACTAAGGGGTCAATTGGAGTTTGTCTGGCTTTCCTAGCTAGAGAGAGTCTTATTTACATGAGAAGCAAGGTTAGGTGATTAAAGAGACAAGCAGGACAAAATTCAAAGTAACGAGTTAAAGTAAAAACACCGTTAGGCATTTCATTTCCCCACTTGTGTTTTAGGGGAATCAAGTCGTTGATTCTTCAGTTACAACAAGGGGGTTATATTGAGTTCTTAGATACATAAGTTTGACAGACGCTATACGTTGTTTTACAAAATCAAGGAACCAATTTAATATACAAGGGCCAAAAATTAAACTCAATAATATGATGATGATGGGTCCAGCTAAACCAGTGATTAAAGTAGTTAACCAGGGGTTCCAATTGAACATGCTTTGATACCAGGCTGTGTTATTTTCTCGTTCTTGTTGGCTCCTATCTAGATTTTTTTGAACTTTTTGGAGTGTATCTTTTATGACTCCAGATTGATTGGCGTAAAAGCAACAGCTTTCTCCTAGAGCTGTGCATAATCCTCCTTGAGAGAGGAACAGCAGATCTAAGCCTCGGCAGTTTTGAAGTACTACTTCAGCTAGAGACTCTACCTGGGAATGTAGTATATCTATGGCAGACTGAAGATTATTTAAATCAGCATCTACCTGTTGGGACAAAGACATTAGTCCAGTTTCTCCTCGAACTAGGGCAGCTGTACTAATAGCTGCTGACCCAGCTATGCTAAGACCGGCTAAAAGAGAAACCAGTAGTGGGGCAGCTCTGCGTAGCCTGGGATGTAATTCCGGGGGAGCAATGAGGAGTTGTCCTTCTGATCCACTGTACTCGTATACCTGGGGAAGGACATGAACTAGAACACACAAGAGGGGTTCTGATTTAGTTCCATTAAGGCAGCGAGTGAGACCTGAGGTGCAGGCCAACCAGGTATTGTTAGGTGCTTGGTAAGAGACTGAGATGCTCATGGGAGTAAGCAGAGACTGATTACAGATAGCCTGAAAAGGAGAAATAGATAAGTCATATCCAGTACTAATTAGACAAGAAGCACTTCCAGACACATCTCCTAATGTGAAAGCATGAGGTTGTGCATGACAGGATAAAGGACTACCTTTAAGTGCGACTTCTACTCCTAATCCTATATAATATGGGGGTTTTGCTTTTAAACATAGCCAACAATCTTGGGCTAGTGTAGGCTGGCTGAGGTTAAGAAAATGATGTACTCCACCAAGTATAGACATCAGACTGGGTTGGAGTTGATGTCTTTGTAGCTGGGTCTTAGGAACTGAGAATGGTGGGGGCACAGTTAAATTAACTTTGTCAGGGTGATTTTGGAACATAGGGTCACCTAGATCAGTTAAAGGTCCGATTGGCTTGGGTGGGCTCCAGGGGACCAAAATTTTCTTTTGGATGGTGAACATAGTTCCAACATCGAACCCTGGGACATAAAGTCTTAATCCCCATGACATACCATAGTACCATTGAGCTGAATTAGGTTCATGGACAATGATGTTAAGAGGGTTACAATTATTTTTAGAACACGATTTGGGACGAGAAGCACGACTTATTGACAGAGTTGGAGATCTAGTTGATCCCCCAGAGTAAGTGGCTAAAGTTACACATGCCCAATCCGGGCGGACGAACTGGTAGGTATCTCAACAGCTAGCATCAGGGTGATTTTCAGGACAGAGGTAAAAGTCAACCTTTTGGAGTCCTTTTTCAGCACCTTTGGAGCTTCCACATCTGGCTTGGCTCCCAGAGTGTCCAAATCCTGCTGCAAGGTCGACACCTCCTGCTCCCATGACTGGCAGGTCGCGATGATCTTCGTGGGTACCAGCCGGCTCCGGGAACAGTATACACAAGTCGACTGCAAAGGTGACTTCCTTGGAGGTACCAGCCTTCCAAGTAGTATTGGCGAAAACACGTCCTGTTGTGAGAGAGGTGAGGGGGAAGGAGTAGGAAGGCACAGAAGACATTACAGGCAAGGATAAACAAAAGAAGCAAATAAAAAGAGTTAATTTAACAGTTTCACCCGACTTAGGTGTAGTTTTAAGGGTCCTGATCCAGGCTTGGGGACCCATGTTTCTGTTTGGGCTTTGTTGGCCTTTTTGATGTGGGAGTGATGAATCCAAGCAGGAATTCCGTCCACCTTCAGAGCTGTTGGCGTCGTGAGGATGACGGTGTGAGGTCCCTTCCAAGCAGGAGTTAGGCCCTCTCTCTGGAACTTTTTAACAAACACCAGGTCACTGAGCTGGAATGAATGGCAGGGCCCCATCTGGTCAGGAACTGGACTGGGATGGGCTTCTCAAACAAGTGGCAGAATGATCTCTTGTACCTGTTGGAGAGACTGCAGGTACTGTAATAAATTAGCTTGTGATATTTCTGCAAAATGGGCATCTTTTAGCTTAGGCAAGATAGGTGGTGCCCGCCCATATATAATTTCAAAAGGTGAGAACCCAGCCTGATAAGGGGTGCACCTTACTCTAAGTAGGGCTAAAGGAAGGAGTTTTACCCAATTTTCACTGGTGTCTAGAATTAATTTTGTAAGAGTATTTTTTAGGGTATGGTTCATGCATTCCACCTGTCCAGAGCTCTGGGGTTGATAGGCACAATGGAGCTTCCACTGAATGTTTAATGCCTTACTGACTGATTGAGCTATGGACGAGGTGAAGGCAGGTCCATTATCAGACCCTATGGCAGCAGGCAACCCGTACCAGGGGATGATTTCATTGAGTAAGAACTTAACTACTGTGTTAGCTGTCTCGTTCTTGGTAGCAAATGCCTCAGTCCATCCGGAGAAGGTGTCTACTGATACTAAAAGGTACTTGTACACAGCCCGGTGTGGCTTTACCTCTGTAAAGTCAATTTCCCACTTTTCTCCTGGCGAGTTTCTTCGGAGACGGTGACCTGGGCTGGGTTTAGGACCTTGCTTGGCATTTACCTGGGCGCAGGCTGTGCACCAGAGAACTGCTTGATCTGTTAGGCTTTGTAGATGAGGGATCTTAAAACAGCTCCGGAGGAGCTGAGCTAATTTTGTCCCACCAAATGGGTGGTAGAATGTAGGTGACTGACTAAAGTTTCTCCAAGAGCTGGGGGTACGAAGATTCTAGAGTCAGGAAGAATCCACCAACCTTTTTGATTTTTATTTGCTCTAAGGTTTGCAGCCAGTTTTTCTTCTTCTGTTGAGTACGCGGGGTTGTCAGGCAGATCTGGCTGTGGAAAAGAAACTGCCGGTAGCAGGTTTATGGACGGAGCTGAAGACAGCGCCACTTCCCGAGCTGCTGAAACCGCTTTTGGGTTACCGCGGGCAACAGCCGTGTTTTCTTTTTGATGTCCTTTACAATGGATTACAGCCACTTGTTGAGGGAGCCACACAGCTTCAAGCAGGGCTAAAATTTCCTCTTTGTTCTTAATTATTTTTCCTTCTGACCTGAGCAACCCGCGTTCTTAGTAGATGGCTCCATGTACATGCACAGTAGCGAAAGCATACCTGCTGTCAGTATAAATGTTAATACGTTTATCTTTAACCCATCGGAGAGCTTGAGTAAGGGCAATCAATTCAGCTTTTTGTGCTGAGGTGCTTGCCGGTAAAGCCTGAACCCACAACACATCTGTCTCTGTGGTAACAGCTGCACCAGCTTTGCGTATCCCCTGTTCGAGAAAACTGCTGCCGTCGGTGAACACGGTGGCGTCCGCCTTTCTCAGGAGCACATCTTGAAGATCTGGCCTGCCAGTTTCGGTAGCTTCTAACAGCTCCTGACAGTCATGGACAGGAGTATTAGAATCTGGATCTGGGAGTAAAGTAGCAGGATTTAAACACCTTGTGGGAGAGAAAGTCAAACAAGGCTGATCCAACAGTAAACTCTGATATTGTAAAATACGAGCATTTGACATCCATTTACCTGAAGCACTTCGTAGTCAAGTCTCTACAGCATGAGGAACTGTAAGGGTTAAATTCTGGCCTAGAGTTAATTTATCAGTTTCTTGGACTAGGCTTGCTGTAGCCACTATGGCTGGCAAACAACTTGGCCATCCTGAGGCCACAGGATCCACCTTCTTAGATAAATAAGCCACTGGGCCTCTCCAAGTTCCTAAAGTCTGAGTAAGCACTCTCTTAGCAACTCCCTGGCTCTCATGGACAAACAGATGAAAAGGCTTTGAGATATTTGGGAGGGCTAAAGCCTGGGCTGCAGTTAAAGCCTTTTTCAGATTCTGAAAAGCCTGTTCCTCGGTGTCTGTCCAAATCAGTGGGCCATTACCTTTTGTAGCAGTATACAAAGGCTTTGTAATCTCTGCAAACCCCGATATCCAAAGACGACAATATCCCAGGGCTCCTAGGAATTCATGTACCTGTCTCTTGGTGGCGGGAGTGGGGATTCGCAGGATGGCTTCTTTCCGGGCACTAGTGAGTGCCTTTTTTCCTTTGTTTATCTTGTACCCCAGGTAGGACACTCTGGGAAGACAAAGCTGGGCCTTTTTGGCTGAGACTCCATACCCGAGCTCCTGAAGGAGGTAGAGCAGGTCTCTTGTGTGTTGTAGACAACCATCCATAGTTTCAGTTGTTATTAAAATGTCATCTACATATTGGAGAAGAGTACAGTTAAGGTGACTGGCTCGGAAGGGTATAAGATCTTGCTGAAGAGCCTCTCCAAAAAGGGTAGGGGAATTTTTAAAACCCTGAGGTAACTGAGTCCAAGTCAGTTGGGTAGTGTCTCCTGATCTTGGATCTGTCCATTTGAAAGCAAAAATCGGCTGGATTTTGGGGGCCAGAGGGATAGCAAAGAAAGCATCTTTCAGGTCAAGGACAGTGTATACTGTATGTTCTGGTGGGAGCAGGCTGAGTAGAGTATAGGGATTAGGAATGGTTGGGTGGACAGCAACAGTCCATTTATTAACGTCCCTTAAGTCTTGTACTGGCCAGTAATCATTTGTTCCAGGTTTCTGGACCGGCAAAAATGGCGTGTTCCAGGCCGACTGGCATGGGGTAAGTATGCCAGCTTGTAACAGTCGTTGAATGTGGGGATTAATCCCCTCTCTAGCCTGCTGACTTGTGGGGTATTGCTTTGCCTGGACCGGTATGGCAGTGGCCAAGAGTTCTATGACTACTGGCGGATGGTGTTTAGCCAGTCCGGGAGGGTTTGACTCGGCCGAAACTTGGGGGAAAAGTGTCTGTAGATCTAACAAAAGAGTATTAGTATTCTCCTCCGGTGATTACGACGGTGAAACCAGAAGGTATTCTTCTGACAGAGGGGTAGTTAGCAAGAGTTGGGCAGTGGGGGAAGTTGCATTTCCTAGTGTGAGATGAGCCTGCTGAGCTGAAAAGGAGATTGAGGCCTGTAACTTATGGAGTAGGTCCCGTCCAAGGAGAGGAATAGGACACTCTGGAACTACTAGGAAAGAGTGTGTCACTCTTTTCTGTCCCAAGTTTACTTCTCAGGTGTGTGTGACAGGATATTCTTGAATAGCTCCAGTTACCCCTTGTACAGCAATTTTTTTATTTGAGACACTGCCCAGGGGAGTCTCCAGTACGGAGTGCTCTGCCCCGGTGTCTACTAGGAAACATACAGGCTGGCCCCCCACTGTAGCAGTTACCATGGGCTCCTGGGGGCCGAGAGCAAGGGAGCCCTGGCCCCATCAATCATCAGGCTCCTCTGTTGCGGCCAGGGTGAGAACCTTTTTGTTTTCAGATTTTTCTTTTGGCAGTAACGGGCACTCCTTTTTCCAATGCCCAGTCTGTTTGCAATAGGCACATTGGTGTTTTCCTAGAGGGGCCTGTTCACCTCTTTCACTTTTCTGGTGGGAACCCGAGGTTCCTTGGCCATTTTTCTGGAATGCAGGCCTTTCCTTTCTGCCCTCTTGGATAGCTGTTACCAAGATTTTTGCTTGTCTTTTATATGCTTTATCGGCAGCTTTTTCAGCTGCCTGTGTCGCTTGTTTTTGTTTTTCAAATTCTCGGTTTTCAAAAACCTTCTGGGCTATTTCTAAAAGCTGACTGATATTCATCCCAGTAAATCCTTCCAGTTTTTGGAGTTTTCTCCTAATATCTGGGGCTGCCTGAGCCACAAATGCCAAATTAAGAGCACGGCTATTCTCGGGAGTCGCCAGGTCAAAAGGTGTGTGAATTCGATAAGCCTCCTGGAGAGGTTCTAAAAACACCCCTGGTGACTCATCAGGCCCCCGGACAACTTCAGTTGTCTCAGACAAGTTTATGGGCTTCCAAGCGGCTCCTTTAATACCCGCGAGGAGATACTGGTGAAAATCGTCCAAAGCCCTCCTTCCACCTGAGGAATCTGGGCCCCAGTTAGGCCAGGTGGAGGGAAAGACCTCCTCCTCCTCCAGGAGGTCTCTAGCTTCCTCCTCCTCCAGGAGGTCTCTAGCTTCCTCCTCCTCCAGGAGGTCTCTAGCTTCCTCCTCCGGCCCACCGGCTGATGCAAGGAAGTGCTTTCTGGCCTCTCTTCGGATATGCTCCCTCTCCTCAGAGGTAAACAGAGTTAAAAGGAGCTGTTGGCAGTCATCCCAGGTGGGTCGATGGGTCCGGAGCACGGACTCCATCAGTGAGGTCAAAGCCTGAGGCTTTTCAGAGAAGGGAGGATTATGGGTTTTCCAATTATACAAGTCAGAAGTAGAAAAAGGGACATAAACCAGGAAGGGGGCTGAGCGCTCATCAGCCGCGGGACTCGTGCCTCTCTCAGTGGGAGTAGAGGGGCTGCTTCCTCCCATGCGGTCGTAGCGGAAGGCAATGGGCGGTCACAGCCCACAGGGGACGCAGTCGAAGAGACACGGGATGGCGCCAAGGGAGCAGGCTGGTGGTAAGGCGGTGGAACTGGGTGAGGAAGACTCTCCTCTTCTTCAGAGGGAGGCAAAACAGGGGGAGCCGAACTGGCGGAGGGTTGAGGCAAAAACGCGGCCTGGCTCAGGAGGACTTTGGAGGTGGAATTGCGAATGGCACATGAACAGAGCCATGGAGGAGGATTCCTAATCAAACTTAGCCATTGATCGATATAGGGAAACTGATCAGGGTGGCCGGGAGTTCCGGTAACAACCCATCACACGGCTTGAACAATGGTAGGATTTAATGACCCTTCACAGGGCCATCCGACTCCAAACTTTGGTCATTCTAGTTCACAGAGTGTCCAGACCTTGCCTTTTCTAAGGCGGACTCCATAGTCCTCTGAGAAACCAAGAGAAAAATTTTCCAGCATACACTGGAGAGGGCTCCAACCCTTACGGGGCCAGGAGGAGGTGTTTCCCGTTTATTATTATTATTATTATTTAAAGACAATTTAGCAAAGTCTTGAGCAGAGATATCAGATCCAACACCGGCAGAGAAACTCTTTCCCTGGGGGGCTGGAGTGTCGGAAAAACAGAATTAACATGATCAGAAAGAACAGAAAAACCACAACAG
This sequence comes from Homo sapiens, assembly GCF_000001405.40. Lineage (NCBI taxonomy): Eukaryota > Metazoa > Chordata > Mammalia > Primates > Hominidae > Homo > Homo sapiens. The sequence goes on from NT_187600.1 coordinate 672,654, forward strand.
CTAATACCACTTGCCACATTGCTGTAGCTTTAAGATTGAGGGAGGGGGATTGGAGGCCAGCCTGAGGTCTCCTGGGCCAGTTCGATCTAGGCGTTCTCCCTCTTCTTCTTCTTCTAGACCTATATCCTAAGTGTTTTTTATGTCTCCACGATTCAAAGGCAAACAGTTCAAATTCAGCTTTTTCCTTTAAGGGTTCAAGGAGTGAGAGCAGAGCGAAGTCTTGGAGACGCTGAACTTGCTGTTGCACTGGAAAACGAGATGTGCGGGGTAAGGGGCAGGGACGAGGGGGAAAAGGACCACTCGGATCGTCCTTAAGATGAGAAAGTAGCCACAGTGGAACAGAATAGGAGTCTAAACGAAGTAAAGCATGACGGGCGTAGGTTTCTTTACACAAGGTCCTATTTAAGGGCGCAGGAAAAGTTACAGAATGACAGAAGAGGTGAGCAAGAAGGTCTGCAGGGTGGCTGTTTTGAACCCACCACCAGTTCAGTTTAGAAGGGGACCAATCACTAGGACGTGGGGTATGACAATCTAAATACCCGCAACCTTCATGGTGCCAGAAATTCCAATCAGGTGAATGTTCTCCACACTCTTTTCCGTAACAACAGCTTACTTGTTTATGACAGAAAAGACAAGACTGTGGTGGCCAGTCTAAATGATTGATTAGAAATTTAACCTCTTGTGACAAAAAATCAGCACTAAGGACCTTGAAGAAATTTTTACCCAGACCTCGTGGACTATATCGATGTCCTGACATGTAACACCTTGACAACTATTAAACAAGACAATAGACACCGAACAAAACAATAAACATAAAACAAACAATTGACCCTAGGGCATGTAAACAATGATGACAGTTTTCCTGTTTTACCTTCTCTATTAGACAGACAAGGGAAGGGGGTCCCGTGATGGGATCATTTAGATGCCTGCCTGGCCACTCCCCGTGAGGGGACTTGGGTTCCTCTTAGCATTGGCAGGCCAGTATAAACCCCCAGCTCGGATCGAGCTATGCCCGATGCTGCCTTAAGCCTTATGAGGTCACCACAGAACGGCAGGTGAGGGCCCACTCAAACTCCGTAGCTTTCGCCATGGAGCTACAAACTGGAAGACAAACGCAAGCCTTTGTCCTCCCACATTCACACACCATTTACACAGAGTTTATAACAGGTTTTTTTTTTTTCCCTTTCCCGGAGATTTCCAAAAGAAGGATGGAAGATAGAAGAGAGAGAGAGAGGTCTGCCAGAAACCAAGGCTTAGCTCTCCAGCGTCCTGGGTCTTGAGCTAAGTCAAGGGAGGGTCCTGGTCAGGACCACTTCCCACCCAAACCAAGATACGAAGGCGCCTACCGGAAAACGAAGGCTCAACCCACTAGCATCCTAGAGTAATGGGCTGAGTCAAAAGAGGGACGCCCTCGTCAGGGCCGCTCCCCTCTCACCGGAAACGAAGTCACATCCGACCTACCTGACCCCGGGGTCAGAAGCTGAGGACTCAGCGCCCTCGTCAGGGCCGCTCCCCTCTCACCGGAAACGAAGTCACATCCGACCTACCTGACCCCGGGGTCAGAAGCTGAGGACTCAGTGCCCTCGTCAGGGCCGCTCCCCTCTCACCGGAAACGAAGTCACATCCGACCTACCTGACCCCGGGGTCAGAAGCTGAGGACTCAGCGCCCTCGTCAGGGCCGCTCCCCTCTCACCGGAAACGAAGTCACATCCGACCTACCTGACCCCGGGGTCAGAAGCTGAGGACTCAGATGTTGACTTTTAGGGCGCTGACACAGTGGTCGATCCGCTCTCCTCTGGAAGGCGGTCACTCTTTGCAGACCTGAAAATTCTTTCCTCAGGTGGTGTCCCTCCTCCGAGCTGGCCATCCTTCCGGGGGAGCCCGGAGCGAGACCGGCTCTCGCCCAGTGGTGTTAATATCTCGCTGCGGCCTCCAAAAATGTTGTACCCAGGCGAGTTAGAGAAAACGCCACACTTTGAGACGAATTAAGAGTCCTTTATTAAGCCAGCGGCCAAAGAGACGGCTAATGCTCAAAATTCTCTGGGCCCCGAGGAAGGGGCTTGATTAACTTTCATACCTAGGTTTAGGAAGGGGAGGGGAACTCAAGTGCAATAATTCTACGGAAGTAAAAACATGCAAGAATCAAAAGAAGCAAAATGGTTACAGAGAGATAAACAATTTAAAAGACAAATGGTTACAAAAAGAGCAACAGTACCAGGTGCAGGGCTCTAAATCTTTCATTATAATTAGATATAGGGGCTATGCCGGGCATGAACTCAAGGCTTTATGTTGTTATCTCCTTGAGAAAAATCCTGGGAACTTCATACATTGTTGGTGCTAGTACCTTATCAGTTAACTGGGCTCCTTTGAAATGCTGAGAATCTGTTTACACAGGTTAACTCCTTACGGAAGGGGGTTGGGTGAGGAGCCCTTAGTGTCTTGTAAATTAAGGGGTCAATTGGAGTTTGTCCAGCTTTCCCAGCTAGAGAGAGTCTTACTTACATGAGAAGCAAGGCTAGGTGATTAAAGAGACAAACAGGGAAGATTCAAAGTAGTGAGTTAGAGTGAAAACAAGGTTAGGCATTTCAACTGACCACAATACTCAGACAACAGCTCCCCCGCTACCCAGGAAAAAAAAATAGCTGGCATTCACTACAAAGCACTATGATTAAATGTGTACTACAGGTCCCAAGGCTGCAGACAACCACAGACACTGTTATCTGGCATAGCATTTTAAGGGCTCAGAGTTCTCATCAGGAGGTAACTGAGAGCCATAAATGAACAATGTTTTTCAGGAATGTGCAGGGTTTAAACAATCCAGGTCTGCTGAGTTAACCTTCTACTGTACACAAATCCAGATTAGAGGGCAGCAGGGACGTTCAATGGATGGCCAGACTCAGGAGAGAGGGTAGAGATGGTCAGGTTAGGACCCCAAGGAGCAGCCTGGGAGACTGTAGGAGTGAAACTGAGAACCTCCTGAGGGGCCTATGGGTGTACATAGCTGTGAGTTTAACTAAAGCTGTTGGGTTTCCCAGGAGCCCAA